>NC_000011.10:110202727-110505757 GCF_000001405.40 Homo sapiens | reverse complement strand
CAGCCACCCCGTGCTCACCTCCTGACCAATGACAGGTCAGCTCAAGGACAGAGTCATTTAAATGGAAGGGCTCTGCTAAAAGCTGCTGCTGCCACAACCACAGGCCAAATGTCTGCCAATGGGGTAAGGAGCTGCTTCTTACTGCTCACAGTATGGTCCCTGAGACCATAGACTCGAAGTCAGGTCACCTGGGTTTAAATTCCAGCACCTACTTGTTAACTGTATCCCGGGGCAAGTAATTAATCTAAGTTTGTTTCTTCATCTGTAAAGTGGAAAAAATAATAATATTATAGAACAGTACTTTTCAAGCTATCCAAACAAAAGGATTAGTTTTTGTTTATTGGTTTTTGTTTTTTCAAACTTGGACTGACATTTTTGTAAAGCTCAGTGAAAATGATCAACTACCTTCAAGTTGCAGCAATGTCAAATTGCTATAAAAATGTTTAAATGTTTATTCTCAATTTGTGTACTTATTGTCATGGATCATTAACAAACAGATCATGGACCAGCAATGATCCACAGCTCACACTCTGAGAAGCACAGTGCCTGGCACAGGGTAAAAGTAAGTGTGAGCTGCTATGATTATTTTGAGTTCTCTTGCAGGTGCATAAGGTGTTGGCCCACTCTTCAGGAGCTTCTAGACTTTATAAATCTCATCAAGCAAATGCGCTGGAAGGGAGAGAAATAATCTATTAAATAATATTATTGTTTGTTTATTCACTTACTTTTCACTGGCAGGGCTATTACTAAAATGTGTCGCTTAAATTTATTGACATTTCTGCTCACTAGTTATGATTTAAAAGAAAGCCACTTATCTTAATATTTAAATTCATATAATGCTGACTCTCCCAGTGTTTCTTATTTAGGGAATGATTAGGTCCAACAGATCAGTCCCAGTTGCTCTTTGAGCACTGGGTGGTCCAGAACAGACCTTCATACCACAGTTAAAGCTGCCAAAGTTGAGAGGTTGGCATCACCACTGAAAGCTCAACAGCCTCAAGATACCTCTGTCTACCATCACTACTGCTATTGATGCTGGGCACATTATCATCATATGTTAGATCTAGGAACTGGTCCTGGTTGCTTTCATTTCACTATTAGAGCTGAACTAGATAAACTTCTATGATCACCAACAGATATTAGTTACCTTTGTCAAAGTTTTCTGGGGATCCCATAGTCGTGGTTCTTTAGTGAAGTAAATCTTTCAGTTTACAGCTCTATAGGTGCACACGCACACACACACACACACAGTGCCCAAATAACTGGGTCAGAGGCAATCTAGTGTAAGTGGCATCTTGGAGTGGAGTAAATTTAAAGGATGATTTAAATGTATTTTTGCTTCTAATTCTTTTTCTTCTATATATTTTAAAAGATAACTGAAATAATTATTTTTAAAAATATAAACTGCATTGATACATTATATATATATAATGTAATTTGTATATCAGTAACAACATGAAGTAGAGGAGACGGTGTAGAGTTATATTGGAGCAAACTTCTTTAAATTACTGAAATTAAGTTGGTATTAGTCCAAGCTAGATTTTTATAAGTTAAGATGTTGACTGTAATTTCCAGCGTAGCCATTAAGAAAATATATACTAAACTAAAATATATAGTAAAAGAACTAAAAATATGTGTTTAAAGAAACAATGGAAATTGAAACTGTATTCTATAAAATAGAGATTTAATGTTAACAAAGAAATAATGAAGGAATAGAGGAACAAAAAATATACATAAGAGAAAACAACAAAATGACAGATGTAAACTGACCATATCATAATTACATTAAGTGCAAATAAACAGTCCAATCATGAGGCAGAAATTGGCAGGATAGATTTTTTAACCCAACTATACGCTGTCTATGAGACATATTTTTTATTCAAAGACACGAGTAGTTTAAAAGAATCCAAAAAGATATACTATGCAAATAGTAACCAAAAGAGAGCTAAAGTGGCTATCCTAATAGCAGACAGAAAAGACTTTATGACAAAAAATTGTTATTAAAGATAAAGAAGAACTTTTTATAATGATTAAAGTGTCAATTCATCAGGAATAAATAACAACTGTAAATATATATGGACCTAAAAACCGAGCCCTAAACACATGAAGCAAAAACTGACAGAATTGAGGAGAGAAATAATTATGCCTTTAAAAAAATGAGAAAAAAGAGGAGATTAAGCTTAAAACAAGTAGAAGGATGGGAATAATAAAGATTAAAGAAGAAAGAAATGAAATGGAGACTGGAAAAACAATAGAGAACGCCAATAAAATAAAAAGTTTTCTCTGAAAAGATAAACAAAATTGACAAATCTTTTCCTAGACTAAGAAAAAAGACAACTCAAATTACTAAAATCAGAAATGAAAGCAAAGACATTACTACTAATTCTACAGAAATAAAAAGGATTTTAAGGAATACTATGAACAATTAGGCCCCAATACATTGGGTAACTTAGATGAAATGGACCAATTCCTAGAAACAAAACCTACCTAGAATAGATCATGAAGAAATGGAAAATATAAATAGATCTATAACTAATAAGGAGATTGAATTAGTAATTTAAAAAACTCCCAGAAAAGCAAAGCATATGGCTTCATCAGTGATTTCTATCACATTTAAAGAAAAATTAACACCTATCTTTTTCAAACTTTTTCAAAAAATTGAAATTGGAACACTTCCTAACTCTTCCTATGAGGCCAATATTGCCTAAATACCAAAACCAGACAAAGATGCTACAAGGAAAAAAAAAGTACAAACCAATATCCCTTATGAATACGGATGAAAAAATCCTTTAAAAAATACTAGGAAACTGAATTCATCTGCATATTAAAAGGATTATACACTATGACCAAGAAGGATTTATTCCTAGAATGCACAGATGATTCCAGCATACCAAAATGAATCACTATAGTACACCACATTAACAAAATAAAGGGATCGGGGGGTGGGCGAGGGGGCTCACGCCTGTAATCCCAGCACTTTGGGAGGCCAAGGCAGGCAGATCACGAGGTCAGGAGATCGAGACCATCCTGGCTAATGCGGTGAAACCCCGTCTCTACTAAAAAATATAAAAAATTAGCCGGTTGTGGTGGTGGGCGCCTGTAGTCCCAGCTACTCAGGAGGCTGAGGCAGGAGAATGGCGTGAACCAGGGAGGTGGAGATTGTAGTGAGCCGAGACTGCGCCACTGCACTCCAGCCTGGGCGACAGAGCGAGACTCCATCTCAAAAATAAATAAATAAAAAATAAAGGGATAAAACCCAATGATCATCTCAATTGATGCAGCAAAATCATCTGACACAATTAAACATCTTTTTATAATAAAAATATTCAACAAACTAGAAATAGAAGGAACTTCCTTCAACTTTAACATAAGTCATTTGAAAAATTAACACACAGTTGACACCACACTCAATCACAAAAGACTGAAAACTTTACTCTTCAAATCAGGAATAAGACAGAAATGCCAGTTTTCCCCACTTCTATTCAACATTGTATTAGGATCTCTAGATAGAACAATCAGACAATATAGGTAGGCAAAAATAGAAATTCGGCAAAAGAAATAAAAGGTATCCAAGTCAAAAAGAAAGAATAAAATTATCTCTGTTCACAGATTACATGATTGTGTATGTAGACAACCCTAAAGATTCCACACTCAAGAAAACTGTCACAAATAATAAATTCAGCAAAGTATTAGGATAAAAAATCAACACATAAAAATTAGTTGCATTTCAACTCACTAGCAGTGAACAATCTGATATAGAAATTAAGAAAATTTCATTTATAATAACATCAAAAAGAATGAAATACTCAGGAATTAACCAAGGAGATGAAAGACATATACTGAAAATTATGAAACACTGCTGAAAGAAATTAAAGAAGACATAAATAGAAAGATATTCCATGTTCATGGATTAGAAGACTTAATATTATTTAAATGACAATATTAGTTAGCCAAAGCAATCTACAAGTCAATGTAATTCCCACAAAATTCCAATAACTTATTTGTTTTAGATAGGGGCTTCTCTGACCCCCAAACTAGGGTGTAGCAGAATGATCTCAGCTCACTGCGGCCTCCACTTCCTGAACTCAAGGGATCCTGCCACCTCAGCATCCCCAGTAGCTGGGACCACAGCCATGTGGCACCAGGCCCAGCTAATTTTTGTACTTTTTTTGGTAAAGGCAGAGTCTTGCTGTGTTTCCCAGGCTGATCTCAAACTCCTAGGCTCAAGCAATCCACCCACTTTGGTCTCCGAAAGTGCTGGGATTACAGGCATGAGCCACCATACCTGGCCCCAACAACCTTTTCTGCAGAAATAGAAAACTCCATCCTAAAATTTATAGGGAACCTCATAGGACCCTGAATAGCCAAAACAATCTTGAAAAAGAAGAACAAAATTGAATGACTCACTTAATGATTTCAAATTTTATTACAAAGCTACAAAAATCAAAACAGCATGGCACTGGCATAAAGAGACATATAGACCAAAGGAATTGAATAGAGGCCCAGAAATAAACCTTCATATATATGGTCAAGTGATTTTCAATAAGAAAAGTGCCAAAACCATTCAACGGGAACAAGACAGTCTTTGCAACAAATTATACTAAGAAAAAGAAAACCAGGTATCCTATACAAAAGGATAAAGTTGGACCCTTACTTAACACCATATATAAAAATTAACTCAAAATGAACCAAAGACCTAAAAGTAAGACCTAAGTTGTAAAACTCTGGGAGGAAAACAAAAGAAATCTTTATGACATTGCATTTGGCAATTATTTCTTGGATATGATACCAAAGACACAATCAACAAAAGAAAAAATACACAAATTGGACTTCATCAAAATTTAAAACATTTGTGCATCAAAGTACACTATCACAGAGCAAAAAGGCAACCCAGAGAATGTGAGGAAAATGTTTGCACATTACACATCTAAAAAGAGATTAACATCCAGAATATATAAAGAACTCCTACAACTCAACAGCAACAACAGAAACTATTTAAAAATGGAAAAGGGACTTGAATAGACATTTCTCCAAAAAAGATATACAAATGGCCAAAAAGCACACGAAAAGATGCTCAATATCATTAATCATTAGAGAAATGTAAATCAAAACCACAATGAAATACTACTTGGCACCCATTAGGATGGCTATCAAAAAGTCAGAAAATAGCTAATATCGGTGAGGACGTGCAGAAACTGGATCCCTGGTGCGTCTTTGGTAGGAATGTAAAATGGTACAGCAGCTATGGAAAACAGTCTGATGATTCCTCAAAGAATTAAGCATAGAATTTCCATATGATCCAAAAATTCCATTACTATATATACTGTCAAGAAAATTGAAAGGAGGGACTCAAACAGATACTTGTACATCAGTGTTCATAGCTGAACAGAATTATTCACAATAGTCAAAAAGTGGAAGCAACCTAAATGTTCATCAAAGGATGAATGAATAAACAAAGTGTGGTATATACACACACAATGGGAAACTCTGATACATGCTACAACATGGATCAACCTTGAAGACATTATGCTAAATAAGCCAAACACAAAAGAACAAATATTGTATGATTTCACTTGTAGAAAGTAACAAGAATAGTTTAATACACTGATTCAGAAATTAGAACAGTGGTTACCAGAGGCTGGTAGGGGTGGAGGGTGAATGGGATGTTATTGTTAAATGGGTACAGGGTTTCAGTATGTGATGATGAAAAAGTTTTGAAGATGGATAGTGGCGATGATTGCAGAATAATGTGAATGCACTTAAATTTTATGTTACATGTATATTACCAGAAGTTTAAAAAACAGGCAAAAGAAAAGTATATTGTTCAGGGATTCATACTTGATTAATGAAACTGAATAAAAGCAAAACGATGATTATGAAAAAAAGAAATGAAGCACCGATTCATGCTACAACATGAATGAACCTTCTATACTAAGAGATAGAAGCGAGTAAACAAAAGTTGTATGATTCCATTTATATGAAATGTCCAGAATAGGTAGGTCTATAGACAGAAAGGTTATTTCCTGATGCTAGGGTGAGGAGAATGAGGAGTGACTGCTAATGGGTACAGTTTCTTTGCAGGGTATTAAAAATATTTTAAAATTCGATAGTGGTGATAGTTGCACAATTCTGTAAATATACAAAAGACCACTAAATCTTACCCTTTTAAGGCATGAATTGTATGATGGGAGAGAGGGCTCCTTGGCCCATATGCAAATTCTCCCTCTCCCTAGATTCTTTCAGGGACAACCTTTGTCAAGATAAAAAGAAAGTTTTGCTCTTTACCTAACATAATTTATAACTGCGTAATTTGAACACAGTATTTCATGGTTCTTCCCAAAGTGACATATCTCTACTAATAGAGAGAGGTGGCTGGCAACTTTTGAGTACCAATTTTTCTCACTAAAACAACAACAAAAATTTGAGTTCTTTGAGTATCCCTGATGCACGTGTTTATAATGATGAATGGAACTTAACTGAATTGAGCCCCTCAAAAAAATCTAATCCTCTGACATCCCCCCATACACTCAATTCCTGCGTCTCAAGGGTTAATTAGTTCTACCTCCTGTGTGACTGAGACTTTGGGAATTTATTTTCTTATCAAATGCTTGATCCTAAAAAGGAATATACTTTTAAGGATAGCTTGGTTCTGTCATTTTCCAGAAAGACTGATTATCTGGATCCAGATATGCAGTTTTCTTTACTGTGATTTTTTTTTCAATCCTGTCTGATAAGAGTACCATTCCTTTTGCAGGATAACTTTTATGAGAATTTTATTTTATGAGACAGCTTTGAAAAACATAGGAATGCACCTTTACCAGATTACAAATCCTCGATTGAAAGAGGTAGAATAAGGTGGGATTATGAGCAACGGGTATCCTTGCATTAGTTATAAATGTGTGGAGGGAGAAGGATGTGCTGCAATTTCTGAAATATAATGAGGATGTAATTTATAATATAGAGCAACAAAATGCACAGGAAATTGAGAGGGGGGACACATATGGATCAGTTAGCAGTGGTTAACTCTGAAAAGTGAGACTGAAAGAGGGACTAGGCTGGGTGCAGGGGCTCCTGCCTATAATCCCAGAACTTTAGGAGGCCAAAGCAAGAGGATCACCTGAGCCCCAGAGTTCAAGACCAGCCTACGGAACAGAGTGAGACCCCCATCTCTACAAAAATAGAATTAGCCAGTGTGGTGGTGTGTGCCTGTAGTCCCAGCTACTTGGAAGGCTGAGTGGGGAAGTTCGTTTGAGTCGGGAAAGTTGAGGCTGCAGTGAGTTGTGATTGAGCCACTGCACTCCAGCCTGGATGACAGAGTGAGACCCTGTCTCAGCAAAAAAGCAAAAACAAAAACAGAGAATAAAGGGAGCTTGGAATTTTACACCCTAAACTACTATAAGTGTTTGTTTAATATAAGGGAAACTCCCAGATAAGCAAGAGAAGAAGCAAGATAAATTAGTTTAAACAATGGATAAAAATTATTGGCTCATACAACTGTAAATACCAAAGGTAGGGTAGACTTTACCTGTGGTTTGATCAGGTTCTGACTCCATTTTTTCTCAAGTCTTTTGAATCTGCCCTCTTCTAGCAGCGGCCTCACCTTTGGATGGCGCCTGTCATTAGAGTAAAATAACTGCAGCAGTGTCCAGACTAATACTCACACCCACGCTATCCCCCAACCACTGAAACAAAGTCCTGGGCTTTACTTTGTTTGAATCACCTGCTCACTCATGAGCTAATCTATGTGGCTAAGAAGAGGAGATGAAACCAATTGTCTTGGGTCAATCAAGGCTCACCCCTGGTTAGCCCCACCCAACACCTGCTGTTGGGAAGTAAAAGGTGGAGTTGATTCAATACCCATTGAAGCTCCTGCTCCAATCTGTATTTTTACTTGGGCCCTCCCAATCTTATCTGCTTAGGAAAACTGAGGTGCTGCTGAAATTGTGGAGCCCTGATAAATTCAGATATTCCTGCCAAGTCTATGCTTACATATCCGAATGCAAGCCCTGTCTCTTCCTGTTGCTCCAAGCAAGTTCCCAGAATCTCATGCCAAGCCCTTGTTTGAATGATCCTGAGTTTACTACAATAGTTTACTATAATTTCTTGCTCTTATACTAGGTAGATTTAGCTAATTGAACCGAAAAAAGAAAATACACCCAAGCTAAGAGTTTAAAGCCAAACTCTGTAAAGAGTTTATTATCCCTTTGCAAAATGAGGAAGTCCCTCCAGACTTCAGGCTGTATGTGGGAGGCAGAACACTCTGATTCAGGAAATTTCACCAAGACTGACAAGAGTGAGCCCAGGCCAGCAATGTTGCATAATAATAAAAATTTTGTGTCACAATACTCCCCCTAATTGGCTCTACTTCCACTGGTCCCAAACCTGCTCTCAGAGACTCTGCCCATGATGCTTCTGCTATTCATGACATTCAGCCTGTCCCTGCCCCACCTCCTCACCAAATCTCCAAGACTTAAGGACTGCACATACACTCCACTGCACCACTGATGCCACTCCCTGACCTACCTGCTCAAAGATTTTTCATCAGTCCCTCCTAGGGAAGCTTCATCCTCCCAATTCCCACCACCCTTGAAGCCTAGGTCAGCCCCACCTTCTCCATGAAGATCTCCCCACATAAACAACCCATGAAGATTTCTGCTAAATCTGAACTATAATATCTGGAGTAGAGGCTATTAAATGCCTCAAATATTGCTCTGGGCTAGGCACTGTGGTTGGTGCTGGAAATGGAGCAATATTTCTGATTCTGTCTTGTTTCCCACCTCTGTCAAGCTTGCAAGCTGACTGGAGACTCCAGTGGAGGTTTTTAGTTTTTAGGATAAAGATGCCTGTCTTCTTTTCTGCTCTCCAATCAGTTCCCAGCACAGGACACTGGTGTTGCCTCACTTCTCACCTTGGTCCTCATTGGTAATTTCCATGTTCTTGCCTTTTCTGACCCTTTTTACAACATCAGTACAAAACTTGAGCAGTACCTTGTTCCTTCAGGGCCCTGTTAGGTGACTGGGTCACTTTGTAAACCAGGAATTATAATAAATTGTGTTAGTGTTCTTAGATAAAATGCTTTAGCTCAAAGGAATCAGTCATATAAGGTCCAAAGCAAGGCCATGGGGGTTGCTATGAGGAGGTACAGGGGATAGTTTAGTGTCTTCTGACCACACAATTGTTGGAGGTGTAAAATAATAACAGTCATAACCACTTATCTTTTTACTCCATAGTGTAAACATGCTTTCTTTTCCATGGATTACACCACCTTGTGAGGTAGGCAGTATTATTCTTCCCAACAGAAGGTCAGTTCCATGAGAACAAGGATTTTTATATTTTGCTCACTGTTATATTTCCAGCATCTAGAACAATGCCTGACACACAAAACATCAATGAATATTTGGTAGGTGCACAAATGAATGAATGATCAAACATTTTATGGAAAGAAGAGTTAGGGTCCAGATAGACTGAGTGATGAGTCAAATGGCTAATTCAGTTTTAACCTGATAGATGCCTGGAAAAAGGACACAAAAACACAATTTCCCAGATAACAGTCAAAGGTATACTAAGAAAAACTGTTAAATCTTATTAGTCATCAAAAAATTTATATTAAAAACAGAGACTTGTGTTATGGCCCAGCTCTATCTTTGTAAATGTCCCAGGTGCACTTGAAAAGAATTTGTATTTTATAGTTGTTAAGTATAATGTCCTATAAATAATAATTAGGACAAGTTGGTTGATACTGTTGTTCCAATCTTCCATATCATTACTGATTTTTGCTATTTCTAGTATTTGCTAACAGAGAGATGCTGAAATCTCCAAATATAAATATGAATTTGTCTGTTTTCTCTAATTCCATCTATTTTTATTTTACATATTTTGGAGCTTTGTTATTAGGTACATACACTTTTAGTATTTTTGTGTCTTGACTCTTACCATTATGGAATGTGCCTCTTCAGTTCTAGTCATGTTCTTTATCTTGAAATCTACTTTCTTGACATTATTATAGTCACACTAATTTGCATGGTAGACCTTTTTAACCATTCTTTTACTTTTAACTTATCTGTGTTTTTATATTTAAAGTATATCTCTTAAAAGCAGCATATAGATGTCTTGCTTTAAAAAAAAAAACCTCATAATCTCTCCCTTTTAATTAAAGTGTGGTTTTTGTTTTGTTTTGTTTTGTTTGAGACAGAGTCTCACTCTGTCACCAGGCTGTAGTTCAGTGGTGCGACCTCGGCTCACTGCAACCTCCGCCTCCCAGGTTCAATCGATTCCCCTGCCTCAGCCTCCCGAGTAGCTGGGATTACAGGCACGCGCTGCTACGACCAGCTAAATTTTGTATTTTTAGTAGAGATGGGGTTTCACCATGTTGGCCAGGATGGTCTCCATCTCCTGACCTCATGATCCGCCCACCTCAGCCTCCCAAAATGCTGGGATTACAGGCCTGAGTCACCATGCCCAGCCTAATTAAAGTGTTTAATCCATTAATGTTTGTAGTGGACTGAATAATGTACCCTCAAAATTTATGTTTTCCCAGAACCTCAGAATGTGACCTTATTTGAAAATTGGTTTTTGCAAATATTAGTTAAGATGAGGTCATCCTAGATTAGAACAGACCCTAAATCTAATCCAATTATAAGAAGAGGAAAGGATACACAAAGATACACAGATATAAGAAGGCTGTGTAAACCCAAAGGCAAGGACTAAAATGATGTAGCTACAAGCCAAGGAATACTAAGAATTGCTGGTAATCACCAGAAGCTAGAGGTATGAAACAGATTCTCCCTCAGAGCCTCCAGAAGGAATTAATGCTGCCCAACACCTTAATTTTGTACTCTGGCAGCCTAAACTATAAGAGAATAAATTATGTTGTTTTAAGCCACCTAGTTCGTGGTAATTTATGTCAGAACACAATCATTGATATGATTGTATTCATGTCTAATGAAATGACTAATTTCATGTGTTAATTTGACTAGGTTAGTGGATGCCCAGATAGCTGGTAAAACATTACTACTGTGTCTGTGAGGGTGTTTCCAGAAGAGATTAGCATTTGAGTTGGTAGATTACATAAAGAAGATCTCCCTCAACAGTGTGGGCAGCTATCATCCAAACCATTAAGGACTTGTCCAAATAAAACAAAAAGGAGGAGAAAGGGAGAATTTGCTCTCTTCTTGAGCTAGACATCCATTTTCTCCTGCCCTTGGACATCAGAGTTCCTAGTTCTCGGAACTTTGGACTCTGGGACTTACACCAGCATTCCTACTTTCTCCCCTACACCCCACCTTCCAGTGCTCAGGCCTTGGAGTGAAAGTTACACCATTGGCTCCCCTCAATTACGGCATCAGCTTTCCTAGTTCTCCAACTTGCTGACGGCATATCATGAGACTTCTCAGCCTCCCTTTATGTGAATGGATTCCAATGATACATCTCCTCTTATATGTCTCTATATATTCTATTGGTTCTGTTTCTCTAAAGAACACTGACTAATACATCTACCATGTTGATTTTGTTTCCCTATTTCCCATGTGTTCTTTTTCTTCCTTTTCTGTTTTTTAAAATGTTAAACTAATATAGACTTTTTTTTGTATTTCAAATTATTTCCTCTGTTGATTTTTTTTATCAATATTTCATTGTTGTATATATTAAAGTGGGTGCTCTGGAGATTATAATATGGCTCTTTAACTCATCACAGTCGACCCAGAATATTATACCATTCCACAAATAATGAATAAATCTTTTTTTTTTTTATTTGAGATGGAGTCTCACTCTGTTGCCCCGGCTGGAGTACAGTAGTGTGATCGTGGCTCACTGCAACCTCCACTTCCTGGGTTCAAGCGATTCTCCTTCCTCAGCCTCCCAAGTAGCTAGGATTATAGGCATCCACCACCACACCCAGCTAATTTTTGTATTTTCAGTAGAGATGGTGTTTCACCATGTTGGCCAGACTGGTCTCGAACTCCTGACCTCGTGATCCGCCCGCCTTGGCCTCCCAAAGTGCTGGGATTATAGGCATGAGCCACCATGCCTGGCCATAATGAATAAATCTTAAAGCAGTATTATTTCAGTAACTCCCCTTTTATCTTTTGTGCCACCAGTTTCTACAGTTTCCACAGTTTCCTCCCCGCAAGCCTCCCATTTTCCCTTCCCATTTTCTTTTCTCATCTTTCCCAATGCCAAATGATCTCATCATGAGGTCAGGTTTTCACCCCATCTTATAGACTAGAGCATATCTGTTAATGTTGGATTTTCCCATAAAGTAATGATACAGACGGAAGATAGAAATTACTTAGGCAGATCCTAGGGGCAAGAGAGTCCTCAGCAGAACTTCCCTTCTAACAAAAAGCAGCCCAAGAAATCATTTCTTTTCTAACCAAGAGCAGCCTGAAGATCAAGCTGCAAACATAGATAAGGAAGCTGGAAGCTTGCATGGGGGAATACCGGAGGCTGCGCCAATAGAAAGGGTCTACTTAGGGCCAGGCATGTACACCTTGGAAGCTCCCACCTTCCCTTTTTTGTTAGCACATGTATGGTAAGAAAGAACTGGGCAATATGGAGAAGCTCAGGCAGAGAACCCACCTGCATAATAAAAGATTGGGGTGAGAGCTTCCAGAAATTCACACCCTATGCAGATGGCACACCTGGTCCTAACCTGGTTTTCACACTGTATATAGATCAGTTACCACCTCCTCACTAGCTTATCTATAAAAACATCTGCATTTCACCACAGATCAACAACGCATTTTTCCAAGACCCCTCTCTGTAGCAGAGAGGTATTCTCTTTCTTTCACCTATTAAATTTCTGCTCTTAACCTTACTCTTTGTGTGTCCACATCCTTGATCTCCAGGACGGTGAGACAATGAACCTCGGTTATCACCCCAGACAAGGAGGCCACTTCAGTAACTGAGAATTCACTTAAGAGTTAATCTCTTTAGAGAACGCGATGTGCTCATCATGACAGCATCACCAGCACTCGGATTGATGGATCTGTGAAGAAATGGATGAAATGGTCCAGCGAAGGCTACAAGTGACAGAAAAGAATGTTGTGATTAGGCCAGTAGAGAGGTGAGTTCTGTGAGCTGTGGCTGGCTGACCAGGTAGGCCTGAGGTCACAGGACCTCCTGAGCCTCCCTCAGAAGGAGCTTGGAGTTTATCCTGATTCAAATGAGGAGGAAAAAAAATACTAGAGGAAATGAAGTCGGGGAGTGACATGGCATGACTGTCATTTTAAGAAGATCCCTCTGGCTGAATTGTGAAAGGCCTGGCCTGTAGGACAGTGAGAATGGAAACAGGCAGACCAGCTAATAGGCACTTGCCATTATCCAGGAAGAGGTGTGTTGGGAAAGATTGATTTCTCTGAACTTCCTGGAAAGGCTGCTTTAAAACTCCATTTCTCCAACTCAGTAAGTGTATTTAATAAGGGAGCAGTCTCAGACCATGAGATGAAAGATGAGATGGCTTGCCTGCACCACAGCTGCAGAGCCAGCTGTCAGATATAATAAACTGCATTTACCTGAAGAGCTGGGGAAAGTGGCAGCAGAGATCAGCCGCTTGGAAGGGCTCATTCCCTCCTCCCGCGGACCCCTCCAATCGACTTGGGCATGCTAAAGTGGAGGAGGCCAAATATTATGGATTCTACTGGTTGCCTTGGCAATAGCTCATTCCAGCTTTTCTAAAGTTGAGGAAA
Organism: Homo sapiens; assembly: GCF_000001405.40. Taxonomy (NCBI): domain Eukaryota; kingdom Metazoa; phylum Chordata; class Mammalia; order Primates; family Hominidae; genus Homo; species Homo sapiens. Next base: position 110,492,072 of record NC_000011.10, on the reverse strand, counting down.
TCCTCTTCCAAGTTGGAAAAGCAATCCTTGAAGCGTTTGGCAAGACGCAAACTGTTACAAAGGCAGTAGGTTAGCTTTTAATGTGTGTTTGAAGGAAAAACCTGCCCTTTTTAAGGTCTGCTGACTTCTTTTTGAATGTCAAAACTGGTAGCCCCAGGCATTTTCCTTTCAGGAACTCTCTTCTGGGGCTTTGCCTCACAGGCAGATGTGGGGGGTCTGGTGGGGGCAGTGCCAGGGGAATGAGGAGTGATTAAGGCAGTCTGCGGGAAGTAACCTGGCAGAAATAGTCCTGCCATTCAAGACCCTTCTCCTCCCAGCACAGCAATCAACAGGCCCTCCTGTCAGCCTCTGCCTACCCCACTGTATCTGAGTGGAGAGGATGTTAGTACCCACCTCTTACCAGCAAGAGGGGACTGAGCCCATGCCTTGCTGCTTGTAGATTTAGGATGTGCTGGTGGGGTGCAGTGGCTCATGCCTGTAATCCCAGCACTTTGGGAGGCCAAGGAGGGGGGATCACGAGGTCAAGAGATCGAGACCATCCTGGCCAATATGATGAAACCCCATCTCTACTAAAAATACAAAAATTAGCTGGGCGTGGTGGCTCGCTCCTGTAGTCCCAGGTACTCGGGAGGCTGAGGCTGGAGAATCACTTAAACCCGGGAGGCGGAGGTTGCAGTGAGCCGAGATTGTGCCACTGCACTCCAGCCTGGCGACAGAGTGAGACTCCGTCTTGAAAAAAAAAAAAAAAAAGATTTAGGATGTGCCAAAAACAAACCACCACCAATTACAAAATATTTGAGAACCTACTGTTGTGCAGCTGTCACTGTGGTATGTGCTGGAGATCGAGTGGCTGACAACAGAAGTATGTGTATCTGCTCTCAGGGAGCTTACCTTCCAATAAGAAGAATCAGAAAAAAAAAAATTCCCCAGAAATGATTTTGCAAGGGCCCTGTTCTTAACCCCACCCCTCCCTGCAGATGCAGCCACAGTGTCATGCTCTCCTCTGACTCATTTGTGGGGGTTGTATCCTGATCTTCATGTCCCTAAACACTAGCTGGGCCATTGCCTTAAATAAACTGTTTGCCCAGAACCAGAAAGCAACTTTCTACTGCATGCATGCCTTCCTGCTGGATTTACTCTCCAGATTGCCAATACTTGCCCAACTGCCCTCCAAATTTTTCAGGCCTTTTGGCCCACCTGAGTGCCACTTGAGCTAATCTAGCTTTTCCCGTCTCCATCCCACCAGCTCCTGTCTGGCTGTAATGAAGCTCAGGCCCCAGTATGCTTCCTGCTTGAGGCTACATTAAAGTAGTTCTGGCCCTTGAGTATGGTTTATCTGCATGAGGCCATCTACCTCTTTTTTTCTTTCCCTTTGATTATTAAAATAAAAATAAAAATAAATTTGTCAAGAATTTTCTTTCTCAACAATATTTCTTTCCCTATTTGCAACCTGAATCTGTACCACCACATCCCAGGGCAGTGGATATCAAATCTGGCTACACATGAGAATTGCCTGGTGCTTTTATCCTATGCTAGACAAATTCAGAATTTCTGGAGGTAGGACCATAGCATCAGCATTTTTTAAAAGCTCCCCATGGGGCCAGAAACAGTGGCTCACACCTGTAATCCCAACACTTTGGGAGACCAAGGCAGGAGGATCACTTAAGGCCATGAGTTGAGACCAACCTGGTTAACACGGCAAAACCCTGTCTCTACTATTAGAGATGGCTAAATGCTATTATCAATAATGGCAAGACTACAATTACTTATGCACTAACCTAATAAAAAATACAAAAAAATTAGCCGGGTGTGGTGGTATATGCCTGTAATCCCAGCTACTCGGGAGGCTAAGGCACAAGAATCGCTTGAACCTAGGAGGCGGAGGTTGCGGTGAGCCAAGATCTGTGTCAAGAGACTCTGTCTCAAAAACAAACAAACAAACAAACAAAAAAAAACAAAAAACAAACTCCCCATGGGGTCTACCATGCAGTCTGGCTTGAGAATCACCTCCTGAGGAGCCCATATCCCAGTTGAGATGTGTGAAGGGAGAGGGCTAGCAGAAATGCTATCAGGGACAATCTGTGGATTGCAAAGGTAAGGACAGTCCAGGACAAAAGTTAACCAGCAAAATATACCATAAACCAGAGCCTGATTGCCTTAGAGGAAACATACACTGCTTTGCTCTGATACTGATTTCTTTTTGGCAAAGTTTTTGTAGAAATCCAAGTCTGGGGAATTCTTGAGTTCTATACTCAGAAGTTCAAGCAGAAGAGCAGAGCTATCCTCTGTGACCTGGGCCAGAAGGTGTGTAACCTCAAAGACCAGAAAGCTCCAGGAGGTCCATACAAAGAGTGGGGAAGAGAGAAAGGGAATCTTCCCCTCCCTACCCCACATTTCCCAACCACCACCAGCCTGATCAGGGGTTGCTACCTGGTGAGCAATGAGCTCACAACATCACAGATGGCTTTACCTCAAATCTGAGTTTTAGAGGTGGAGTGACCTCGATGGTCATGCAGCGCAGGCTTCCTCAAACCTGGGTCCACATTAAAATCTAAAGGACCAAAAAAGAACAAAAATAATTCGCAGATCCCACCATAGACCAACTGAAACAAAAACTCTGGAGAAAAGCCAAGCAATTATGTTTTTTTCAAAAAGCGTCCCCAGGTGATTGTAACATACAGTAAGGGTTGAGAAGCACTTCTAGCCCAACCCTCTCATCTCGTAGATGATAAAACCAAAGCCCGGTGGATTAGACAATAAAAACCATCAGGCCAGTATGTTAGTCATTTTGAAAGAAATCGAACCAGATCCTCAACATGTACCATACACCAGAATAAATTCCAGAAACCTAATTGTAATATACTCAATCCTTAAAAAAGAAAAAATAGGAAAAAAGTGACTGTTAAAAAATTTAGAAAAATGCTGAACTTCTGTAGTTAGAAAAAGAAATGCGAATTCAAGTGAAATTGCCTTTCCTATATAGTATATAAGTAGAATTTTAAAAAGATGAATGTTGAATGTCGTGGGTGACACAGACACCCATACACTGTGTTTCTTCTCTTTGTGAATTGTCAATTCATGTTCTCTCATACATTGCTGGTGGTAATATTCACTGTTAAGCCTTTTGAGAAGCAATTTGAAAATATCTATCAAAAACTTTAGAAATATTCTAGTCAGAGAATGTGCTATTACTCAGGACTCTCCAGAGAAACAGAATCGATAGGATGTGTATATATGTAGAAAGAGATTTAAGGGATTGACTCACACAATTATGGAGGGTGGCAAGTCCAAGATCTCCAAAGTGTGCTGTCAGGTAAGAGATCAAGTGAAGAGCTGCTGTTGCAATTCAAGCCCAAGGGCTTCCTGCTGAAAAACTGCCTCTTGGTTGGAGGAAGTCAGTCTTTTCTTCCTAGTCAGGCCTTCAACTGATGAAATGAGGCCCACCCACATTATGGAAGACAATATGCTGTACTCAAAGTCTACCAATTCAAATGTAAATCTCATCTAAAAAATAGAATCCAGAATAATCTTTCACAGAAATGCAGAATAATGTTTGGCCAAACATCTGGGCAACGGGGTCCAGCTAAGTAGACACGTAAGATTAACCATCAAAAATGTGTATTGGAATCAGATCAACCTGCATTTGAATCCCAATTCTGCCACTTAATAGTTGTTTAATTCTCTGAGCCTTCTTTCATGTGTAAAAATAGAAATAATAATACAAATCTTGCAGGATTGTTATAAGAATTAAATTCCAAAATATATGTAAAATGCCCGATACATAAGTGCTTAATATATGGTAGCCATTTTTATGATCTTCACTTATAAATTCCTCTTCTGGTATTCTATACTCAGGAAATAACCTGAAATATGAAAAAATTTTATGACCAAAGAAGTTTTTTTACTTTTTTTTAATGTTTTTAATTTTTAAGTTTTTTCTTTTTTTTTAAAGATGGGGCCTCGCCCTGTCACCCAGGCTGGAGTGCAGTGGCATGATCACTCCTGGCTCAAGCATTTCTCCCACCTCAGCCTCTCGAGTAACTAGGACCACAGGAGTGTATCAACATGCCTGGCTCATACTATTCATAATATGAAAAATGCCCAACCATAGAAGAATTGCTAAAGAAACTACAGCAGGAGAGAAAATTAAGCAGCCATTAAAACTGATTATTGCAAAGTATCTTTAACACTATATGAAAATATTCAGGCCACATGAAGTAATAAAAGCAGGACATAAACATTTTATACATTGTATTTGTTTGACTATGGTAGAAAAAAGGACAATAAAATATTTCAAAAGAAAATATTACAAAATATTAAGGTTTTTTTTTGGTTTTTTTTTTTTTTTTTGAGACAGAGTCTTGCTCTGTCACCCAGGCTGGAGTGCAATGGCACAATCTCAGCTCACTGCAACCTCCACCTCCCAGGTTCAAGTGATTCTCCTGCCTCAGCCCCCTGAGGGCTGGGATTACAGGCGCCTGCCACTACGCCTGGCTAATTTTTGTATTTTTAGTAGAGATGGAGTTTCACCATGTTGGTCAGGCAGGTCTTGAGCTCCCGATCTCATGTGATCTGCCCGCCTCGGCCTCCCAAAGTGCTGGGATTACAGGCGTGAGCCACCGCACCTGGCCCAAAATATTAAGTTTTACAACTGCATTTTTCTTTCTGTATTTTCCAATGCAAAAATGACTTTGTATGTTTTAATAATTGGGGAAAATTAAAATAACTGTTTTGACCATGGAATACTATGCAGCCATAAGAAGGGATGAGATGATGTCCTTTTCAGGGACATGGATGGAGCTGGAAGCCATTATCTTCAGCAAACTAACATAGGAACAAAAGACTAAACACTGCATGTTGTCACTTATAAGTAGGATCAGAACAATGAGAACACATGGACATACTTGGTGGGGAACAACACACACTGGGGCCTGTCAGTGGTGGGTAGGAGGGGAGAACATCAGGAAGAATAGCTAATGGATGCTGGGCTTAATATCTAGGTAATAGGTTGACCTGTGCAGCTAACCACCATGGCATACATTTACCTATATGACAAACCTGCACATCCTGCACATGTACCTCAGGACTTAAAAGTTAAAGAAGAAAAAAATGAAATAATTGGTTTCGAATACAACAGCCTCAGATTGCCCTTAGTGATGACCTCCCTTTGTCAGGGTTGCAGTGTGGTGACTGGGCACACCCTCTCCCTCCAGCTGGCCCTGAGCTACTCAGAGGGAGACCAGGTAGGCATACCCCAGGCTGGCTGTCAGCAATTTTTGGATGGTTTCTAGCCAGGCTGCCCCATGGAAATGTTCCAAATATTTTTCATCAGTTGGCTCCCTCAAAGAGTGAGACCAACATTTCCAACACGGCGGCCTAAATAATATAAGCTCCATTTTCTTGATTTAGGGAGAAAAAGTGAAAGAGTGTCCATGGACATTAGGGCAGTCTCCTGTTTCCTAGCCTTGGAGGTAGAGTTAATAGATATAAGCATGATCTGCAAATTCCCTGGTAAGATGTGCTTCACAGTGCTACGGATCTAATTAGTCTGACTAAGAGGGACATATAGCTAAAATCACCAACCCTTCCAGACAACAAACGGTTGGCTGACCAGAAACCAGCACCCAAGAACCAAGATAACTCCTTGCATTGCTTCAGCTCATGAGCTACATGCGTGATTAGAAAAATAAGTTACTCACCACAAAAATCACAGAGCAAGAGACAGGAAAGAAGAGGAAGGTTTTCTTCTCCCTGCAACTAAATATGCATAGATAAAGGAGAAGCTAGGGTCAAAACGTTGTCAGTGTGACAAAAGCTGAATTTCTGCTTGGGATGGAAGATCAGGAAATGATTTTTGCAGTTTATTAATAATCTAATCATAGTCTTTGCAGCTACCATCATGAATGAGTAATATCCTTTCCCACAGACACAGGTGTCAAGTCAAAGAGAAATGGATAAGCAGACACCATGGGCGTCACGGGCCTCTGCCTTAGGGATCTCTGCATAAGACAGCACCAGCATAATTTTCAGCAACAGGCTGGCTGGACATGTCTTCGTGATGCTGCTGCAGGAGAGTGAATGTTCCTGAATCCAGGTGCAATGGGAAAGCACAAATTTCCTTGGCATTTCCCATTTTCCCCACAGCGGCCTCTTCCTCATTTATGTATCTCTTCTTTCATCTTCTCTCCTCCCCTTCAAACATATTCCTCCAACCCTAGATTGCATTGCTGTATTTCCTGCCGAGCCGTGGCTAGATAAGAGGTTAACTAATAAAAGTATAGGGTGTCCACAGCTCCCCTGCAGAGGCATTCACTAATAATGAGAGGATTCTTTGTGGAGGGAAAAAAGACACTTTTTTTTCCCCATTATGAAAGGTAGCTGTTAATATTTTAGCATAATTCCTTTCAGTCTTTATTCTGTGCATAATTTTTGTTTGGACTTTTGAGTATAGTTGAGATGACATTGTATGTATGATTATAGAACCTACTATATTTTCATGTAACAAGCATTTCTCGAAATTATTATAGACTCATAGGAAGGATCATTTTTTTTAAGGTACATGTAATATTCCACTCAGTTGATGGGCCATAATTTACTGAACTCTTTCTCTACTGTCATAATTCCCCTTAAGGGAGGAATTGTTCTAAACTTAGAAAAATGCTTTTAAGTCCTAAAAGTAACAATAATTGCTCTATTACTATATAATAGTAATAATAATAATTGAATACTCACTACATGCCAGATATTCTAAACATTCTCTATTTATTAACTCATTTAATCCTCACAGCAAATGTTAAAAGACAAGTACTATTAATTTTACTATCATGTGGGAGATAACAGTTTGCAAACCTGTAAAATTAAGGCATGTTCCAGAGAACAAAGGGAAGTTTCCAGTTTTATAGCAAAAGTTCCTGCCCAGCTACCCAATCAAATCTGTTTATCCAAATGAAAGTTTCAAACTTGCCTAGTTTTCATTGGTTGGCACAGCTGAGTTCTGATTGGTCAATACAACTGATCCTTGATTGGTTGATATAGCTGAGCCCTGATTAGTTGGCTCTGGTGAGCTCTGAAGTCCCCAAGTTAAGCAGAGGTGAGATTTTTCTGGAAACTCAGAGTATGGCCATTTGGCTTTATTTTTAAATTTAGGCCTACTTAGCCACCTGGGCTCCATCTTGAAGGACTGGCTTAGCCACCCAGGATCCATCTCGAAGGACGTTTTTAGGTTCACATTTGTTCACAGTATAGAGATGGCAAGGAACTTGCTGAAGCTCCCAGCTAGGAAGTAGGAGAGTATAGCTTTTGAATCCATGCACTTTGGCTCCAGCACTTGCGTACTGAAGTACAAGATGGATGATAAGAGGCAAGGGTCCATTTGTGAGCTGGAGTCACAAATTCAAGTTCAAGAACAAGAGCATAACTGCTCAGCATGAGACAAGGAGAGGAACTCTGTTATTGAAATGCAGAGGGTGGGAGGGGAGGTGGAAAATGAAGGAAAAGAGAGAAGAATCAAGTGATGATGGGGAAGGGACCAAGAGAAGAACTTGACAGTGGTGGGAAGCCAAAAATAGGACTTTAGAGAAAATCTGTCTAAAGCAGATTTTTAACAATAGCTTTATTGAGGTATAATTTACATAAACTATATTTGAAGTATACAATAAGTTGAAACTATCACCACAATCAAGATAGTAAAAATGTCTATCACCCCAAAGTTTCTTTGTGTTCCTTGTAAGCTCCCAATCCAATCCCTGCCTACCCAGGCAACCACAACTTCTTTCTGTCATTATAAATTGATTTGCATTTTCTAGAATCGTATATCTATATATGGAATCATATACTATATACTCCCTTTCTGTCTGGTATATTTCACTCTGTAGTTATTTTGAGATTCATTTATGTTTTAGTATGTATAAGTAGTTTATTCCTTTTAATGCTGAGAAGTATTTCATTATATGAATATGTCAAAAATCTGTGTATCTGTTCCCCTGTTGATAGATATTTGGGTTGTTTCTAGTTTGGGGCTATTACAATAAAGCTGCTCTGGACATTCCTGTTCAAGTCTTTGTATGAACACCTGTTTTCATTCCACTAGGAACAGAATTACTGAGTTATATTTTTTGTTGAACTCTTTAAGAAACTGTTTTCCAAAGTGGTCATTCCAGCAACATATAAGAATTCCAATTCTTCAATATCCTAACCAATACTTGATACTGTAAATCTTTTTAATGTTAAATATTCTAAAGATATGTAGTAGCATCTCATTGTGATTTTAATTTGCATTTTCCTGAGCATGTTTTCATGTGCTTATTTACCATCCATATCTCTCTCTTGATGAAGTGTCCATTAAAATATTTTCCCCATTTTTCTTATTGAGCTGTTTTATTGAGTTTGGGAGTTATTTATATATTTAGATATAAATCCTTTATCAGATATGTGATATGCAAATGTTTTTTCCAGCCTGTGGCTTGACTTTTCATTCCATTAACAGTGTGTTTCAAAAAGCAGAAGCTCTTAATTTTGATAAAGTCCAATTCATCAATTTTTTTTCTTTTATGGATTATGCTTTTGATGTCATAGCTAAAAAATCTTTGCCTAATTCATGGTCACGAAGATATTCTCCTATCTTTTATTCCAGAAGTTTTATACTCATAGACTTTACATTTAGATTTATGATCAATTTTGAGTTCATTTTTGCACATGGAGCAAGTATGGATCAAAGATGATGTTTCACCATCAGATAACACTCATTCCAGCATCGTTTGTTGAAAAACTATCCTCCTTACACTGAATTGTCTTTGTAATTTTGCCAAAATAAATTGACCATATATGTGTGGCCAATAGAACTCTCTGTTCTGTTCTACTTATCCATATATCTATCTTTACACCAATATCACACTGTCTTGATTATAGATTTGTAAAATCTTCAACAAAGATAGTGTAAGTCCTCAAACTTCATTCTTCCCTTCAAATTTGTTTTGGTTGTTCTAATTCCTTTGCTTTTCCCTACCCATGCCAATTTCTACCAAAAAAAAAAGTGTTAGAATTTTTATTCGGAGATGTTAAATCCGTAAATTAATTTTAGGGAAAATTGGCATCTTAACAATATTGCATCTTCCATCCCACAAAATTGGTATATCTTTCCATAAAAGGGATTTTTTAATGTTATCTGGCATGTGCTGATTTCAGTAGCAGTCATCTGCAAAGTTATAAAGTAATAAATGTGTGCTTGTAAACGTTTTTTAGTTGTGTGTCTGTTTAAATACTATTGAAAGGGTTGCTGTTTGCTGATGATATGATTGTATAACTAAAAAGTCCTCAAGACTCCTCCAAAAAGCTCCTAGAACTGATAAAATAATTCAGCAATGTTTCCAGATACAAAATTAATGTACACAAATAAGTAGTTCTCCTATACACCAACAGCAACCAAGCTGAGAATCAAATCAAGAACTCAACCTCTTTTGCAACAGCTGCAAAAAATAAATAAATAAATAAATAAAATACTTAAGAAAATACCTAACCAAGGAGGTGAAAACTACAACGAAAACTACAAAACACTGCTGAAAGAAATCATAGACAACATAAAAAAATGGAAACACATCCCACACCCGTGGATGTGTAGAATCAATATTGTGAAGATGACCATACTGCCAAAAGCAATCTACAAATACAATTCAATTCCCATGAATTGAATTCTTCACAGAACTAAAAAAGAAAAAAAACCCCTAAAATTCACATGAAACCAAAAAAGACCCCACGTAGCCAAAGCAAGGCTAAGCAAAAATAACCAATCTGGAGGCATCACATTACCTGATTTCAAACTATACTATAAGGCCATAGTCACCAAAACAGCATGGTACTGGTATAAAAATAGGCACATAGAGCAATGAAACAGAATAGAGAACCCAGAAATAAACCCAAATACTTACAGTCAACTGATCTTTGACAAAGCAAACAAAAAACATAAAGTGGGGAAAGGACACCCTATATAACAAATGGTGCTAGGATAATTGGCAAACCACATGCAGGAGAATAAAACTGGATCCTCATCTCTCACCTTATACAAAAATCAACTCAAGATGGATCAGGGACTTAAATCTTGGACCCAAAACTATAAAAATTCTATAAGATAATATTGCAAAGGGCCAACTTTCATGTTTTGAGCATCATGGTAAGGACCAAAGCCACCCGTGTAGAGCCAAAAGCAGAGGGCTCATGGGAAGGCAAGTCCCTAAGAATTAGTAGAAATTTGGCAGTGGACCTCTACGGGCAGTAAAACTGATGGTTCAGGAGAGACACTATCTAGATCTCAGGGGCCAGAAGGTGACAGCTGAGTCATAGACTGATAGCCCCTTCCTGGAAAGAGAAATCCCCATTAGCCATGCCACCACGGATCTGTCCCCAGAGCGATAAAAGCACAACCATAGCACTTCAGAAAATCTGCCCACCCCTACTCCACATGATATGAGGCTCTAGAGCTTGGGATTGAAACTCATCGTCCTAGCAACTAATGATACACATGCACTCAACCACCTTATAATCATAAGCAGGTTTGGAAGGTTGCAGATGATGTGTTAGGGAGTCTCTCTCTTTTCCTTTCTTTTTCTCTTTCTACTTATTCTCTTTCCTTTTTATCTTTTTCTCTTCTGCTTTTCTCTCTTCCTCTTTCTTTCCCCCCTCACTCTCTCTTTCCTTCTTTTTAAATTTAAGTCCTCTTTTGATAAATATAAAAATCTTACATCTCCCTAACCATCCTCCCTCTGAGATTCTGGTATGTCCTTGAACGGTGTGTGTCTCGGCTAGGTGTGGTGGCTCACGCCTGTAATCCCAACACTTTGGGAGGCCGAGGTGAGTGGAGCACCTGAGGTCAGGAGTTTGAGACCAGCTTGGCCAACATGGCGAAACCCCATCTCTACTAAAAATACAAAAATTAGCTGGGCGTGGTGGCAGGCGCCTGTAATCCCAGTTACTTGGGAGACTGAGGCAGGAGAATCGTTTGAACCCGGGAGGTGGAACTTGCAGTAAGCTGAGATTGCTCCACTGCACTCCAGCCTGGGCAACAACAGCAAAACTCTGTCTCAAAAAAAAAAAAAAAAAAAAGAAGTGTGTGTCTCTCACCTCACTTCTCCCTTGTCATTTCACACTAAGCTGATGGACCAGGTGGAAAGTTCGCCTAGCTCTACTTGCGTCCCAAGATGTAGAAAAAACTGTTCGGTTCTGAGGGTTGCTGAATTGTTCCCTTTTTTTTTTTTTTTTTTTTTACGTGGCCAGACTCAATCCACAATCTCTGGGTCAGCCAGAGTAAGGGTTGGAATTGTTCATAGGACAAGGATTCTCTTTTATTTTTAGTAGCTTCCTTGCTGAGAAACTTTCAGTAGCTCCTACCTTTCTTATGTCCATTAGGAATTGAGCAACAGGATAACAAAATGCATCCTCCAGCTGGGACTTGGACTCTACCTCGACAAAGGAATGAAATTAGTGTATCCACTACAACCAGCAAACGAGAACTATCTTAGCTTGCTGTCATAGTCCTTGCTTCTAGGAATGACTCTGGTTGTCTGCAAAAGCATTCTTCTTGCCCACAGCCCTGTGAAGAATAACTTCCTTGAGGACTAAGGTGCTGTTGTTCGCTGACAGTCCTCCTGCCTGGCTTTAACCTGTTCAACATCTTCATCGGTGAGTTGCTGGAAAACACAGAAAATCATGGAATCATGCTAGTCAATATGGCAGAGAGGATCAGTGCTTACCAGGTATTTCATGTTTTCCAACCTGTACTTCCCAGCCTCCCCTGAAGTTAGGTTGGGGTCATGTGACTGATTCTGGCCAAGGGACTATGAGCCAGGCACTTCCTCCACCTTATTTTTCCCCCACAGCAAAGACCTTGGGGGCCCTGTGTTCCAGATGGCTCTTTCAGAGAGAAGAGGGCAGCCGGACCCCTACTGGACTTCACATAAATGAGAAATAAACCCTTGGGTATTAAGCCATCAAGGCTTAATAGGGTTTTGTCGGTTAGGGCAGCTAAGGTTAATTATGATAATGACTGTAGCCAAACTTCACCACAGCTGAGAAGCAGTCTCTTGGCACAATGCCAAGTCAGACTGAGTAGTGCCTTCAGCCATCAAGTGCTGTTAGCTAAAATGGAGGGAGCCAATGGGGATGTCTTTTTGCCTTAGATTCTTCCAAACTAGCAGTGAAATTCAGCTCAGTCACCACTCAGAGAACGATGACGAAGGGTAGTGAAAGCAGCCTTTGTGTCATGATATAAATGGTGTCTTGAAACAGAAACTTCAGCAACCCCTGTAAACAAGAACTCTATCCCATACTTGTTTACTATACTTTGGATTGCAGCCTGGAGGAATAGAAACTTCTGCCTTCCCTTGGGTGGAACCCAGCTAAGCAGGCTTCACTTCCAGAGGTATACTAGGTTCCCATTCATGCCAAGAGGTGACATCAAAACTTCTGCAACAGGAGAAAGCAGTGAAGTAAGTACTTGCCTCTTGTTACTGCCAATCTGCAGCTTGTTATCATGGAGGAGGGAGAAGCCCTCCTCAGCTGGAAGACTGGAGGTGGTTTTCATGATTCACTGGTTACATAATACTGTCTCCCTTGGAAATCATACTGTAATAGGAATACTGGCAGCTCTACCTTCCCCACCAGCACCACCATCAATAGATAAATAGATAAAGCGCTCTCTCTGGCTCCAAGCTTACCTTAGTTTTGCCTTGCAGCAATCACAAAGAATGCATCAGATGATTGCATCAGGGCTAGAGTCTTCCTCAAGAGGAACAGATATTATCTACAAGAAGAATTAGGAAGCTGCAACTTAACCATATTTCCTCTTAGACAAGGATTGCTCTTTTTTTGGAGTGGTGCTGAACCCATCTATTTGGAGCTAACTGCTTACATAGCAAAGTGAGCTCGGAGAAGGAAGAGACTTTTAAACAGCACAATAGACTCAAAATGGCAGAGACATGCACGTTGAAAAGGAGAAGAAATACTCAGGACAGTTTTCTGCTCACCATAGAGCTCAGGCATTTTAGAATTTTTTCAGATTTGAGGTGCAAAGAACAAAAGACAAGTTAGCCAAAATGACAGCCTGATGTGACAGGACCAAGGAACAATTTTGTCAAAATGGGCTTTTCTTTTTGCCATTTTGCCCGTGCGGCAGCTAAAGCTCATTGGTGCTACTTAAAAGAGACCAGTTCCAAGGAGTCCTCGGTGCCTCCAGGCAGTCCCCTGAAGAGTACCCTACTTTCTCCCAAGCCCTTGTAGCGTGCACTGTGTGTACAGTTTTAGGTCTGGATACAGGTTTCCACTGGGAAAGCCTGGCTGGGCGGTGGCCTCAAACAGTCGTACCAGGCATCCTTTTTCCAGGTTTCTCCGCAGGAGGCCAAGGCCGCAGAGATCACTCCCTGCACCGCTCTCAGGCCGCCTTCTCAGCAGGATGCCTGGCTGTCATTCCTTCTCTAGCTCCAGCGCCCCCTATAGCCTGAAGGGGATCAGCTCATCCGTGGAATGAGAACGGTTGTTCTGACATTGGACCACAGGCACGGTGTTCAACTGTGTGCCTCGTCCAGAACCAAGTTTGTTTACTTAGAATTCCAGACATGGTGAAGCCAACAAACATTATAAGGTATATTGACAGATGAAGTGATGTTCTATCTGGGGTTTGTGTGAAAATAACCAGGGTACTGGGGATAGGCAAGGGTGAGGGGTAGGTAGAGGTTATAAAGTGATCGCTAGTTGACACTTACTGAAACTGTGTGATGAGTACATGAGGTAATATCCTTATAGGATGGTTGTGTGGATCACAGGCAAATGGATGTGCCTCAGTAAACAGTTGCTATTATCCTCACTTTACACTCGATGATGTGAGATTCAGAGAGGCTAAGTACTTCCCTGAGCTCCCAATCCAGGCCATATGTATCTCATTCCGAAGTCTATGCACTTGGCCCCTTAGCTATTTCATACATACCCAGTTCCCAGCAGAGTGCGTGCCACACAGGCCACAACTAATCACTTACTAGGTGCCAGCCACAGTGTTAAGCACCTTGTGTGGATTACCATATTTATCACAACAGCCCTAGGATCAGGTACCATTAGTACATACAGCCTTTTACAGATGAGGAGGCTGGGGTAGTAGGGGATTTGAACGTTTTGCCCCAGGAAAAAGTCAGTCAGGCGTGGGACTAGGATTGGAGACCTGGTCCTCTGACTCTAGAATCCGCCCTCCTAACCATGGTACTGGGTTAATGCTCTCTCTGGGTTAGACTGTGTGCAGAGCCATTTCAAGGGGAGGGCAGGTTGTGGAGATGGCCCTGGGTGATCTCTGGGCTGTCTTTGGAAACTACCAACAAGAATTGAGTTGTTTAGAAACAATCAACAATTATCCCCTTCTTGATACCTTTCTTACCATCAGGACTAAGACAACTTCCCCTGGTCCCCACCATTGTCCAGTCTCTATGTGTCTGTTTCCTCTGCTCTTTTCCAGGTTTCCATGCTGTTCCCCCATTTGGCTCCTTTTTTCCCTTTCAGGGTTGTATTTGCCTAATTCTTCCTCACTAAGAGCGCTGAGTGGACCGAAACCTGGTTATGAAGTCAAATATCTCAGTGATTCATCCAACTATCATTAGAGTGACAGACACTGAGCAAGGTGCTAGGATTGCAGAGATTAAAGACTGGCTCGCAGTCTAGTGCCACAGACAGAATTTAATTCACAAATATCTACTGAGCACCTACTGTAGGCCAGGGCCTCTTGTAGAAGCCTGGGACACAGCTTAGTCCAGGCAGAGTCCCCCTTCCCAGCGCTTTCATTCAAATTGAGGAGTATGGGGTAAACATCCTATGAAAAGTATAAAGCAGAAAATGGGATCACAGAAGGTAAACCAATAATTGTAATAAACTTAAGTGCTGTTCTTTTGTTAGAAGCAAGAGCAGGTGTTCCAGAAACACAAGGAAACAATGCCTGCACTGTCCTAAGACGTGGGGAAGACTGTTGAAGACGGCAGACAGCCACTAGGCAGTGTGCATAGCAAGGAGTCAAGGCCTGGAGTTGTGTGACAGGGCAGCACAAACCAGTGTGTGTCTGGAGCTAACAGTGGAATCTGCAGCAAGACCACAGAAAGCCCTGTCTGCAGTTGAAAGGTGCCTGGACTCTACTGTTGGTCTGTTTCCTAAACTTGCCTGACATGAACCACCAGGGTACTTGTTAAAAGCTGTTCCCCAAGTTCTATACCAGATCTACAGAATCAGAATCTTCAGAAAAGAGGCTTTGAATCAGTACTTTTAACAAGCCCTCAGATGGTTCTTATGATCAGGCAAGTTTGGAAACAGCCTGGGAGTGATGCCGGCCATGGAAATTAATTCTGGAGCAGTTCTGAACGGTGAGTGCCTTGATCCCTGGAGGCCCCCTCCCCTTACAGAACTCCACTTCCCTAAACCTCCATAAGCACCTGCATGGTGAGTAGAGGGTGCTGTGCTGACCTGGCCAGCAGACTTCTAGGCCTCTTGACCTAGTAAGGCTGATGTAACCTTTGCCACCAGAAGCATTTTTGCAAATCAGTGTATTTCCACAAGCAGAAATCTAATAACAGACATAGAAAAAAATGGAATATATTCTATTGCTCTTTTTTACTGTTTTCTCTTTTCTTTTTATCAGATGATAAGGGCTGTGTTTGCAAGGTGCGCTAGCTACAGACTGACTGAACATTGCAATGATAAAAAGGACAGAGGAAAGCAAGAGGGTACATCTGGGAGGAGACATTAAAGTGGTGAACGGAAATGTTTATGGGTCAGAAAATCACAGTTGTAGCCATTTGGCATAGTGTTCTAGAACATGCCTTGATGAAGAGATAAATAGAATCTCAATAGAATCTCCTTCTTCTAGCATCTTTATGAGTACTGGCAAAGCTTCCTTACAGAGAGCGCGATGAGTGATTTGACAATACAGATTCTATACCTGCTGTGTAAGTGGGCTAGGGATTAGATTTCATAATGCCCAGTTAGTGTTGCTAAAGCTTCCTATGATGGAAAAATGCTCTCTATTTTGGGTACCTTGGCTCTGGACAGTTCAGAAAGGATTAGTGAAAAATTCTATTGCAATTCTTGGTTAATACAAAGAAAAAGTTGGGGGAGGGAGGAGAGAAAAGAGAAAGGAGAAAGAGAGACAATGCCAAAAAATGAAAACTCATTTTAGCTCTTCTATTAAAGCCAGATGTATTTTAGGCCCTGTTTCTAGGCAACTGCATTAATGATAATATTCTTGAATCCTTTTTTTAAAGACTCACAACTGTCAGAGTCAGTAAAGGTCAGAAGGTAATTATAAAGTAATAAGAATGACATCCGAGAGGCAGAAGTGCTCCAGCATCACTGGAGAAGCATTGACATTTCATACTTTGCATCCATTTTCGGAAACTCTAGGAACCTCCTTGGGGCACTTCATCATGCCCCTTTGACAAGATCACTGACCCAGTCAAACCTGAAGAGGACACTGGCATTTAACCTGTTCTATCATAACACCTCTCAGATCATCACTGGGGATTGATGAAGTTCCCACGGTGTGCATCACCCTCTGCTAGCTATTAGGAAAGGTGTGTACCAAACAGCTAAGACAATGTCGAAGCAATAAAGAACTTTATAACTGGAAATTGCCTTGGAGAGCAGACCAATAGTCTCAATATATAGATAAGGAAACTGGACCCAGAGACAGGAGGAGGGGAAAGGAGGGAAGAAACAAAAATCTATTAAGTGCAATGGATGTGCCTACTCTGAGTTCACTGAAGATGGAGCAGATCTTCTAACCAGTGTTCACTTTGCTATTGTGTGTGTGGCCTTGGAACAAAGAAGGAAACTGACGTTTATTGAGTTCCTCAAGTACTTTGCTACTCTCTTTATTTACATTATCATTTGATTTTCAGAATTGCATAGGGTTTATAGGCATCATTCCTATTTTACAGAGGTCAAAGCTAGGCCTTACAGAGGTTAAGTCTTCCTGGCTCCCCATGTTTCTACATATTTGATCTTGGAGAAGGTCTGTGTTAAGTCCTCACTTGCAAAATGATGATAAAACCATGTATCTTGCAGGGTACTTTACAAAATTAAATAAGGTCATTTGTGTGAATACCTAGCACAGTGCTGGACATATGGTAAGTCAGAGCACTGAACTGCTTTTATCAAAACCTTCCAGTAGCTTCTATCCCATGGAAGTAAAAGCTGAGCCCTTGCCCTGGCCTACAGGGCCTGCACCATCTGCAAACTCCCCTTGCCTGCTCATTCACCTTCCTGACCACCCTTCCTGCTGCTCCCCTGCCCTCCCAGGCCATCTCCCGGAGCATGCCTTCCTGTGGCATCCACCTCAGAGACCACCCCATTCAAAATCTGCAGCTCCTTGCTCCCCACCCTCAACACCTGTATCATTTTTCTCTGCTTTACATTCTCCATAGCACTTATCACTACCTAAGGAACTGTCTATTGTTATTCATTTTCTATTCCCCCACACACTGGAGAGGAAGCTGCAAAGGCAGGAATTCATTTGTTTTGTCCTTGCTGAATCCTCAGCACCTAGCAGATGCTCCAGAAATATTAAGTGAATAAATGGATATTCTCTTCCTTCCTCCCACCTTCCCTCCCTTGGTCACAGATGGTATTAGATCAGATGTCTCTGCCCTTCCAAAGTATGAAAAAAAAAAAGAGAAAAACTTGAACTGTCAGTAAATACAAAACACAGTTAACGGGCTTCAAGACAAAGGGCATGTCCAAACCAGGGACAAATAATGTTGCCTAGGCCTCTTTACCCACACTATAACTCCTTCCTGAGTTTGAGGTGTCCAGACTCTGTTTCCTTTTTTTAAAAGTGTTCATGTGGCTTGTCCCTGCAGCATGAAGGCACCTTCTCTGCTTTCCAATATTTTGGTATTATAGACTGACTACTGGGTGTCAGACTCCATGCTCTGTGCTGGATGGTACACAGGATGTGCTTACAGCTTACCGGCAGAGACAATCACCCACCACCAGGCTCAATATACTATAACATGGCAAAGGCTAAGATGGAACTATATCCTGTGGCCGGCGGGGGGAGGTCCCAAAAAGCGGGGAGACATATAATCCCAGCTGAAAGTTCAGAGAACACTTCCCAGAGACATCTTGAAAGATAACTGAGTGAGCTGGGCCAAGACAGAGCAGGAGGGAGCTCCAGTCAGAGCTCAGCCTAAGCAAATGCAGAGTTATGAAACAGCATGACATATTCAGGGAACACAAGGAGGTTTGTATTATCAGAACGTAAGCTATAGGGCTCGGCATCTCTCATGTGCTATACGAAGGGGCTTGGACTTGTGGAATTGATCTAATTTGTTTTCAGATTGATCATCCTAATGGAGGGTGGTTTTAATCCAGGCTTATTAAAGATTTAGAAGGCCAATTAAAGGAAGACTCAGGGAGATTATTTAAAATGTTTTTGAGGGAGAGAGAATTCCCTAACGACTTAAGCTTAGATGGCACACCTGGCCCTTTCCACATGATAACAGGAGGGGACATAGACCCTTCAGAAACCTGTGTAGCCTAGAGGCCCCCTTAGAATCAGGCATATAACCTAGAGAGAGACTAGGTGGTCTGTTCCAGTCCATGGTCAACCTACAGGGTTCACTCCAGGTCTGGCCAGCCTCCTAAGACCAGAGAATCCCTTAGGAGGTAAATAATCAATTTTGAGGTTCCTTGAAATTCAAACTCACCCAAGACCCCTGTTGACATTTCAGAGCCCACTGAGTACAACCAAAGTCCTAATAATTAGGAATCAAGACTGGGCACAGTGGCTCACACCTGTAATCCCAATGCTATGCAAGGCTGAGGCCGGAAAGTCAATTGAGCCCAGGAGTTTGAGACCAGCCTGAGCAACATAGTGAGACCCCATCTCCACAAGAAATACAAAAATTAGCTGGGCATGGTGGCACATGTCTGTAGCCCCACCTGCCCCACCTACTCAGGAGGCTGAGGTAGGAGGATCATTTGAGCCCAGGAGGTCAAGGCTGCAGTGAGTCATGATTGCATCACTGCATTCCAGCCTGGGCCACTCAGCAAGACTTTGTCTCTAATTAAAAAAAATAAAATAAAACAAATAAAAATTTTAAAAATTAGGACTCAACTAACCCCCTCCCAAGGGATCCTCTAGACCAGAGGTTGCAGCCCATTGTATCTGTCATGGATGTTTTATTCCTCCCATGTAATATTAAAAACAAACTGAAACTACTTAAAATCCTTGCGAACATATAAAAATCAGATTTCACATCAAAATTTAGGTTCCGGTGGCCGGGAGCGGTGGCTCACACCTGTAATCCCAGCACTTAGGGAGGCCGAGGTGGGTGGATCACGAAGTCAGGAGATTGAGACCATCCTGGCTAACACGGTGAAACCCTGGCTCTACTAAAAATACAAAAAATTAGCTGGGCGTGGTGGTGGGCACCTGTAGTCCCAGCTACTCAGGAGGCTGAGGCAAGAGAATGGTGTGAACCATAGAGGCGGAGTTTGCAGTGAGCTGAGATTGCGCCACTGCACTCCAGCCTGGGCAACAGAGCGAGACTCCATATCAAAAAAAAAAAAAAAAAAAAAAAATTTAGATTCTGCCTTCTCTTTCTAAAATTCTGAAAATAGTGTCCTGCCCTGCTATTTGGAAATAGCAAGCTAGAGTGAAACAGCAGCTCCAGTCCCCTCCAGTCCTCCTTCCTCTCAAGGGGACATAATCTCATTTGCCAGTCCCTCATGGCCTTTACAGGTGACCTGATCTTCAGAGACTGACCCTAAACATTCTTGGATGTCTCCTCCTCAATCAAATCATAGTCCCCAATCTCCAGTCTGGGTTTTTCAGGTGACCAAACTGATCATTTCTTTCGAGATTAAGGAGTCCTACCAATAAGCTCTCCCCTGCTAACTATCCAAGGCCAGTATTTGGCTAGGCATGGAAGACACCTTGGAAAAGGAAGGCAGCATAGGCACTACCCGAAGGAGAGGACAAAGAAAAGTGTAGACTCAGGTAAGGAGAGAGGGTAGGCAGAGCACCCCAGAGAATTAGGGCAGAAGGTAAAGCACCTGGATAGAATATATAAAAAAGACATGAATGAGGAGGGCATGACTTTCCTGGCATAGGGGAGGAGCTAGAATGGAATTAATATTTTGGCAGGAAGTATGAGTGGGACAGGGAGGGATTCCTCTCCTTTTCAAGCCTCATGGGCAAATGTTTGAAAGAAAAACATTAATGGCTATGCACTTGTAAGTTTTATTACTAATTAGAACTTAACTTGCTTGAGAGTTTTGAATGAGGTGTTAAGTACAAAGTATGTTAACTTCGGCAGGGGTGAGATTTTTCCAGTTCAATATTAATGCCCCTACAAAAGAAAGAAGAGTAATGGAATATTTCACCCAGATGGTTTGTCTCTTTGATATCTACAAACATTTTGAAATGACTTAAAATATTTTTCAGCCTTTCTGTGCAGTTGCATTAGGTGATGACTGTTGGCTTACTTATTTCCTGCTCAGTTTTTCCTTTGCTCTCTCTCCAAACAACTTTTGTCTTGGTAGGCTGTAGTTGATCCACAAAATTGGACTTATAGCATTAAAAAGTTGGGTAATAATGGAGACAGAAGAGTGCCAACAGGTTGTTTCATAACTAATACCTTGTGATCAGCTGTTATCCTGCCACTCAGCATGGATTCTGAGCCTGATAATGGGCATTTTGAGGTGTGTACTTTAACTACATCAAGATGAGGCCATGGCCTCCAAATGATGGGGTTTCACCGGGGTTGCAGAAGAGCTCCAAGACTGTGCAATGAGTACTGCCCAAAAGTAACAGGCTGGCTGACTGAGAGCTGGCACAATGGCTGGACGTAGGTTTTAGTCCCTGGTGCAGGAAAGAAAAGCCAGGAAAGTCAGCTTCCCAGGGTGACCCTCTCTTTTGTCCTCTAAAATAAAAGAAACCTCTATATCTCACAAGTATAGCCACTTTGCAGTGCACCTCAGGACATGCAAGGAGAGGCTGGTAGACGTGGGTGCTGGGTCAAAGTATGTCCATTCCACTGTGTACATCAACAGTTTTGTAAATTCTGGCAGTCTTCTTAAAAGAACTGAAGAGTTTGACCAACTTACAAAAGCAATAAAGACAGGAAAATACTTGAAAGTTTATGTCATCATCATCTTAGGATGATGATTTTAATCATCACAAGACTTTAACCTCAAGAACTCTTGGTTTAACTGTTTTCCTTTGCCTTTTTTGGTTTAGTGAACCCGTTTAATAGAATCATACATATTAATCAAAAGCTCTGACCCAATATTTTCTCCTTCTCCTCAAGCTCCTGCTATTGGGGCACAGAGATGAGCAAAGTAGATCTTTTCATAACAGATTCGTTCAAGAAATTCAACCAATATTTATTAGCCACCTACTCTACATCAGGTACTCAAGGCATTTGGAGCACAACAATGAAAAAAAGAGATTGGACTTTAAAAGAACATAGGAGCTGTCACTTTTGATTTTGTAACTCAGATCTGATCTTAAGTAGACTGCATCACTTTAAGTTACTGTATACAGGAGAATCTTTTTTTAGCAATTTCACTTGGTTGTACAGAACATAGCTCACTGAGCAGCCAAAGCATGCTGCCTTCCCCCATAACAGAATTATGTTGAATGTAGCCCTGCCAGGATTATTAAATTTTTCTCCAAAGTATATTTGCTTGTGTTCAAAGAATGGTTTCTTGGCTAGGTGTGGTGGCTTATGCCTGTAATATCAGCATGAGCTGGGAGGCCAAGGCGGGTGGATCACCTGAGGTCAGGAGTGCAAGACCAGCCTGGCTAACATGGTGAAACCTCGTCTCTACTAAAAATAAAATTAGCTGGGTGTGGTGGTGCGCACCTGTAATCCCAGCTACTCAGGAGGCTGAGGCAGGAGAATTGCTTGAACCCGGGAGTCGGAGGTTGCAGTGAGCCAAGATTGTGCCACGCACTCCAGCCTGGGTGACAGAGCAAGACTCCATCTCAAAAATAATAAAACAAAATAAAATAAAAAAGAATGGTTTATCTACTGGGCAAGATCTACCCAATGTTCATACTTCAAAAAATTAGATCAGACTGTCAAAAAGTGTGTTAAAAATTTTTTTTCTGGGCTGGGCGCGGTGGCTCACGCTGGTAATCCCAGCACTTTGGGAGGCCAAGGTGGGCGGATCACGAGGTCAGGAGAGATTGAGACCATCCTGGCTAACACGGTGGAACCCTGTCTTTACCAAAAATACAAAAAAACTAGCCAAGCTGTAGTCCCAGCTACTCGGGAGGCTGAGGCAAGAGAATGGCATGAAACCGGGAGGCGGAGCTTGCAGTGAGCTGAGATCGCGCCACTGCACTCCAGCCTGGGCGACAGAGCGAGGCTCCGTCTCAAAAAAAAAAAAAATTTTCTGAGCTTGATTAAAAAACTACATTAAATTTTCACGTATGTTTCAATTTAGTGGCTGGGGAGGAGGGTAGAGTGCTATTATTCCTTTCTAAACAGGTTTCCATATGGCAGTTTGTTTTGGAATATTATAAGGAACTGTATGGGTTTCAAAGAACTGATGTTGCTCTAAAAAGCAAACAATTTATAGTTCCATTTTCAGCTATGAGTACTTCCCTTCTTTTACTTTGATTAGTGTCACTCTTTGCTTTTCTTCAATTAAAGAGGCAATGAATTCTTTCCAGCCCACTTCCAAACAATGCACAGCTGTATTCTGTCATTTGCTCCCTCTTCTGATTACAACCTAGAAATTTCCAACTCATAACTACTTCTTTAAGATTTCATGTATGGGTGGTTATCAGTAGAATACTTCTCTGACATATTGCAATAAACCACTTCTATTTTCAGTACACTCATCAGATGAGTGGTTAGGCTTAAGAGCAGAAAGATCTTTACATATTTGCTTTTTAAAAATAACTATTCTGAATGGAGAAGTCAAAGAATCGAATATCTGTTCATAATTCATACCTAACAGGCTTCTACCTATTCTTTAATACCTAAGATCTGTATTTTTTCAAGAAGCAATATCCAACAAATAGCGCTTTGCAGCTAACAAAACTCTTTCATAAACATAACATCTTTTAACTTAAATTACAAAACTATGTCCAATTATTATTTGGGTGAGACAGTAATTTGGCTAAGGTACTGGGGATAATTATTTCCACTTAACAGAGAAGTTACCTGAGGCCCAAGAGGGTTAAATGACTACATTCAAGAGGCACTGCCAAGCCTCAAGGAGACAACATATAATTCTCCATACAATAAACACTCTCATTGGAATATATAGTGAGCGTGTGTCTAAGATTTATTTAATTCATTAATGAAGGGACCTGCAGAATGACAATGGGTGGCTCAAAGCAGGACATGAGAAACTGACACATGCAGTCAATGGAAAAAAGAATGTCAATGGGAAATAAGACTGCAGAGATAGATACAAAACTGGATAACGCCCTTCAAGGCAAGAAAACCGTTAACTCTTGGAGTTACCTTCCCTACCAAAGAGAAATTTTTTTTTGAAACTTATCAATTTTTTCTAAGTTAATATCTAACTTTAGAGAGTTTGGGTACTAATCAAGAGTACGCACTAAGTCAAAGTTACCTTTGACGAAGTTTGCACAGGGGTCAGCAAACTTAAACTGCGTAGAGCCAGACAGCAAATATTCCAGGCCTTATAGGCCATGTGGTCATTGTCACAACTCTTCAACATTGCTGCTGTAGTATGAAAGCAACTATTCACAGTAAGGAATGAATGAGCATGGTTGTGTTCCCATACAACTGTATTACGACACAGTTTGTTAACCCCCATCCTAATAAAACATCAAGTCATCCTTCAGTGACCCAGTTAGACAATCCTCTATATACAACTTTGAAGAGACATGCAGTTCTTCATTTCCAATTTTCAGATAATTTTTAAACAGTATCCAGGTCTTTAAATGATAAATTTGATGCTTTTCCCCTACTACGTAAGAGAGCTGACTTTGCTGTCTCTCTCAGTCTCATTCAGTCCTTAGAGTTCAGATAAGAAACAAATAAAGCTGTATGAAAGAAAAAGATTAAAATTTAAAAATACTAAGAAAAGTGTTTTTCTGTAATTCTCAGTCTTTGGCTTGCTTGCTTGGGGAGAATATTCTGTGGACCACCTATCCCTTTCCCATACCTTGAGGAATCCTCATTAGAATCCATGGGAAGCCTAAGACTGGTAAGACATCACCAAGGCCTATCAGAAATGCATGAGGCCAGGTGCTTCCCAGTGATGGAAGAGCACTCATCTGGAGGAATGATCACAACGGAAACACGTGATGCAGGAAGGTGGAGTCCATGTGCCACCTATAGGACCTTTAGCACTCATGCCTCAGAACCACTGACCTACAAGATCAAAACTAGCAGAGGGACCTGTATTCAGCTCATTTGAAGGCGGTTTCCTCCAAGATATGTTAAAAAAAAAAAAAAAGTTGATGAATTGAACACTGTCCTTTTCAATGCAGTGGAAATTACCTCATTTTTTAAAAAAACATTCCTATGTAATACCTGACTCCTGTTTAGTTAGGATGCAAGCTCAGTATATTGGTCTGTATTGAGCTTACGTAGTCCCATCCATAACAAGTGACTGCCAGAGCCAAATGCTAGAAGCAGATTCCTTGTAAGATCAGGATTTGATTAATTCAAACACTTACTATATACCTACTGTGGGCTAAATACTATGATAGACATTGCAGTTATAAAATTGAACACCAACCAAGTCCTTATTCGTAAAAAGAGTAAGCGCTGGCCAGGCACGGTGGCTTAGGCCTGTAATCCCAGCACTCTGGGAGGCTGAGGCGGGTGGATCACTTGAGGTCAGGAGTTCGAGACCAGCCTGGCCAACATGGTGAAACCCCGTCTCTACTAAAAATACAAAAAATTACCCAGGCTTGGTGGTATTCGCCTGTAGTCCCAGCTACTTGGGAGGCTGAGGCCCAAGAATTGCTTGAAACAAGTGGGGCAGAGGTTGCAGTGAGCACAGATCACACCACTGCACTCTAGCCTGGGCAAGAGAGCAAGACTCTGTCTCAAAAAAAAAAAAAAGTAGATGCTATTCTATCAGGGAAAAACTGATGATGAAAACTGCTGATGTGCTAACTGCTACATGGAGTACATGCTACATATGCCATATGTAGTAAATGCTCTAAAGGGCGCCCTGAAGCAGAGTAATGGGACAGACAAGACAGTGATAAAGGCCACTGAGGTAAACCAAGCTGAGTGCTGATGATTTCAGAAATGACTAGTAAGCAAGGGAGCCAGAAAGGCAAAAGGCTCTGCTTGCTTAATTTTGTATTACTATCAAATCAAGTCTAAAAATTACATGACAAATAATATCTTAGATAATAAGCAAATGGGAGTCAAAGGAAAAAGGAAAGAGACCTCTATTAGATAGTTTACTACTAACAGTCACTGAGGCAGTGATGCCCCTCACCGTGAGATCCTTTCTATCAACTCCCCTTGGAAGCTGCTACTGGTAGATTTAAATTATCCTTTAACTCCCCATTTCTGTTCTATTATAGCCACATGTATTTGTGCCTGCTACTGATCATGCCTTCCTCCTGCCAGCTGGTTTTCTAATTTTTCAGATTCTAGAAATTATAAACAGAAAAAAATCTGATAAAAATAACTTGATATCATGTGACATACTGACACATTAAAAGAATCCTGTCATTGCCTAACCAAGATCACATTTCTACTCTTCAATATTTCTCTAATAGAAAACAAAGTTTATATGTAATGTTTGAATGTCTTACTATGGTTTATTTACTTTATAAAGTTTTAGTAATGTAAAATACATTATTCCTATTTTTTTGGGTAATAGAACAATAAGTTGTGCTATAAATAAAGCCATCTAACAAATTCTGATCCAAAATGTGGCTTACCACAAAATTTCAGGTAGTTTAAGGAAGGAAAAACAATTAAAAGATTTGTGAAAAAGAAGAAAAAGAAAAGATGGGGAAACATATGAATAGTCGAAGTCTCTCCTAGAAAACAACTTTTCAAGTAAATATAATCATTCTAGTAACTGTTGAATGACCACTACAGTGACCACATGGATCATCATATGATACTTAAATAGCTAGTAAGAAAATTGGAAAGCTGTCCTTTGAGACAGAAAAATTAGACAGTATTTTCACAGTTAAAGGCAAAAGGTTTAGAATTCCTTAGAACAGCTCACTTAAGAAATTCAGTGGTTCTGAATTACTTAATTATAGGTTGGTTTTATCTGTGAAAGCCAAATACAATATTAAGTATTAGCACATAACCAATAATTACATAGAACTCTATACCAAAGGAAGATGCCTTTCTTGGTGGAAAAATGACTACAAAAGGTAAAAAAAAAAAAAAATTACACAGCATTGAAAGAGAGCCCGCTATTTTTTCCTTTCATTTAAATCAATAGTCAAGAAGCAAAATGTTGGGAGTTATAGAATAAAACAAGTGAGCCATCATAATAAAGCAGACACAAGAATCTTTCAAATGTAAGAGAAAAAGCTAGCTCCTCTTAAGTTTAGAACACTGTTAGTTAAAAGGCCAATATTCACAGGAGATAAGGGGCCAATAAGTTAACAGTTACTCTGATATCTCCAAATACTTGGAAACCCCTCCCTTCTGATGATGGGCCAGACTTAGTGCTTCACTTCTAATGAAAAGAATAGTTGGGAGTGATACTGTGTCACTTCCACAACTAGCTCATAAAGAGGATCCAGTTCTGCCTGGCATGCATGCTCTTCTGAGGATGCCTGCCCTTGGAACCCAGGCGCCAGGTTGTGAGGAAGTCCAGGCCACACAGAGAAGCCACGTGTGGGTGTTCCAGCCAGTATCTTCTCCTAGACCCCCCAGCTGATGCCAACAGCAGACACCAGTCATATGAAGAATATGCCTGAAGATGATTCCAGAACCTGGCCTTTGAGTCATCTAGCTTAAGACCTAATACATTGTGGAGCAGAGACAAGCTATCCCTGCTCCGTACTCTAAATTCTTGACTCACAGGAACTGTCTGAAATAATACAAGATTCTTGTTTTAAGCTACTAAGTTTTGGGGTAATTTGTTTTGCAGCAATAGATAAACCAACACATTTACCTACAACACACATATATCAAATACAGAAGGATTTTTTCAAACTGAAAAATCACCTTTATACAAACCAATTATAGATTATATCCTCCATTTAATAATTTTAGAAGGTTTTATAAAATAACACAATTAAACTTCATTTGAACTTTTCTAATTTGAAATATAAGACAATTTATACTCTAAATTTTAGAGTGCTTTGGTTGAATATAATCATTAAAGTAGCTCTGGAAGGAGAGTTTAGGTAATCCACACACAAAGACAAGAATAATGAAGCTAATTAAGAGAATAAATTGGCTTTGAAGTACTTTAAAATTATAGCACTGCTATGGTTTGAATGTCCCCTCCAAAACTCATCTTGAAATTAAATTGCCAGTGTAATGGCATTGAAAGGTGGGTCCTTTAAGAGGTGATCTCCTTTAAGAGCAGAGACCTCATGAATGGATTAATGCCGTTATCTCAGGTGTGGGTTAGTTATGTCAGAAGTGGGCTCCTGATAAAAGGATAATCATTTTGCCCTCTTGCTCTCACTCGCATTCTCTTGCCCTTCCACCATGTAATGATGCAGCAAGAAAGCTGTCACCAGATGCCAAGCAGATGCTGGTACCATGCTCTTGGACCTCCCAGCCTCCAGAACCATGATCCAAATAAATCTCTTTTCTTTATAAATTACCCAGTCTGTGTTATTCTATTATAGCAACAGAAAATTAAGACAAGCACTCTCCACATAGAAAGCATTCAATAGTTATGGCCAAGCACGGTGGCTCACATCTGTAATCCCAGCATTTTGGGAGGCTGAGGTGGGTGGATCACTCGAGCTCAAAAGTTCAAGACCAGCCTGGGCAACGTGGTAAAACCCTGTCCCTAGAAAAAATACAAAAATTAGCCAGGCGTGGTGGTCCGTGCCTGTAGTACCAGCTACCTGGGAGGCTGAGGCACGAGAATCCCTTGAAACTGGGAGGCAGAAGTTGCAGTGAGCCGAGATCATACTATTGTACTCTGGCCTGAGTGACAGAGTAAGACCCTGTCCCCCGCTCCCCCCACCAAAAAAAAAAAAAAAAAACTACTCAATAGTTATTAAGCATCAAATGATACTTCAAGTTCTTCCTAATCACTTTTTACATATGAATTAGTTTAAAATCTTATTTAGCAGAACTAGTCAGTTTAGTTCAAGCAAATTATCTGCACATACATACATATTTTATATTTTCCTAATAAAAGGTGAATTCCCTGATGGCATTCCTTGTCTTGTTCACCTCTGTGTCCCCAATGGGCATAACACAATGCTGTATGTCAAGCATTGTACTAGACAAATATTTATATAAATGATCAAGCTGCAATAATACACATGAAGCTAACTCAATTGTCTTATAACCTCTTTCTACTAATTTGTTCTGCTCTTCCTCACAATTAGTCCAAGTTAGTTGATGTTTTATTATATTTCCAAAGACCATACTGTGTACCCCTTTGTTAACTTTTATGAATTTATTTATAGTAAAGATAAGAGTACGAATGTCTTCCACACATACGTGGTAATCTGTGGTGCTTGCCACTCCCTCACTCCTGGGACTGACACACTGCAGCCCACGCTGCTCACCCTGCAGCCCCATCCTTGCGTGAGAGAATGGCGCCACCTGGGGCTGTGCAACGTGTCAGCCTGCTCATTCCCTTCTCCAGCTCAGGACAGAGAAACACAATTCATTCATAAGGTTTCCATTCTGTTATAGGCAGAGATTTATAAATCAGCATTATTTTTCAAAGAGTACAAAGTTAAACCATTCTGCTTAGAAAAGAATAAACACATCCAATCATTTTTCCTCTAGTTTAGTCAAAACAGAGATCAAACTTCTTTGATAGCATTATAATGTCTACGTCCAGACTTAGTCTTCCGAATCAAAATTTTGAAATATTTATTTATAAGGTCAATAACTATCTTTGAAGTTAAGCAGTTTACTGAGCAATTAAATATTTTTGTCCATACACATTCAGATTTAACTACTACTATAAATAAAATAGTCATAATTTCTCCAGTTTCAGTCTGAACACATAGCTTATAGGAATAAGACACAGGTTCTAGCACAGATTTTCTAATTAGTGGTATGGCCCTAAACAAGCCAGGTTAGATCTCTGCCTTCACCCACATCAAACAGGAATAATAATATATTTCCTTAACCTATCTTCTAGGTAAACAGATGAGATTATATGAAAACATTTTGCTAAAGTCGCTAAACAAACATAAGAAAAAAATATGTAAGGTTTTTCTATCACATTAACTATTTTTTAATATTTGATTGACATTTTTGTAATATAACCAAAATAAAAATTGCATACTTTCAAGAATGACAAAATTCAGTAGTTATGCAAGGTGAATTAAAATAGTAAAGCTAGTCATAATATGAAGTCCACTCATCCATGTTCTCATTTAATCACTTTAAGAAATAATAATTATAAAAATAGGTAAAATTCCATGAAAATATTCCTATTTGTTCTAGTTCAGGAGGTCTTGCCCACATCAATGGATTGTCTGGCATCAGCCACTGTTTCAGGCACTCGAACAGTCATATTGTCCATAGATTTTGTCAAACAGATTTGGCAGCCCAACCGTGATCTGTATGGAAAAGGGGGAAGGTATGGTTTAGTATTACGTATATATATTCACAAGGCAATGCAGTTGTTTAAGATAGTCTTTATATTTTCTTACCCAAAGCAGTCAGGGAACTTATTAACCTTTTAAATTTCCTTTATGTCAAAACAGATATAACCAACCCTATCAACTAGAGAATAACAAAAGGTAAATATGAATACAATAAACTTGGTGTACCAAAGCTTCATTTTAGCCTTTGGTTCCTATTATCTATTAACTGTTTCACCAGACCACTACTTTTTGGTCAAAGAGCTGACAAGCAAGGAAACAATCAGAAGGCACAATGGTGGAGAACTGAGGTTATTAGCAAGGCCAAGAAAATGATTAATCAATTCCTAGATAATTAAAACCACACAGACTATAAAAGAAAGCTACACTTTTTAAAGCCTTTAAAAGAAGAAATCTGGAATAAATACATAGACTTAAGTCATCAATTATAAGAGCATATTTTTTCTCAAATTTTTACCATCTCTGGAAATCAAGAAGCATCTTAAAATCAATGGAATCTTACAATCACTGCTACACTGTCAGGTAATGGTCATGTCACAGCTACAGATTTGGTGACAATATTCATACAGGGGTCTCTTCAACTTAGTTATGCAAAGTATGTAAGTACACATGTCGAATTTACCTACTTTTCAAAATAGTCTAAAAAGATTACAAAATGAAAATGAAGAAGAATACAGAAAGAAAGCAGGGTGTAAATTTGGAATTAATAAATATTTGTCATTTTAAGAATGACTAATTTCCTTTTTTTTTTGCAGAATTACTACTAATTTTATTTTGTGTTTATTTTCCTTCTTTTTTTTTTTTTTTTTTTTAAGACAGGGTCTGGCTCTGTCACCCAGGCTGGAGTGCACTGGCATGATTTCAGCTCACTGTTAACCTCCACCTCCCAGGCCCTGGTGATCCTCCCACCTCAGCCTCCTAAGTAGCGGGGACTACAGGCATGCACCACCATGCTTGAATAATTTTTGTATTTTTTGTAGAGACAAGGTTTCACCATGTTGCTTAGGCTGGTCTCAACCTCCTGGGCTCAAGTGATCTATCCGCCTCAGCCTCCCAAAGTGTTGGGATAACAGGTATGAGCCACCGCACTCAGCCATTTTCTTTTCTTAGCAGTGATATATAATTCAAATCTATGTCTAGATAAGTCTAAATAACTCTTTCAATATTCAGAAAATATGTTAAGTGATAAGACTGTGCCATATTTGAATTAGCAGTGCTTTTATCTTCCTTAGTGGCATATAAAAAGAAATGTTAATCTTACAATTGACATGTCTTCAATTTGATGAAATCTGATATTCAGGTCTTGGTTTTATTAATGTACTCATGAAGCATTTATTGAGCACCTAAAGGCACAACACTAAATGTCAATGAGGAAGAGCAAATCAACTCCACACTTTCTTACTGAACACTTCTTATTTTCTGGGCATTGGGATGCACTAAAGAGACAGCATCAGAGTTACAGCCAAAGAGACCAGCAGTGCAGAATCCAGCACTTAATATACCATGTTCACAGGCAACTTGCTTAACCTCACCAAATGGTAGTTTCCTAACCTAATCTTCAAGATGAGCAGGAGAATTCCTCACAGGACTGCTGTGAGGATTGGTTGCTAATGCCAGCATTAATGAGTAAACTTTCAATCAAAGGGATGAGATGAGACACATTCAGATAGTTAACATGTGAGACTGTGGCAAATGCCACCGAGGGAGAAAGCCAAATGGCTCTGAGAGGTCTAAGAAGAAAGCCCTTACTTCTGGCCACAGAAGGTGTTGTCCACAATGGGCTTTGGAGGATAGGTAGGATTTACTATTTAGTACAAGATAAAGGAGAAAAGTATGTGAGGCAAAGGCAACACAATGCAAAGAAGCTCAAGTCACATTTAAAGCAAGATGGGTGTTTTAGCTTGGTTGCTGCACAGCGTAAACAAGGACAAGGGGAATGATGGGCCAGAAAAGCGGCCAGAGCCACAGGCAGCTGTGAATATCAGTTAAGGGGCCTGTGTTTCACTGGTGAGCAAGGAGGAACCACCAGGAAGTTTTGGAGTAAAGGAGTGTGCTTAACCATGAGAAATACTGATTACTAATAGAAAAAAAATCCCCTCTATCAAGAGTTCTTTATTTGTAGAATTGGAAACAGCCTTCACAATACTCAATTATGCATTAAGCTCTGTCTGCAAGAGAGAAAAAGTGGCAAGCCAATTTGGACAAATTCGTTAAGACAGCAGTGAGCTCTAGAGAGTCTGTTGGTTACTCTTGGTATTCATACACAGATAGCAAGATGATGCTGGTCTTCAAGGAACGGTTACTTTAGTAAGGGAAACAGAGATGGAAACAGTTATCAGTGAAACATGGCAGGGTACCACAAGTGTGGTGATAGAAGAACAATAAATCTGTTATGGGAACACAGAAAGAGACGGAACAAAAAGCTCCTGCTCAGTCTAGAGAATAAGGCAGTGGCGCTCTGTGGCTAGTTTCTCACTCTCCTACTTCTTCTACCTCCTTAAAGATCTCTGGCTCCAAGATCCACCAGTATAGATGGTGTCTCATACTTCTAGAGAAGGAGACAAACAACAAGGCTCCCCTGATTTCACACTTTGAGTCCCACAACATTTTGACACTTCTGCAAACCTGGAAGGTATTTTCTCCAGTTACTCTTGCCACATATCCCTGATGGTGAAAATATACTGGGTATTAGGTTTACTTTAGTTCTAGGGTTTGGTTTTCAACTCAGAGAAGCAGCTTGAAATAGTAAAAGACTAAAGGCTTTGGGGCCCAACACAGCTGGATTTAAATCAGGGGTGTTACCCACTAGCTGTGCAGCCTTAAGCAAATCCGTGATAACTAAACCTTGTTTCCCCACCTACAACATGGTGATAGTACTGCCTAACCCTGAAGGTTAGAAATAATACTTAAGTGCCTAGGCATTACAGTAAGTTCCCAATAGATAAGTCGATATGATGGTAGTTACAATGCTAACAACTACCATTTAATGAATGCTTTCTCCACCAAGCACTGTTCTGAGAGCTTCACATATATTTCCTCATTAACTCCACACAGCAATACTGTGAGGTAGGTACTATTATTATCCTCACCTTACATATAAGGAATCTGAGGCCTCTGTGTAGATTACCCATGCAAACTGGTGGCAGGGAGCAATTACAATCATCCAATGTAAACTCACAGGTAATTCCTGAATCTCCCTTTCCATCAACTATTAATTCCGCAAGCAGTTGGTGACCTCTACTGTGAATCTGGCATTAGAGATACAATGGTAAAATAAGACATGGCTGCTCCTTTAATGGGAAAAGGGAGATAGGTAACCAGTATGAAAAAAACAATGAGGCTGTCCATGTATCATCCATCCATCCATCAACAATCAAGGTTAAGGACAACCAATAAAACATTGAAGCCAGGCACGGTGGCTCACGCCTGTAATCCCAGCACTTTGGGAGGCCAAGGTGGGCAGATCATGAGGTCAGGAGTTCGAGACAGCCTGGCCAACATGGTGAAACCCCGTCTCTACTCAAAATACAAAAATTAGCGGGGCATGGTGGCAGGCACCTGTAATCCCAGCTACTCGGGAGGCTGAGGCAGGATAATTGCTTGAACCCGGGAGGCAGAGGTTGCAGTGAGCCAAGATCATGTCACTGCACTCCAGCAAGGGTGACAAAGCAAGACTCTGCCTCAAAAAAAAAAAGAAACGATGGTGTTTTTGCTTAAAAATTAAAAACATTTACATAGTATTTAAAGTAAGTATATGAACTAAAAGGCTGAATTTCCTTATTTCTTTTTCTGAAACTTTCTGATACCCTAAAAATAAGTTTACATGTGGTTACTAGCTTTGAGCAAAATTCTTTCCATTCCAAATATGTCAATGTGTTTTGTAAATGCTACCTGTGAAACCCATTATACTCTTTCCCACAAAGTATTTCTACTAAAATGCTGTGTACTTAAGAATACCAGCTATAAAACACCATAAAAGCTATTCCTTGCTCTCTATTGTGTAGCTGTAAAACTTGGAAATTTTATCATCAATACTCTTGCTAGCTTACATTTATTATAGACCTTTTGTATCTAACTGTAGCTCTCCCTTTTCCCTTTCTTTTCAATTAGAATATTATCTATTACAGGCATCTACAAATTGTAACTGTATAAAAGAGCAAGCAGTTAGCTATGATTTAACTCTCTTATTAAGAGACACAATTCTCAGAACCAAACTAATACAGTCATTGGATTTAGTTTCTGTGTTAAGGGGAAGAAAGGAGGTGCTCATAGAGAACACGGCACTGAAGATGTGAGAGGACAGGCAGACAGTAGCCACAATCCACTCTGCTTTGGTGTCCAAAGAGATACTATTTCACCAGTTTCTCTTCCCAGGGTTATCAGTCTCACATCCACCAAGAGGGAAATGAACTATAAAAGGAACAAAATGATTCTTCTTCTCTAAATAAATACAAATGACCTGAAAATGTTTGTGAGGATTAAATGAGGTAGTTTATATTAAAAGTGTATAACAAAATTGTAGCTATATAATACACATGAAATAAAACTATTATTACTATCTTTAATTTTTAAAAAATTATTTGTCATTAAGGTCACCAAACTAGAGTTAAACAAAGCCAACCTTAATTAAGTAATATGCCCTCATTATCTTACCCCTTGAAATAGTATATCAGCTAGCTACCTTCATTGACTCCAATCAAAAGACTAGATAATTTTTTTAAAAAATAAGATATCACTTGATGTCACTTGCTACTGTAAATCTCACCACTTTTAAGAGTAACTATTAATTAATAACAAGAATAAGCTCTGATTACTTTAAGGTACACTTAGAAAAAGAGCTATTCATTTTAACATAATTACTATTATATATTAAGTTTCTTTAAAAATTCTGTTCTAATAGGTGAAACTTTCCATTATAATTGTGTTCAATTATCAAATATAAAAGCATTAGATTTAACCCCTCCATTCAGTTGTGATACATATTAGTTCCTGGAGTAAAAAGAGACTAAAGAAGAGGTGTTAGGATCTAGAACTTATACTTCCAATTAATTTTTTTTACTTTTGTAAAATTTCATAAGGTCTAAACTGTAGAACAGTGAAAACAAAGAGAAATGCCACATATCTGATACTCAAAATCTGTGACTGTTATTTAACCTGGTAGAACACTATTACATTTATGGGTCTGGTCTTACATAGACAACATAATACAACATCTATGTTCCCAGATTATTATTACAATTGAAGCAGTCCAAAAATCTTACCTGTCTGTTAGTCCATATGCCAGATCGAGCATGTCATTCTCCTCATCAGTGATTGCATCTAACTTCTCATATATGTGATCTTCAAAGATGAGGTGACAGGTTGAACAAGCCAGGGTTCCCTCACATGCACCTGACAAAAGCAACAAACACTGAACATAGTCCCTTCTACATCAGACGATTCATACCTGGTTCAGTAAAGGCTTCTAAATGTTAGAATCAGCATTAGAATACATAAGTGAGGCCGGGCACAGTGGCTCACACCTGTAATCCCAGCACTTTAGGAGGCCAAAGCAGGCAGATCACTTGAGGTCAGAGTTCGTGACCAGCATGGCCAATATAGTGAAATCCCGTCTTTACTAAAATTAAGACAAAAATTAGCCAGGCATGGTGGCACACACTTGTAGTCCCAGCTACTAGGGAAGCTGAGGCAGAAGAAATACTTGAACCCGGGAGGCGGAGGTTACAGTGAGCTGAGGTTACACTCTAGCCGGGGTGACAGAGTAAGACTCTGTCTCAAAAAAAAAAAAAAAAAAAAAAAGAATACATAAATGAAAGGTGAAAATGAACAGAACAGGGGCAACAAGCCTCCATCTCCTGCCACATGCACACGCATGCACACACACGCATGAGTTTGAAATCCCTCACGTTATATTATTTCACAAAGGTTCTGGCTTGGTGCTGTGAAGGAATACCTATGAAAATATAGTCCTAATAGAGAGCTTACAAGTTAATAAGCTGAGACATGCATACATATAAAAATTTGTGCAATTTTAAACTTACATAGTAATTACTGACATAATAGCGATGAAAGTTATGGTATATAAGAGGAACTAGAAAGCAATCAAACCTATAGCTAAATTAAGTTAAATGTTCTTCCCTCTCAATCTCTCCTTGTAATTTGGACAGAATCAAGTCATTTTAAAATAAGTCACTATGGTCTTAAATAATCAGAATATTTATCCTGTTCCATTTTTTAAGTCATTAATTTAACAGTGGTTTACTGAATACATATCGTACGCCAGACACTGTGATGAGAGAACTAAAACACCACCTTGTCCAACTAAACCAGGACGAATCTGCTCTGTAACATCCCTTTCCTGGTATTACTCAGCCTTCACTTGAAAATCTCCTGACAAAGAAACCGACACCACATAAGTCAGCCAATTTTGCATTCGGCTGGCTTCTACCAAGCTAAAGTCTGCCACTCTGTAACTAGCACCTACTGGTCCAACGCTATCCCATGGAGTTTAATCCTTCTAAAGGATAGCTTTTCATTTATTTGAGATCATTCTTCCTTCTCCCAGCTGAGCATCCCCAGGTCCTTCCACTAGGTCCTTCCACTGTTTCTTACATAACACAGTTCTAAATCCCATCCCTCAGGCCAGTTGGGCTTTTCTTAAAATATGGCATCCAGAACACATTAGTATCCCAGGGGAGGACCTGACAACAGAGGCGTGCAGAATCACAGTCTGCTTAAATCTGACTTTAAAAACAGTGATTCGGGTTTGTTTTTACAGT
This sequence comes from Homo sapiens, assembly GCF_000001405.40. Classification (NCBI taxonomy): domain Eukaryota; kingdom Metazoa; phylum Chordata; class Mammalia; order Primates; family Hominidae; genus Homo; species Homo sapiens. The sequence goes on along the minus strand of NC_000011.10, from coordinate 110,455,529 downwards.
TTTTTTAAAGCCACTGTACAATTTCAAAGAATATAGAGTCCTCAGAGTAACTTCAGTTTGATTTATATTCTCTTTTGGTCACTAAATATTATATGAAATATACACAACCACTGTTAACAACTAGTAACCTTCTTAATTTTCCTCTGAATGGATCATTTTAACTAGAGTTGTTCCTTCCTTATAATTTAAGCATTTATTATTTATATTTTACCGTAAGGAAAAAAAAAACAGGCCGGGCACGGTGGCTCACACCTGTAATCCCAGCACTTCGGGAGGCCGAGGCAGATGGATCACGTGAGGTTCGAGACCAGCCTGGCTAACGTAGTGAAACCCTGTCTCTACTAAAAATACAAAAACTAGCTGGGTGTAGTGGTGCACACCTGTAATCCCAGCTACTCGGGAGGCTGAGGCAGAAGAATCACTTGAACCTGGGAAGCAGAGGATGCAGTGAGCCGAGATTGCCCCACTGCACTCCAGCCTGGGCGACAGAGTGAGACTCCATCTCAAAACAAAACAAAACAAAAACAAAAAAACACCATCGTGAAGTTTCTCTAAATCTTCATTTTTATTAAATCCAATTCAAAGCAACAGTAGAATTATGGGAGAGGGAGACCATATAGTGAAGTTCAGAGTTAGGGGCATGGGCTGTTAGCCAGACTTCCTCCCTTCAACCACAGCTTTCCTTTTTACTAACCCTGTCACCTTGGGCTACTTTACCTTCCATGTCTCAGTTTCCTCAAGAGTAACTATACTAACCTCACATAGTAGTTCCAAGAATTACACATGACTGTATACTTAATATATATGAATATATATACTGGCAACCATGACTGGCAGATAGTATGTACTATGTAAGTGTTGGTAAACATTATTATTATTATCCAAAGTTACAGAAACTCTTAGAGTAATTCAACTTTATTTGTAAACATAAGAGGAATTAAGAATTAAGCCCCAGAAGTTAAAGAAATGGACTAAGGTCATACCACTAGTTAGAGATGAGTTATGACTTTGACTTAAGTTTCCCAATGCTGTAGGCAACTAATAATTATTGTACCGCCATACAATAATGTAAGTTGCCTTACTTATACATTAAATGGAGATAAAAGGCTCATATGCCAACAAATCCCTCCTGAAAAACAAAGGACATTGCTTTTTGTACCAGTAGCCAGTCGAAAGGAAGAGTTACCAACCTGTTCTAGCTGTTCATAGGCTTCAAATTCTCCCCCTCTTCCCTAGGAAGCTTCAGTTCTTTTAACCTTCTCTTAAAGGTATTATTCTATTCTCTTATTTAAATTTTCATGGCTCTTCTCAGGAACCTTGGCAATTATTTCCACATCTTGCTTAAGTTGCTAAGCTCAGCGCTGAAGAGACTATTCTAATAAGAATTTGAAAAATGCTGAATATTTTCAGATTAACTTTTGGTGCCTACACACTAAGTTCCCATTATACATTCTAGTCCCGTATTTATTCTTTAAATGAACACATCACATTCATGATCCCTCACTATTTTATGGTCCTTTTCGAACCTTTTCTGCCAAAAAAACTTGCCAACAATTTATCCTTTGTTATTCTTTGTACTAGGAAGAAGTTCAAATATAATAGAAACTATAAGACTCAGAATGAAACCAGCCTATGTGAGAGAGCTAACACTAAACCAGAGAAAGCTAACGGTCAGACTGTGTTAGAACAACTATCACTACAGAAACGATCTGTACCAAGGGTTTCCAAGACCCTATGGATAGCACTTATGAACTATTCTGTCCTTGCCATGGTCAGGGCTCAAAGAAAAATTTAAAAAATAGAAAAGTAAAAAGAAACTTTCAATCTTTCAAAAATCCATAAGAAGACAGATGAGTAGTTTTCTAGAGTTTGTTTTGAGATTTAACCTATACGGTTTATTAAAAATTAAAGAATTTTAGAGAATATTGGAGACACCTAACCAAAAAGGGTATTTAGGAGGAAAAAAAAAAACCTGCAAAAATAAGGTAAATATTTGGGTATAAAAAAGAGCCTAAAACTGTAAGAAGAACAAGAGGCTATTTAAGAAAAAAAAAAAAAGTTACTCCTTTTCTGTTTTCTTTATCTCATAAAATATTGCCAATTTCATGAGAGCTATGTCCTCCAATTACTAGTTGTCTCTTTCAGTGTTCAGTTCTATGAGGCTTTTTGTTTTGTTGTGTTTGTTTGTTTTTTCAGACAGTCTTACTCTTGTTGCCTGGACTGGAGTGTAATGGTGCGATCTCGGCTCACGGCAACCTCCGCCTCCCGGGTTCAAGTGATTCTCCTGCCTCAGCCTCCTGGAGTAGCTGAGATTACAGGCATGAGCCACCATGCCTGGCTAATTTTTGTATTTTTAGCAGAGACGGGGTTTCACCATGTTGTCCAGGCTGGTCTCAAACTCCTGACCTCAGGTGATCTGCCTGCCTCAGCCTCCCAAAGTGCTGAGGTTACAGGCGTGAGCCACCGCACCTGGCCAGTTCTATGAGTTTTAATGTATGTATAGACTTGTGTAACCACCACCACACTGAGGGTACAGAGCAGCTTCCTCAGCCTAAAACTTTTAATTCCCTTTTGCTGTTGCTTTGTTGTCACAGTCTACCTCATCCCTAACCCCTGGTAACCACTGATCTGTTCTCTATCACTGTGGTTTAGTCTTTTCCAGAATGTTCATATAAATAGAATCATACAGTGTTTGACTGAAACTGGCTTCTTTCACTCAACACAATGCCTTTGAGATTCATCCAATGTGTTGCATGTATCTATAGTTTGCTCCCTTTCATTGCTAAGAAGCATTCCACTGTTTGAATGTCCCATGGTTTGTTTCTAGTAGGTATCTGGTGGTGTCACATTGTGACTTTCATTCACATTTTCTCCAAGAAATTAAAGGTGTAAAATATCTTTTTTTTTTTTTAACTTTGCCTCATTTTTTTCCCAAAGCCACTTGGGAGTATGACATCACCATTAGTCTCTTGTGCCTCTAGGAGAAACTCTAAACAACACAAACTCATTCACACATACAAGTTCAGGTCCAGATGCCCCTCAATCTTTTTATGAGCTTATTTGCCATCTCTAAATTCTCCTTGGTGAAGTGTCTGTTCATATCTTTTGCCCATTTTTTTAATTGTGTTGTTTTCTTACTGTTAAGTTTGGAGAGCTTTTTACATAGCCGGGATACAAGTCCTTTCACTGGATATGTGATTTACAAGTATTTTCTCCCAGTCTGTAGTTTGGCTTTTCAGTCCCTTAACAGTGTCTTTGGAAGAACAAAAGTTTTTAATTTTGATGAACTCTAATTTATTTTTCTTATATATAAGAATTTATATATAAATTCTTTTCCAGTCATGTCTAAGAATTCTCTGCCTACCTACCCACAGGTCCTAAAGATTTTTTCTTGTTCTTTCTTTTAGGAGTTTACAGTTCTAAGTTCTACATTTAGATCTAAGTCAATTTTGCATTCATGTTTTTATAAGATGTGAGGTTTAGGTTGATGCACCTTTTTTTTCCCACATGAATATCCAATTGATTCAACATCATTTGTTGAAAAGAATACCCTTTCTTCACTAATTGCTTTGCACCTTTGTCAAAAACCAATTGGCCATTGCCAAGAGGTGGAAACAACCCAAATATCTCTCAAGTGATAAAGAGATAAAGAAAATGTGGTATACGTAAGTGAGAACATGTGGTATTTGGTTTTCTGTTCCTGCATTAGTTTGCTGAGGATAATGGCTTCCAGCTCCATCCATGTCCCTGCAAAGGACATGATCTTGTTCCTTCTACGGCTGCACAGTATTCCATGGTGTATATGTACATTTTCTTTATCCAGCCTATCATTGATTGGCATTTGGGTTGATTCTATGTCTTTGCTATTGTGAATAGTGCTACAATGAACATATACATGCACGTATTTTTATAACAGAATGATTTATATTCCTTTGGGTATATACCCAGTAATGAGATTGCTGGGTCAAATTGTATTTCCAGTTCTAAATCTTGGAGGAATCACCACACTGTCTTCCACAATGGTTGAACTAATTTTCATTCCCACCAACAGTGTAAAAGTGTTCATATTTCTCTGTAACCTCACCACATCTGTTGTTTCTTGACTTTTTAATAATCACCATTCTGACTGGCATGAGACCCTGTCTCTTTAAAAAAGTAGAAGAAAAGCAGCAGCAGCTACAATTACAAGAGTTAGAAGGTGCAATGCATTTTATCCCAAAAAACAAGCTATAAATGGTGATTAAGTCAGTTGTGAAGAAATAGGTTCTGTGTGTTGGCTCAAAAATTTAGCCAACATTATTTTTTATGGGAAAACAAATTCCAAATAACAAGCAGCTGACCTGAAAATAGATTATGGAAACAAAAGCTATTCACAAAATGGGGAGCTTTTTTTTTTTTGGCTTTTCATATACACAGAGAACCCTACAAAATAAACAGTGGAAGATAACCTATAAAACTATAAAAGAATAAAGGATATAAAAGTAACAAACAACAACTACAAGGCTAAAACTTGCAGCTGATCACAATATGGGTATACTAATATATGATGTATATGAAGGAATGAGGTGCAAAAGTTATATAACTTATTATATACACAGCCCCAGAGTAATATTGGTGGCTGTCAGCTTTTAGTGTCTTTATAAGTGGTTGGCTATATAAAAGTAAATGAACAGGGAAAATGTGTATGTCTATGTGTATACATGTATGTACATGTATATATATACATGGATATACACATATATGTAAACACAAAGTGATGTTTTATGAGAAATGCATTCTCAAAGATTTTGGAAATTGTACAAGTCTCATATTTCAAGAATTATTTTCTCAAAGAAACAAAATAGAAAAGTGGATTCCTAAAGTTTAAAAATCTAAAATCCTCAAACATTTTTGTTTTAAAATATACTTAAGTAGAACAAATGTTTGATGTAAAATTCTTTTCATTACTATGTCCACCTTTCAAATAACCAAAAATACATCATGTCTTACAGCAGTCCCGAGCCACAGGCCACACAGCAGGTGAGCAGAGGGCAAGTGAGGGAAGCTTCATCTGTATTTACAACTGCTCCCCATTGCTCACATTACCGTCTGAGCTCCACCTCTGTCAGATCAGCAGCTGCATTAGATTCTCATAGGATGAGAACCCTACTGTGAACTGTGCATGTGGGGGATCTAGGGTGCACCCTCCTTATGAGAATCTAATGCCTGATGATCTGTTACTGTCTCCCATCACCTCCAGATGGGACCTAGATCTAGTTGCAGGAAAACAAACTCAGGGCTTCCCACTGATTCTACCTTATGATGAGTTGTATAATTATTTCATTATATGATACAGTGTAATAATAATAGAAATAAAGTGCACAATAAATGTAATGCACTTGAATCATCCCAAATCCATCCCCACCCCAACCTTGCCCATGGAAAATTTGTCTTCCACAAAACCAGTCCCTAGTGCCAAAAAGGTTGGGGGCCACTGCCTTAGAAAATACAACGGTAGTTACCAGCAGATGGGAGTGGGGGTAAGGAAATGAAATGAGCATGTGCTGTTCAAAGGCTACAAAGTTTCAGTTAGGAGGAATTTGTGTTTAAGATCTCTAGCACAGGCCGAGCACAGTGGCTCATGCCTGTAATCCCAGTACTTTGGGAGGCCGAGGCAGGCAAACTGTTTGAGGTCAGGTATTCGAGACCAGCCTGGCCAACATGGTGAAACCCCATCTTTACTAAAAATACAAAAATTAGCTGGGTGTGGTGGTGCTCACCTATAATCCCAGCTATTAGGAAGGCTGAGACACAAGAATCACTTCAACCCAGGAGGTGGAGGCTGCAGTGAGCCAACATCATGCCACTGCACTCCAGCCTGAGTGACAGAGTAAGACTCTGTCTCAAAATATTATAAAAAATTAATTTTAAAAAATCTATAGCAACAGCATGGTGACTGCAGTTAATAATAATGTATTGTGTATTTCAAAAGTTACTAACAGTAAATTTCAGATGTCTCATCACAAAAAATAAGTGAGGTGAAGGATATGTTTATTAGCTTAAGTTAATCATTCCACATTGTATACATGTATCAAAACATCACACTGTACCTACCCCATAAATACAATTATGATCTGTCAATTAAAATTAATAATAATAACATACTTCATGCCTTAGCACAGATAATAACCTGATTTAGGAACACCTTACAGCAACACTGATATTAGCCCCTGGTGCTAGCATTTTAGCCACCATCCTGGCTTGGTTATACAACAATTTTCATGAACTTAAAAGTATATACATTTTAGTACTGCTTTGATTTTGTTTACATACTGGCTAACAATTCAGAGTGCTTTCTCCTAAATTAACAGTAGTATGTATCATGACAGGTTTTTGGCTTTCTTCCTAACATTTTGTTATATCTAACCTCTATTCCAAAATAACTCATTTTCAGATACATTTTTCAGTATTAGCACTTAATGCTTGGCTGAAACTGATACAGGCTTTAAAAATGATTTTAAATTATAACCACAGTTTAAAATATCATCACCATAGTCAAGAAAATCATACAGATATTCAGATGTCTATAAACAGCATGGTTCACATGGTGCTGACAAAGGATGGCAGGGATTTGTTTATTAGCTAAAATGGTCCATCTTTAGCTGCAGTAACAAATGTAAAATTTACAACTCACACAGCCTGCCAGCTTAAAATTACAGGATTCCTGACAACAGTTTTGGTTTCTGCAATGCTTCTGATTTTGCTAGAGTAAGAATCTCAATACTGTTAATCTGCACAATTTCAAATATATGCATATAAAATGACATGAAGAATAGTAAAGCATGCTTACTAATTTCAAGGTTGGTGAACTCATGAACCAAGTTTTGTTTTTTTAAAACAGGAATAATGATAGTAAGTACTTGGGCAAATCCTCAGAAGTTGTAGCTGTGAAATTAATTCCTAGAGAAAGTCAGATCTCTGCAGACTGCTCTGCTCCTTTCCTTTCATGTAACTTGAGTGTTTGCCAACGGGAAAAGACATTTTGTGTGTGTGCATCTCATATTAAGATCATTTTGTATTATCTACTACGATGCTGACAATACAATTGCCTGCCCCGACACCTAACCCCTTTCCCAAACAAAAATCTAGAGGATGGCTGTGTGGGAATATTATATATTAGAAATGGAAATTATGTGTAAATATAAAATCTAATTTTCTAGATTAAAGATTGATCTAGCATAGTCAGAAATACATTATATCAATAGGGACTCAAGCATGAGGGGAATACAAATAAACTTATACAAACACAATCAGGATCTTCCAATTTGTATAATTTCCCTCAAAACAGACACATGAAGAAAACAGGTAATATTGAAGAAAAAAATGTCTTGAGAGTAAACTAGGTAAGTTGAATCTCAGGTGTGTAACTGCCCCCTAGTGACAGAATATTATGATACACTCTGAAAACAGGTACCTGCATCATCCAAAAGATCTATATTAATATAAAAGTTGGCAATGAGAATGTTTATAAGTTTGAACTGTTTCCAAAATTTATGACTGTCCCTTTTTATTCATGTGTTCACTTATTACTTCATTTCGTATACAATGAGGAATTAAACAGGAATGACTTTATCCCTCATCGCAGTCTATTGGGAAAGATACACAAGAAATACATAATTACTAAACTGTGACAAATACTATAAAACAAGTGAACAAGATGCTGAGAAAGAGAATAATGGGTTCAGGGTAACAAGAGAACCACTACTTTGGACTGGGTGGCTGGGCAAAGCCTCGCTAAGGAAGTACATAAATTGAGATTTGATAGATGAAAAGCTAAATTTTGGGGATGGGAGAGAGAGGGATGTGTCTCAGGGAGAGGGTAAAGTATATACAAAGTCTCAAAGGTAGGAATTTTGGGTGAGTTCAAGCTCTTGAGAAAAGGCCAGTATCACCAAAGTGAGACAAAGAACAATGAGAAAAAAACAAAAAAGAGGAAGAGTGGCAGATGGGGCCAGATAATGCAGAGCCTTTTACGGCTGGGAATACAGATTTTATCCTATGTGCAAAGGAAGACACTCATGGTTTTTTGTTTGTTTGTTTGAAGGAGTCTCACTTTGCTGCCAGACTGGAGTACAGTGGTGCAATCTCGGCTCACTGCAACCTCCGACTCCCTGGTTCGAGGAATTCTCCTGCCTCAGCCTCCCAAGTAGCTGGGATTACAGGCATGCACCACCATGCCCAGCTGGGTTTTTTTTTTTTTTTTTTTTTTTTTTTTTTGTATTTTTAGTAGAGACGGGGTTTCATTATGTTGGCCAGGATGGTCTCAATCTCTTGACCTCGTGATCCGCCCATCTCGGTTTTTTTTTTTTTTTTCCAAGATGGAGTCTTAGTCTGTAACCCAGGCTGGAGTGCAATGGTGCAATCTCAGCTCACTGCAACCTCTGACTCCTGGGTTAAAGCAATTCTCCTGCCTTGGCCTCCCCAAGTAGCTGAAATTACAGGTGCACGCCACCACACCTGGCTAATTTTTGTATTTTTAGTAGAGACGGGTTTTCACCATGTTGCCCAGGCTGGTCTCAAACTCGTGACCTTGTGATCTGCCCACCTAGGCCTCCCAAAGTGCAGGGATTACAGGCGTCAGCCACTGTGCCTGGCCCACTCATGGCTTTTAATCAGGGGACTGACATGTCTGATTTCTGTTAGGACAAATTACCTGGCTGTTAAACTCCAGAGCAGAAGCAGGTTAGCACAGCTCCAGGCGCCCAGTGGCTGGCCAGCCCCTCGTGCCGACTGTAGGGATGGAGCCAACAGGACATGCTGGAGGCGAATCTTGGGGGCACAACTGGCAGGAGGTGCCGATGGACTGGATGTCAGGTTGGGAAGAAAGAGGAAGGAATGGTGCTCTACGGTTTCAGGTTCGAGCAGCCGGGTGGTGCTCATTACTGAGGTAGGAAAGACTCGAGGAAGGACAGGTTTCATCAGGAGGAAAAAAGGCAAAAGCTGTTTTAAATATGTTAGATTTCCAAGAAGTGATGTAAAGCAAGAAGTTAGATCTGTAAATCAGGGCTCAGAGGAGAGGTCTGAGCTAAGGATGTAAATTTAAGAGTTTATCAATATCTAGAAAGGATTTAAGGTCACAGAACGGATGAGATCACCCAGGGAGAAACTGTAAAGAAACTAAGTACTTCGGTCAGCCATGTTTGGAGTACGGTGTTCATCTGTATGACTTATGACAAATGCAGTGTTTAGATGGGCTCCTGCATTCAGCCTTAGGAATTAATGAAACAGCTGCCCCCATAATGTTGTGGTAATAAGCTCTTCTTTATAATGATAACATTGCACCCTTCCTGATTTCATTTCTCTCATCTTTATTCTAGAAAGAAGCTTAGGCTTAACTCTGTCTTTGGTGAATCTAGTTTAGCTTACTTATCTCAAGCTTATCTTTAAATACAAAGATTTGTGGACATGTCAGGATACTTGATCTTTAAAGCTTTTCTTCTGAGTCTGAATACGCGAATTTCTATGATACCAGCAGAATTTTTAAATTTACATTAAATTTTCTATATTTCTTGGGTATTCGGAAAAAAGATTATTTCAGTGCTTATCTCTGTGTGATGATATGAAGTGTTAAATTCTTTTTAAATGTATTTTTAAAATTTGCTATAATGAACAATGAATCTGTATTAATACCTATGTTAACAATATTAGCTAATATTTATTTAGGACTTGCTTGGATTTACTCATTTGATCTTTACAGCAACTTTATGAGGTAGATATTAATATTATCCCTGCTTTACAGATGAAAAGATGAGTTATGAGTAGGTTAGATACCCAACCCAAGGTCACAAAGCTGAAAAAGGGATACAGCTGGGAAAGAAGCCCAGGCAGGACATTCTTCCATTCCAACCAATGACTTTCAGAAAAAACTTTATTTAACTGTGACTCACAGTACGAATTTCATTTTACATCATGACCCAGTACATATATACTTGTAAAATAGCTAAATAAACATTTCCTAAGATAATACCCTTGCAAAAGATGATATGTTTTTATATGTTCTTTTTGATTTCTTTAAAATGCTAGTTGGGAGTGACTAAATTGATTTCATGACCTTGTAATAGTTGTCACCTGCGGTTTAAAAAAAACTGTACTGTAATATATAGTCACAAGTGATGAAGAAAAAAATACTTTTAAAAACTTAAAAGAATACTTTCAAGTATTAAGATCATAATACTTATGTTTTAATTTAGAAGAAATTAATATAAAGCAATCCACACAAATTATTTATGCAAAAAGCATTTTACACTATTTTGAGAATATGTAACTTCATGTAAAATAGCAGTTGGAAGCCATTTAAATAAATGTTTAAAATTTTCATCTTCACAATTTTTATCAAATAGGACATTTAAAGAGCTTTTGCTAACCTATAAAAATAAACAATACCTCATCAGAAAAATAAGCAAATAATACTGCCCAAAGCAATTTACAGATTCAACACTATTCCTATCAAACTACCAACATCATTTTTCACAGAATTATAAAAAAACTATTCTAAAATTCATATAGAATTGATGCAGGGTAGACAGGCCCCAAAATTGGGGCTTAGCCCAGGAAGGTTCTTAGCTTTGCCCAGGAAACGATTCAGGGCGGGTCGGTCGTGTTAAATAGCAACTTTCATTGAAGCAGCAGCATACAGCAGCAGCAGAAGTAGGACTCCTTGTGGAGCACAGCTATCCCATAGGCAGTGTGCCCAGAGTGAGGCAGCTCAGAGGTTGTTCTGCAAATATATATATATATATATACGTGTATATATATATATATATATACGTATATATATATATATACGTATATATATATATATACGTGTATATATATATATATATACGTATATATATATATACACACACACACACACACATATATTTTCTTTTTTTTTTGAGACAGTCTTGCTCAGTCACCCAGGGTGGAGTACAGAGGCACAATCTCAGCTCACTGCAACCTCCGCCTCCCAGATTCAAGTGATTCTGGTGCCTCAGCCTCCCAAGTAGCTGGGACTACAGGTGTATGCCACCACACCTGGCTAATTTTTGTATTTTTAGTAGAGATGGGGCTTCACCATGTTGGCCAGGCTAGTCTCAAACTCCTGACCTCAAGTGATCTGCCTGCCTTGGCCTCCCAAAGTGCCAGGATTACAGGCATGAGCCAACGCGCCCGGACAGCACTTACTCTTTTTAAGAGACTCCGTATTCAATAATGGTGCTGGGATGCCTGGCTAGCCATAGGCAGAAGTCTGAACTTGGACTCCCTACCTTTCACCATACACAAAAATTAACCCAAAATGGATCAAAGATTTAAATTTAAGACCTCAAACTATAAAAAAGACAATCAAGGAAATACTCTTCTAGACATTGGATTGGCAAAGGATTTTTGGCTAAGTCTCCAAAAGCAATTGCAACAAAAGCAAAAATTGGTAAGTGGGATCTAATTAAACAAAGAGCTTCTAGACAGCAAAAAAAACTATCAACAAAGTAAACAGACAACCTACAGAGTGGGAGAAAATATTCACCAACTATGCATCTAACAAAGGTCTAATATCCAGAATCTATAGGGAACTTAAATCAATAAGCAAAAAACAACCTCATTAAAAAAATAGGCAAAGGACATGAACAGACACTTCTCAAAAAAAGCCATACAAGCAGCCAACAAACATGAAAAAAATGCTCCACATCACTAATCATCAGAGAAATGCAAATCAAAACCACAATGAGATACCATCTCACACCAATCAGAAAGGGCATTAGCTGTTGGCCAAGGCGTAGTGGCTCACACCTGTAATTCTAGCACTTTGGGAGGCCAAGGCAGGCGGATCACTTGAGGTCAGGAGTTCGAAACCAGCCTGCCCAACATGGTGAAACCCCGTCTCTGCTAAAAATATTTTAAAAATTAGGTGGGCGTGGTGGTAGACACCTGTAATCCCAGCTACTCAGGAGGCTAAGGCAGGAGAATCACTTGAACCAGGGAGGCAGAGGTTGCAATGAGCCGAGATCGTGCCATTGCATTCCAGCCTGGGCAAAAAGAGCAAAACTACGTCTCAAAAAAAAAAAAAAAAAAAGGATATTATTAAGTCCAAAAACCACAGACGGCATGTTAAATGATGTGGTGGGGAGGGAAGATAATCTAAATCCCATCATCTTTTTTTATACCAAAGATGCTAGTGCTGAAAGCTTTACATAATTTAAAACTTGAGACATTTTCCTACAGAAAAAAAAAAGGTAGCGGGGCAGGGCAGGGGTAAAGATGAATTTTCAGCACCCATAAACATCAGCCATTGCAGACTGAGGTACACTGCCACAGTTTTGTGTCTTCAACTATGTAACCAATTGTATTAGTCCATTTTCATGCTGCTGATAAAGACATACCTGAAACTGGGTAATTTATACAGGAAAAAGGGTTTAATGAACTTACAGTTCCACAATGGCTGGGGAAGCCTCACAATCCTGGCAGAAGGCAACGAGGAACAAGTCACATCTTACATGGATGGCGTCAGGCAGAGAGCTTGTGCAGGGAACCCCCCTCCCCTTATAAAACTGTCAGATATTGTGAGTCTTATTCACTGTCAGGAGAACAGCATGGGAAAGACCTGCCCCCAAGATTCAATTACCTACCACTGGGTCCCTCCCACAACCCGTGGGAATTCAAGATGAGGTCTGGATAGGAGGGGACATGGCTAGACCATATCATTCTGCCCCTGGTCCCTCCCAAATCTCATGTCCTCACATTTCAAAACCAATCATGCCTTTCCAACAGTCTTAACTCTTTTCAGCATTAATTCAAAAGTCCACAGTCCAAAGTCTCATCCAAGATAAGGCAAGTCCCTTCTGCCTATGAGCCTGTAAAATCAAAAGCAAGTTAGTTACTTCCTAGATACAATGGGGGTACAGGCATTGGGTAAATATAGCTATTCCAAATGGGAGAAATCGGTCAAAACAAAGGGGCTACAGACCCCATGCAAGTCCAAAATCCAGCAGGGCAGTCAAATCTTAAAGCTCCAAAATGATCTCCTTTGACTACATGTCTCACATCCAGGTCACACTGATGCAAGAGCTGGGTTCCCATGGTCTTGGGCAGCTCCACCCCTGTGGCTTTGCAGGATACAGCCTCCCTCCTGGCTGCTTTCATGGGCTGGCATTGAGTGTCTGTGGCTTTTCCAGGCATATCATGCAAGCTGTCAGTGGATCTACCATTCTGAGGTTTGGAGGGCAGTGGCCCTCTTCGCACAGCTCCACTAGGCGGTGCCCCAATAGGGACTCTGTGTGGGGGCTCCAACCCCACATTTCCCTTCTGCACTGCCCTAGCAGAAGTTCTCCATGAGAGCCCTGCCCTGCAAAAAACTACTGCCTGGAACATCTAGGCATTTCCATACATCCTCTGAAATCTAGGCGGAGGTTCCCAAGCCCCAGTTCTTGACTTCTGTACACTAGCAGGCTCAATACCACATGGAAGCTGCCAAGGCTTGAGGTTTGCACACTCTGAAGCCACGGCCCTAGCTCTACATTGGCCCCTTTCAGCCACAGCTGGGACAGCTGGGACACAGAGCACCAAGTCCCTAGGCTGTACACAGCAAGGGGGCCCTGGGCCCAGCCCACAAAACCACTTTTTCCTCCTAGGCTTCCAGGCCTGTGATGGGAGGGGCTGCCATGAAGATCTCTGACATGCCCTGGAGACATTTTCCCCAGTATCTCAGGGATTAACTTTCAGCTCCTCATTCCTTACCCAAATTTCTGCAGCCAGCTTGAATTTTTCCCCAGAAAATGGGGTTTTCTTTTCTATCACATTGTCAGGCTGCAAATTTTCCAAACTTTTTTATGCTGTTTCCTTTTAAAACTGAATGCCTTTAACAGCACCCAAGTCACCTCTTGAATGATTTGCTGCTTAGAAATTTCTTCTGCCAGATACCCTAAGTATCATCTCTTAAGTTCAAAGTTCCACAAATCTCTAGGGCAGGGGCAAAATGCGCTAGTCTCTTTGCTAAAACATAGCAAGAGTCACCTTTACTCCAATTCCCAACAAGTTCCTCGTCTCCATCTGAGACCACCTCAGCCTGAATTTCATTGTCCATATCGTTATCAGCATTTTGGCCAAAGCCATTCCACAAGTCTCTAGGGAGTTCCAAACTTTCCCATATTTTCCTATCTTCTCCTGAGCCCTCCAAACTGTTCCAATGTCTGCCTGTTACCTGGTTCCAAAGTTGCTTCCACATTTGGGGTATCTTTTCAGCAGCACCCTACTCCTCGTACCAATTTGCTTTATTAGTCCATTTTCACACTGCTGACAAAGACATATCCGAAACTGGGTAATTTATACAGGAAAAAGTGTTTAATGGACTTACAGTTCCATGTGGCTGAGGAAGCCTCACAATACTGGCAGAAGGCAAGAAGAAGCAAGTCATATCTTACATGGATGGCAGCAGGCATGCAGAGAGCTTGTGCAGGGAAACTCCCTCTTATAAAATTGTCAGATCTTGTGAGATTTATTCACTGTCACAAGAACAGCATAAGAAAGACCTGCCCCCAGGATTCAATTACCTCCCACTGGGTCCCTCCTATAACAGGTGGGAATTCAAGATGAGATTTGGGTGTGGACACAGCCAGACCACCAGTATTGTTTTCCATTACCCTTCACCAAGTGATTTTTTTGTGAGCTTAAAAATATTCCTACCGTAATGTCTTTTTAAAATCCTATTTTCTAAGTACTTTTGTCTTTACAGTATCTACACCTAAATTAACAGCACCAAACGTCAGGCTGATTGTTTAGCCTTTTTTTGTGTTAGATCATGTTTAGCATCCATTCCAATGTTATTGATTTGGGACATATTTCAGTACCACACCATCACTAAATGAAAGTTTAGTTAACACTGTTATGAGATATTAAGATTTAAATTTTTTCAACAGCACAACAGCCACAACTTCCAATGCACACAAACAATAGCATGGTTTACCCATTCTGTCAAAGATCAGAAAATATTTCTACCAGCTAAAGTGGCTCCACCATATGGCAGAAATCAAAAAATTCTTTGAAATAAATAAAAGCAGAGACACAGATACCAAAATCTCTGGGATGCAGCAAAAGTAGTGCTAAGATGAAGTTTAGAGCACTGACCGCCTATATTGAGGAGTTAGAAAGATCTCAAATTAACAATCTAAAATTAACCTAGAAGAACTTGAAAAACAAAAAACCCAAAGCTAGCAGAAGAAATAACAAACTCAAAGCAGAACTGAACAAAATCGAGACCCAAAAATCTATACAAAGGATCAACAAAACCAAAAGTTGCTTTTCTGAAAGAATAAACAAAATGGATAGACCACTAGCTAGATTAACAAAGAAAAAAAAAGAGATGATCCAAATAAGAATAATTAGAAATGACAAAGATGGCATTACAACCAATCCCATAAAGATACAAAGATCCTAGAGACTATTATCAGCACCCCTATGCACACAACCTAGAAAACCTAGACACACAGACCAAAGGAACAGAATAGAGACCCGAAAAATAAAGCCATACATCTAGAAAATCTGATCTTTCACAAAGTCAACAAAAATAAGCAATGAGGAAAGAACTCCCTATTCAGTAAACAGTGCTGGGATTGATGGCTATTATATGCAGAAAAATGAAACTAGACCCCTACCTATCACTGTATACAAAATTTAACTCAAAATAGATTAAAGACTTAAATGTAAGATCTAAAGCTACAAAAGTCCTAGAAGAAAACCTCAGAAATGCTCTCCTGGAAATTGGCCTCGGCAAAGAATTTTTATGACTAAGTCCTCAAAATCAATTGCAACAAAAACAAAAATTGACAAATGGGACCTGATTAAAGAGCTTCGACACATTAAAGAAACTATCAACAAAGTAAACACCCTAGAAAATGAGAAAAAATATTCACAATCTATGCATCCAACAAAGGTCTAATATCCAGAATCTATAGGGAACTTAAACAGATCAACAAGCAAAAAACAAATAACCTCATTAAAAAGTGGGCAGAGGGCCGGGTGTGGTGGCTCACACCTGTAATCCCAGCACTTTGGGAGGCCAAATCGGGCAGATCATGAGGTCAGGAGTTCGAGACTAGCCTGGCCAACATGGGAAACCCCATCTCTACTAAAAATACAAAAAAATTAGCCGGGCATGGTAGCATGCACCTGTAATCCCAGGTACTCGGGAAGCTGAGGTAGGAGAATTGCTTTAACCCAGGAGGTGAAGGGTGCAGTGAGCTAAGACAGTAGCACTGCACTCCAACCTGGACAACAGAGTGAGACTCCGTCTCGGGGTTGGGGGGAAGTGGGCAGAGCAGGCATGGTGGCTGACACCTGTAATCCCAGTACTTGGGAGGCCAAGGTGGGCAGATCATTTGAGATCAGGAGTTCCAGACCAGCCTGGCCAACATGGTGAAACCCTATCTCTACTAAAAATACAAAAATTAGCTGGGCGTGGTAGTGAGTGCCTGTAATCCCAGCTACTCAAGAGGCTGAGGCAGGAGAATCACTTGAACCCAGGAGGTGGAGGTGAATCAGCAAGCCGAGATCACATCATTGCACTCTAGCCTGGGCGACAGAACAAGACTCCGTCTCAAAAAACAAACAAAAAAACAAAGTAAACACCCTACAGAATGAGAGAAAATATTCACAAACTATGAATCCAACAAAGGTCTAATATCCAGAATCAATAGGGAACTTAAACAGATCAACAAGCAAAAAACAAATAACTTCATTAAAAAGCGGGCAGAAGTCAGGCATGGTGGCTCACGCCTGTAATCCCAGCACTTTGGGAGGCCGAAGTAGGCAGATCACTTGAGGTCAGGAATTCAAGACCAGCCTGGTCAATGCGGCAAAACTAAAAATATAAAATTTGAAAATAATCATAAAATTATAAAAATATAAAACTACTAAAAATATAAAAATTTGCTAGCCGTGGTGGCACACCTTTATAATTCCAGCTACTCAGGAGACTGAGGCAGGAGAATCGCTTGAACTTGGGAGGCGAAGGTTGCAGTGAGCCCAGACTGCGCCACTGCACTCCAGCCTGGGTGACAGTGAGACTTTGTGTCAAAAATAAATAAATAAATATTTAAAAAAGAAGACATACAAGTGGTCAACAAACATGAAACATGAAAAAATACTCCACTCTGCAAATCAAAACCACAATGAGATACCATCTTGCACCAGTCATAAAGAATATCATTAAAAAGTCAAAAAATTACAGATGTTGGCAAGGCTGCGGAGAAAAGGAAACACTTAAGACAGTCCTGGTGGGAATGTAAATTAGTTAAGCTGCTGTGGAAAGCAGTTTGGAGATTTCTCAAAGAACTAAAAATGGAACTACCATTCAACCAAGCAATCCCAGTACTGGGTACATACCCAAGAGAAAACAAATAATTCTACCAAAAGACACATGCTCTCGTATGTTTACCTCAGCACTATTCATAATAGCAAACATATGGAATCAGTCTGGGTGCCTGTCAATGGTGGATTGGATAAAGAAAATGTAATACACATATACCACGGAATATGCAGCCATAAAAAGAATAAAACTATGTCCTTTCCAGCAACATGGATACAGCTCAAGGCCATTATCCCGAGTAAATTAACACAGAACCAGAAAAGCAAAGTGTTCTCACTTATAAGTGCAAGCTAAATACTGGGTCCCATGGACATAAAGTTGGGAACAGTAGATACTGGGCACTACCAGAGGGGGAAGGGAGAGGGGCAAGGAGGAAAACTACCTATTGGTTTCTAAGCCTACTGCCTAGGTGACAGGATCACTCATACTCCAGACTTCAGCATCACATGATACATCCATTTAACAAACCTGCACATGTACTCCCTGAATCTAAATAAAAGTTGGAAAATAAAAAGACATGAACAGACACCTCTCAAAAGAAGACACAGACATAAAAGCGGCCAACAAACATACGGAAAAATGTTCAACATCACTAATCACCAGAGAAATACAAATCAAAACCACAATGAGATATACCATCTTGACTTCAAGACAGGTTTGAGTCTTAGCCCTCTCACTTGCTGCATGTATAACCAGGGAAACTTAATTTCCATGAGACTCAAGTTTCTTCAACTATCAAATGGAGAGTTAAAAAAAAAATCTACTTCATTTAACATATGCTAGAATATAGTATACACTCAAATTCTAGTTGTTATAATTATTTTAAAACTAGCAAAAAATACTTAGATTCAGTATTCAAGGCTGGGCATGGTGGCTCACGCCTGTAATGCCAGCACTTTGGGAGGCCAAGGCAGGAAGATCTCTTGAGCCCAGGAGTTCAAGACCAGGCTGGGCAATGTGGCAAAACACTGTCTCTACAAAAAATACAAAATTCAGCCAGGTGTGATGGTGCACCTGCAGTCCCAGCTACTCAGGAGGCGGAGTCAGGAGGATCACTTGAGTCCAGGAGGTCGAGGCTGCAGTGAACTGTGATTGCACGACCGCACTTCAGCCTGGGTGACAGAGCAAGATCCTGTCTCAAAAAATTTTTAAAAAGATATTCAGCAAATATTATTGAGTGCCAACTCTGGACAAAGCCTACTCCATGAGGTGACTCAGGTAACCTCATGGAGTACAGTCTTTCAAAAACTAATAATCTAATAAGAAAGATAGCCATTCTCTCTAAAAAGGAAAACTGTTATAAGCATTAACAAAGAGAGGTAGATTTAATATATCATGGGAAAACAGAAGAGAGATAAATTAATTCTGATCTAGAAATGGTTCTTTAAAGGATAATGTGAACAGTGCCTTGAAAGAAGCAGAGTCAGATACGCTCCTTGAACCTTATTCCAGACCAGTGGTTCTCAAACTTGAACATGCATCAAAATCACACAGACAGCTGTTACAACATGCAATGCTGGACCTACCCCAGACTTTGTGACTCAGTAAGTCTGGGGCGGGGGTGGGGGCGGTGGGTGGGGGAGGAGTGTCTGAGAATCTGCATTTCCCAGGTGACACTAATGCTAACGGTCAAGGAAACCCTCTGAGAACTGCTAATCTAAACATGCATTGCTTGAACAAAACTGACAGGTCATATACAGGGTACGCCTGAGGAAGTGTAAAAGGGCAGTTGCAGGAACACAGGCTTTGCACGTGTAGTTAAGGCATATGGTCAGAAGTCTAAAAATGAAAACTTTCTAAATAAATCACTTTCTAGGATAAGTTACCTTTCCTAGGAAGGTGAGCTGACATTCAAGATATTTAAGTACCCCTCTGTGCTATGACATTTATTCTCTCTAACCTGGTATCTTTTAACTCTACTCCCTACCGTCGGCTTTGTATCACACATATAAACAGTAAGGTAATGAGGCCACAGCAGATTTCTGGCCATGACTTATTTAAATGTACAAAGAACAGAACAATGGTGTCACTCTATTATTCTTTATAAACAAGAATATAACACTAACACATCCTGAATGTTAATATTTTACATAGCATGCTATAGGTTAAACTTCTTCAAAAAAAAAAACCACAAAATAAAAATTTGAAACCTAACAGTTTCACTTATGCATTTTAAGAAATGTTTCATACTCACCAAAGCCATCAATATCTAGATTATTTTCAACCACAACATCTAGCAGAGAATCACCAACTTTTCCTTTGGTTGTTAATGTTTCACCATCACGGTTTATAAAGTGGACTGTTATTTTATCTTCTGAGCTGGAAAAAAAAACAGTCCTTTAGTATTTTTAGTAATTTCAAAACATAATTTAAAATAATTGGTTTAAAAGCCTATAAGGCCTCCAGAGTAGATGGGAATACAGGTGCCCAGCACCACGCCTGGCTAATTTTTTTTATTTTTATTTTTTGTAGTGACGGGGTGCCACCATGTTGCTCAAGCTGGTCTCAAATTCCTGGCCTCAAGCCATCTTCTCAACTTGGCCTCCTAAAACTCTGAGATTACAGGCCTGAGCCACCATGCCTAGCCGAAGGTATTTTCTTTTCTTTCCAAAGCTTATTTGGAAATCAAAGGCATATATATCTACCCACCTACCAGGTAATAAGCTCTACTACCTTACAGGAAATGGCAATGACTACCTGGTCAACGCCACCTGGTGGCCTCAGTATATGTCTCCCTAATAGTCACAGTTATAAAACATTTGGCAATTATTATCACTCATGAACTCTATTTTACTCTCATACAAGCCAGTGCAGTAGCTTGCACCTGTAACCCCAGTACTTCGAGAAGCTGAAGTGGGAAGATTGTTTGACGCCAGAAGTTTGAGACCAGCCTGGGCAACATGGCAAGATCCCATCTTTACAAAAAATAAAATAATTAGCCAGGTGTGGTGATGTGATCTGTAGTCCCAGCTAATTGGGAGGCTGAAACGGGAGGATCCCTTGAGCCCAGGAGGAGGAAGAGGCTGCAATGGGATATGATTGCACCACTGCACTCCAGCCTGGGCAACACAGCAAGACCCTGTCATTTAAAAAAGAAAAGGCCAAGTGTGGTGGCTCATACCTGTACTCCTAGCACTTTGGGAGGCCGAGGCAGGGGACTGCTTGAGCCCAGGAGTTTGAGACCAGCCTGAGCAACACAGAGAGACCCTATTGCTACAAAAAATAAAAATAAAAATGAGATGGTTGTAGGTGTATGAAAAATAAAAGGCATGGTGGTATTTGCCCATAGTACCAGCTACTCATGGGGCTGAGGTGGATCACCCGATCCCAGAAGTTCAGGGCTGCAGTGAGCCGTGATTACACCATTGCACTCTAACCTGGGCAACAGCTCAAGGCCCTGTCTCAAAAAAAAAAAAAAAAAAAAAAACAAAAAAAGTCATCACACAGCTCTCTGAAAAACATGAATGTGTCCATAAAAGACTAGACCAGGGTTGTAGTGAGCTTCTAAAAAGCAAATCATGGCCGAGCATGGTGACTCACGCCTGTAATTCCAACACTTTGGGAGGCCAAGGCGGGCGGATTACCTGAGGTCAGAAGTTCAAGACCAGCCTGGCCAACATGGCGAAACCCCGTCTCTACTAAAAATACAAAAATTAGGCATGGTGGTACATGCCTGTAATCCCAGCTACTCGGGAGGCTGAGGCAGGAGAATCGCTTGAACCCGGAAGGCAGAGGTTGCAGTGAGCCGAGATCAAACCACTGCACTCCAGCCCGGGTGGCAGAGTGAAACTCTGTCTCCAAAAAAAAAAAAAAAAAAATCAATAGGGCGATTGCTTTTCCAGTGCTACATAGAATACTACTGCTGAGAGATGTTGTTTAGTAGTTTTCTGCGTATTTGACATCTCATTTCAGTCCACATTGTATACTTACAAATCAAAGGGACTAGAAAAAGTTTATTTGTTTGAATCTGTAAGATAAATACCTCCTTACATGTTTTTTTAAGATAGTATGTTAACTATCAGCTAGCTGACTTAAATTTCCTTCACTTCTCACAAACATCCCTCCAAAATTTGAGAAGCCATTATACTAAAAACTAGATCCTTATTCCTCCACCATTGGTCATTTTAATTTTTACCTCACACTTGAAAAGATTCTCTTCAACTTAAAATAATGAGTTGTTATTCTTATTACTACCAGTAGATGGCAATAGCCCATCAAACAAATCTTTAAGTAAAACTCAGAATTAAATAATTTCAGAGCCATAACTATCTCGAAAGTTATCAAGTCCAGTGATCCCATTTCACAAATGAGGCAACTGAAGCCCCACTGGGATAATGCCCTCCCTAATATTATAACACTGGGAAAAAAAACAGGATTCTATTCATTAAAACTCATCAAAAGGGTGTGTGTGTGTGTACCAGAATGTTCCTCAAAAGGGCCTGCGCTCTCCAACTTCTTTTCACAGCCAAAACATGCTTTAAAACTAGTATTCCCACATATTATTCATAATTTTCAACATGAATAACTGCCATTTTTTTCAAAGTACAATGGCTGAGAATGAAAATACCCTAGAGGCAGGGAGGCCACTTTGGAGGTTATCAAAACAGCATAAACTAATCAGGGACAGAGAATGCAGTGACTTAACAGACATCCAGGAGGTAGACCAAAAGGTTTTAGTGACCATCTACATAAGATAAACTGAAAAGCGGAAAGAAAAACATTGGGATTTCCAGCTCACACAATTAGGTGGTACCATTTAACCTAGGTTTAAGACAGGAACCAAAGGAACTTTGGGGAAGACAGAAATAAGTTGAAGCTTAGACCTGCTGAATTTAATAATGAAAAAGCCAGATGAGAATGTCCAAACACCAGATGGCAATATGGGTATGGGTCTGAGCCCAGCAGAGAAGTCTAGAGATTTGACATCAACGAATGCCTGGTAGCTAAAGCTACAGGAAGCACATTAGAAAGAATTCCATCATTTATACACACTACTGAAAGCCAGAGGTTTCAGCGTTGCTGTTCTTCTGAAGCACTCTAGAGCTAAGCTTACAGCAAAGGAATTCGAAATCTCTTACATCAGCCTCCTCTTCTATAAAATTGGACAACATTAATCTTATAGTTCTGACAATGTATGCAAAATACGTAACACATAGTAGAATTCAACACACACTGATTAATAACTGTTATTTAAAGACCAAGCCCTTTTGCTAAGAAGCCCAACCTGTTGGTCTGTATTAAAGGTAAACAGCCCTACAAAAAACTGCCAAGTAAGAGTATTAACAGGTTTACCAAAGAAGAGGAGAGGAGGCGGAAACGAAAGAAAAATGTAATTCTTAAGTTGAAAGAGTATGGAACCTAAGAGTCAGAAGATGTAGACCCTATGCTGGGAGTGGTCACTCACGCCTGTAATCCCAATACTTTGGGAGGCTGAAGCAGGCAGATTACTTGAGGCCAGGGGTTCCAGACCAGGCTGGTCAACATAGTGAAATCTCATCTCTACTAAAACTACAAAACTTAGCCGAGTGTGGTGGCACGCGCCTGTAATCCCAGATATTCGGGTGGCTGAGGCACGAGAATCGCTTGAACCTGGGAGGTGTAGGCTGCAGTGAGCCATGATGGCACCACTGCACTCAGGTGAAGAGTACACCAACACCTCCAAAATCACCACTAAAGAACTAACCCATTAACCAAACACCACCTGTGCCCCCAAAACTACTGAAATTTTAAAAATAAATAGAAATTTAAAATTTTTTTAAAATCCGCAAAAACTTCTTGAGTTCTAGTCCTAGTTTTGCCAGCTACTTAATATGAAATTTTTATTCCCATTTATCTACCCTCCCTACCTCATAGAATTGTCTTAAGAGTCATACGAAACAATACACGTGAAAGATCTTTGCTACCTGAATCACTGCAAACCCCCTTGTGTCACGGTATTTTAGAGTAAAAGGAGTTTTTCTGACTCTCAATTACTGATAGCTTATCGAGTTGTTAAACTTCAAAGACAGAACTACAGTTTCTAGAACTGCTCTGTCTGTCTATAAGAACTTTGTGCCATAACAAAGATGTTCTACACATACTTGCAATGTCCAATACAGTAGCCACTAGCCACATGTGGCTACTGAGAACTCGAAATGTGGCTAGTGTAACTACGAGATTGAATCTTTAATTTTATTTACCTTTAATTATGTTAAACTTCAATAGCCACATGTGATTAGTAGTTACGGTAGTTACAGCACAAGTCTCATTAACACAGTAAGAACTGGAAAATCCAGTTGTAGCTCCAAAGTCTGTAAGAGGAATGATAAGACCATGAATAGAAATTGTGCCAATAAAGAGGGCAGCAGGATTATGAGGAAATAGACGTGCTCCCCTTTAAAACAACCTGACATATCCAAATCCAAAAAACAAATCTGAGAAAGATAACTCCCAATTACTACAAAAACATTCATGTTCCCTTATACCAGTTACACAAGCATGTTCAATATCTGTCCCAATTGATTCAGTTGTCCAAAACTCATCCATTGTATAACAGAAAGCAAGGTACCCACACTGGTCAAAGACAGGGGGGGAAGTGCAGAGGAAACAGGAACAAATAAATCTGGCTTGCCTTCTCCCTGATTTCCCCCAAAGTTCACACAACAAAAATGTATGGAGCACCCACTAGATAACGGGATTAGTGGGGAAAAGATGACTGAAAGTCTTAGACCCTGCTCTCAGAGACCTCAAAAAGAAACTAGACAAAGCAGCGTACAAATCCAACACACTCTCCCTCTAGTTCTCGATTCCTGCTACCCTACATCATGCGGTCAAAGAGCTGTCGAGA
Organism: Homo sapiens; assembly: GCF_000001405.40. Lineage (NCBI taxonomy): Eukaryota > Metazoa > Chordata > Mammalia > Primates > Hominidae > Homo > Homo sapiens. The sequence goes on along the minus strand of NC_000011.10, from coordinate 110,431,326 downwards.
GATCTGCATTATATAAATCGCCACCATGTTGGTAAAAATTATGTGTAAATTGTATCTCTAGTATATCTAAGGAGTGTCTTTGAAAAACAAATATGCCCAAGAACCTAAAACTTCAACACATTTGGGATAAATTGTCACATTTCTTTCAATATTTAATACAAAACTCTCTTAACATTGTGAACCTAAGAAGCTGCTGCTGCTGCTGCTGCTGCTGCTGCTGCTGCTACCAAGTGGCATCTACTGAGCCCTCATTACGTGCTAGGCACAAGACTACCTGTATCGCTGTATTAACTCATTGATTCTTCAATTAACCATAGGAGGTCTACACTGTTATTATATCCAACTTGCAAATGGAGAAACTGGGTTCCTAAGGACTGACCAAGTTAGGCACGTCAGACAATCAGTGCCAAAGCCAAGTTTCAAGTCCCGGCAGATTACTTCAACGCAGGGGCTTTCAACACTTGAGCAACTAGCAAAGGGCCTACAGGGCAGCAGAGGGTATGGGCTGGGTGTATTCTACCTGGACACCCCCTGACAAAGACCTGGGACCTGGGTGTCCTCTCAAAGCAGGGCAAGGCCCTGAAAAAAACAGCTGGCAGGTGTGTCAGGCCAGGACAGCAGGAGGGAAGCCTGTCGCGAAGGTCACTGCCAGTTTCGGGCAGAGCAAAGGTCAGATCCCAGACAAATCACACGGAGAACAAGCAGCAGCAAAGTCCCGGCTTTCCTCAGGGCACGGGAAGCGCTGGGAAAGGGAGCTGGGCGTCCAGGGTCCCCGATTCCCGCCGGGAGTGGGTGATGCGGAAAGGAACTCTGCGGTGCGACGGAAGGGAGGCAGCGACGCCACCGAGCAGCGAGACGGAGCCGCGAGAGCACCCCAGAAGAGGGGGGCGAGAGGCAGGCCTCCGGGGTGTGGGCCCGGCGCGCAGAAGGCACTGGAACCAGAGACTCGGCCCAGAGAGCCAGGCGCCACCCACCGGGGACCCCGGCCCGCGCCGGCGATCGCGCCCGCACGGCGCCCTACCTGCTCCGGGCCCGCGCCGACACGCTCAGCGACCGGCTCGCCTCCGCGCTCCCGCCCGGCCCCCGGTTCCTCAGCAGGCCGCTGGATCCAGCGCGGGACCCAGCGTGGTGCAGCCACCGGCCGGCCGGGCCGCCGAGGACAGCAGAAGCGGCGCGCAGCAGCCGGGCGCCCCCAGCGGCAGCCATCGCCCGCGGTCGGGAACTGCCGGAAGCGACGCAGGCCGCGCTTTGAGGCCGCGAGAGACTCCAAAGAGGCGGGGGCGGCAGCTGCGGCGCAGACGCCCGAGGGCCGCGGCGAGGGGCGCGGGGCTGGAGTGGCGGAGAGACCCTGCTGGAAGCACCGCGCCGAGGTTCCGCGTGCCTTCCGGGTGACCTATAAAGACATTGGCAAGCAGAGCGCGGCCCCGCCCCGCCTCTCACGCCCACGCCGCCCGGTCCCATGGGGCGGGGCCAGCGCAGGGGGCCTTTACCAACCCTCCAGGTTCCGTTGTAAGCTGGATGCTTTTTTAGCGGCTGAAGTTGCCGTGCAGAAACAAAATATTTTGAAAGATAGCTGGACGTCTAGCGGAAATCGGTTAGCTAGACCACTGTGTTCTGTTCCGCATACCCCCATCCCCTAGCCGTTAAAAAAAAAACTGGGAAATTGTGTCATCTTGGAGTCAAGTTAGAGCAAAGTGAATTCTGCCCACTGTAAAACAAAAACAGTGGGAAATTTTGGAAAATCTCAGAATGCTATTATACAAAGAAATAATTATGACTATAAAATTGTAAATGAAATTAATGAATAGGCTTGGGGCTCCTGCAGAGGACAGGTAGCCATCCTAGACCTTGACTGGCAAGTAAATGCTGGCTGAGTACATGAAACCCACGAGACTGAACCGGAAACTTTGTGATGAGCTGAGATCTCTAAAAGACTTTCACAAAAAACAGAAAAGATGAACTTTAAAATACACCTTATCATGGTTCATATGTTGTGGGAAATGCATGGGCTTTAAGGTCAGAAATAGCAATGTTCAGATCCAAGATCTACTGCTTTAGAGATCTGAGACCTTGGAAAAATTATTCTCATGGAGGATCAGAGTTTCCATAACTCTCAAACACAGATAAGATGTTCCAGCCTTCAGGGCCATTCTGATGTTAATCTAATACGCAATGCACACCGTGCGTCACAAACCAGGAAGGCTACCGCTTCCTGGGCCTTCCTCCATCAGGGTACTCATAAAGAGGCTAAAGGCCAAAGTCAAGGGGATATTGCAGATATGCTAAACACAATCAGATACTTTTTTTTTCTTTTTTTGACATGGGGTCTCTCTATTCTGCCCAGGCTGTAGTGCAGTGGCGAAATCTCGGCTCACTGCAACCTCCGCCTCCCAGGTTCAAGTGATTCTCCTGCCTCAGCCTCCCGAGTAGCTAGGACTACAGGCGTGTGCCACCACACGCCACTAATTTTTGAAGATTCAGAACAAGAAAGTGTAAGCATGAGTAAAGTATCTGCGGACAATGTATGGTGCTTTCTGGAACCCAATGGCAGAGAGAAGGCAGTGGCTCCTAATTGCCTCAAATCGTTGGATGAAGAGAAAGTCTTTCAAGCTGCGAAGGGCACAGCAAACCCTGACAAGTAATCTTGAAGAGGAGGTTGTAAAAGAACAGCTAACTTTTGTTTTTAGTAAGACCAAACTTCCAAGGTCGGATGAATTAGTTGTAGGAAGAGAATTGAAAAGAAAAAAAATCGTAGATGTTCTGTCTTCTCTCAGCCCTCCTGTAGCAAATACAGTTTCAACTCCCTTAAGGCACTTGATAGCTTTCTGCTTTGTAGGGTAGTTATTCGTACACATAGAGTAGTTATTTATATAGTTCATCTTAGTGACTCCGACAGCACCAGCTACAGGGTCTTGAACATATCAAGGGTCTAATAAATATTGGTGAATAAATTGATGTTATGAAATTTCCATTAATAATCATCAGAATTCATTAAGCATGTATATGAAGATTAAAGATAGAAAAAATGTTCTCCAGGTTTTCTAAGGTGGATGAGAAGTAATGCCAAAAATTGCAAATATCAGTAGTCAGCAGAATTCCAGAATGGATTTGTAAACATGATCATGAATACAGATAAAGCAACATGGAATTACTGAGGACGTGCTTTTGCTTATCTGTTTGCTTATGTATTTCTTTGTCTATAAAACTCCCACCCCTCCATCCCTTTTTTTTTCTTTTTTTCCTTAGAGATGGGGTTTTGCCATGTTGCCCAGGCTAGTCTGGAACTCCTGAGCTCAAGCAATCTGCCCACCTCAGCCTTCCAAAGTGCCGGGACTACAGGCATGAGCCACCATGCCCAGCCCATCTTTTACTCCTTTCAAAATCCATTCATTGTTTGAAGACTTTTGTCTTATTCTGTTTATGATGCTATAACAGAATAACACACAGACTGGGTAATGTGTAAAGAACAGGAATTTATTTTCTCACAGTTCTGGATACTGGGTCGCCCAGGTGCCAACTGGTTTAATGTCTGATAGAGAGGCCCAGTCTCTGCTTCCAAGATGGTGTCCTGTTGCTGTGTCCTCACATGCTGCAAGAAGGGCAAACATGCCAATTTCCTCCAACCCTTTTATAAAGGTGTCAATCGAGAAAAATGATGAGACAATTCTCAATCATTTTAGGAGATTGATTTGCCAAAGTTAAGGATGCACGCCCAGGAGACAGTTCTATGCCTTTCTCTGAAGATGATTTTGAAGGCTCCAAATTTAAAGGGGAAAAGGTGGGATATTGAGAAGTACATAATTTTCATGTATGGCGGGATAAGGAAAAATAGTCATTCATACCCTTGTCTAGCTCAGTGCATCTGCTTTTTTTTATATATAAGATGACAGAGACAAATGGAGCAGAGGAAAAATGCAGGAAATCTACATTTTTACGTAAGATAGCATAGGCAAAATGGGGCAGGGGAACAATGAGATATTCATTTGTGTTTGGTGGGCAGCAGGGTGACTGCATCTGTAAAGATAATCTATCCATTTACATTGCCATGGTGAAATTTTAACAGAAATACCTTAAAAGATCTTGCAGCTCACTAGGAATTTCTTTGTGGGCAAAATATGGAGGAGACATGTAGCTTTTCATCTTGTAGCCATCTTATTTACAAACCAAAAGGGGGACGCAGATTTGCATGACCCAGTTCCTAGCTTAACTTTTCCCTTTGGCTTAATGAGTTTGGGGTCTCAAGATTTAATTTCCTTTCACATTTTCCCTTCTTTTTCTTTAAAATCTTTTGGAGAAAGCATTTTAGAAGGAATACAGCTTTCTGGCCTAGGGTTGTTTTTTCTTCCTTTTCTTTTGAGCTGGTTTCTCCTCACTAGGTTGGTTAACTCCTAGAAGTTCAGGTCCCACGTTGCTATGAAGGCTCATTCCTAAGACATTATGTCCCATGAAGATAAAAAAAAATGGGAAAAAAGAAGGAAAAGAAAAAAAAATACACACACACACACATATATATGTATATATATATGGACCTAGGCCAGATGTATAGCAACAAATAGGAAGCAAACCTGGAAGGTGGGTCAGGTTATATTACTGCCTCCTCAATTAGAGCAATTCCCTGGGCAATCATTACCCTAGCCCTTTCAGTTGTGTGTGGACTTATTTGCAAGCACATACCTTAACAACACTGTAAGCAGAAACAGGACAGAACAGAAATTATTATTATTATTATTATTCCTATTATAAGCAACAGCTTCTGCCACCAACTTCCCCAGGATGCAAACCAATCACTCAACCAATTGATTAGTGAGGGTTTTGGATCTGACAGGTTGGTTTTCCGGGGTTTCATATCAGTCATAAGTCAGGTTATGTTCTTCGATTCATGTGGAATATACACACAGCATTCAGCTTTTATGATGGTGCAGGCCCCCCGCTGTGCTGCTGTGAGTATATCTGAGGCCATATGGTTTTGCAACACAGCTTTCCTCAAAAGCATGACCTCATTATTTAGCAACGGGATACTCATCTGGCTATCATTTAGGGCCTTTTTGGTGTAATTCATTAAGGCCTCTATAGGCCATATAATGTCTTCAATACTTAGCTTCAATCTTCAAGTGATCATGCCCCTGGAATACTGAACGTGTCCAGTGAGATCGTAAATGAAAAAGGCTTGCTGGTTTTGGCAGGGTCTGAATTATTCACCCCTGTTCTCAAGCGTAACCTGGGGAACATTTTCCTAATCACCCTGGAGGTGACCACAGCCGTAAGTTAGTACCACACAGCCAATATGTCCCATTTGGAGCTAGCCAATAAATACCTAGTTGCTACAACCAATCGGTGGCATGCCAGTCAATGTCTTGTAATATGATAATGTGGTCACAGCATTCTCCCAGTATCCACCCCATATTTCTCATACTTTCTGGCCATAAATCCTTGGTGTGGTTTCTTTGCTCCCAGCATTTTGGCTGAGTTGGCCAAATGAAGGGGTGAGCCAGAGAAATTCATCCCAAATTTGCATTATTCCATTTTGAAATGGGCTGTTGTTTGGGGCATAATTACCACCTTTTTTTTTTTAGTTGTGGGGGATGCTAAAGTGAGAGCTAATGAGCTGGTCCTTTCCATTGAAAAACTTTTCCCATCTTCCTTGTTCTCTTATGCCAGCACTAAGAATACCAGACCATTTCTGTGATATAATAAATTTTTGGTCCTAACCTTGGAAGGAGGATACCTACCATGGCAGGCCAGAGCCACTGGAAAGAGGCATGAGTCTGTATATCCAGCAGGTGTCCTTTTGTAATCTGTCTGCATACTCCTGAGCCTATTGTAGAAACAGGTTTGTTTCACTGGAGTCAGTGGGTGAAAATGGCAAGAAGGTGTAGGGATATAGGGTCAATAATAGCAAGGTTGTAAAATTCATTTAGCTACTAAAAGGATGTTAAATCAGACAAGGCAAGTGTCCTGTTCTTTGTAAGACAGCAGTTGCCAGTAGCTCTGGGACAATAATTGTCATGGTTATTATACAATAAACATAGGCATTCTTTTGTTTACAGGCCTTGTCCTGTGTCTTGGGGTTAAACAGTCCACACAGCTGTCATCTGCTTCTATGCTGGGTTGAAGGTCAATGTTTAGTGAACTGGAGGTGAAGGTCTTTGATAGGAGTTACAGTCCACTCAGGAGTTTGTGTCTTTTTAAGATGAGAGATGTGAATCCATGAGGCTATACCCTCTAATTTTGTGGCACGTAGATTAGTTAATAGTACCTAGTATGGGCCTTTCCATCGAGGTTGAAGAGAATCCCTTATTAAATGTCTTTTTCAATAGACCAAATCTCCAGGCTGCAGATCTTGACCAGGCACCTTATCTTCAGGGAGCACACTGTGAAAGGAATTCTTTACCAAATCTTGGCTTTTTTAAGATGATAAATGAATCCCTCCCAATATTGTGATATATCTCCCTTGAGAAAAGTTGGATTAGTTATTTTCATTCCCATACATATGGGCCTTCCAGTTATAATTTCATAAGGGGACGGTTGATGTTTTCCAAGAAGGGTGGATTGCAGTATAATCAGCACTAGGGCGAGTGCTTTGGGCCAGGGGAGGTGAAATGCCTCTGTGAACTTAGCCAATTGTGTTTTAATTATTCCATTGGTCCTCTCCACCAGGCCTGAGGACTGGGGATGGTAGGCACCCTGAAAATGTTGAAATATGGCCAAACTGTACAAATATTTTGAAAAATCTGGCCAGTAAAGTGAGTTCCCCTATCACTGCGAAGTTCACAGGGGACTCCCCATAGTGGAGTCATTTTTTTTAGTAGGATTTTTCCAACTGACGTGGCTGTTGCTTGCCTGCAGGGAAAAGCTTCAACCCAATAGGAAAACATGCAGACCATTACTAAAACACTGATAACCTTCAGATGATGGCAGCTGGATAAAATCATGCTGCCACACCTCAAAAGGTCTGGCCGGAAGGGGAAAATGACCCTGGGCCCCATGGAGGGGTTTTCCTGGATTATATTTGGGACAAATAGCACATCAAGAGTAAGCTTTTTGTGCCACTGTGAAGGATGGTTTCCAGTAATATTGTTTATACCAGGATATAATTTTATCAGGATTCCAGTGGGTTAGGTTGTGAACATATTCCATAAGGGACACCTGACATCCTATTGGAATAATGGGTTTATTATTAGGTCCACACCATATTTCAGTTTCGGGAGACAAAAATCCCCCTGCCTGTTTCCAAGTAGATTTCTCTTTTGTAGGAGCTATGTTCTGGGTTTCTTTCAACATGTTTTTAAGTGTTTCAGGTTTTATGGCCATTTCCCAAATTGGGGCTGGTGGATCAAATGCTACCCTTTTAACTGTGATATCAGCCAGTTGGTTACCCCGACTTTCTGTGGTGTCTGACAGTGACCTGGGATTTTTATAGCTGCCAACGTTTTGGTTTTAGAATAGCTTCTAACAGCTCTGATACTTGTTGTCCATTTTTTATGAGTTGCCCTGAGGAAGTTAAAATATCCTCTCTCTTTCCATAGCCTCACAAAGTCATATGCAACCCCAGAAGCCTAGCACTGTCAGTATAAATGTTTGCAGCCTTGTCTTTTGCTAATTGACAAGTTCAGATCAGGACAATCAATTTGGCCACTTGAGCTGATCTGGCTTGGGGAAGAGGACTGGCTTCAATTACCTCTAGTAAGGAAACCACAGCATATCCTGGTCTAAAATTTCCATTCTTTCCTCTTAAATAAGACCCATCTGTATACCATTCTGTCTCAGCATTATCCAGTGGCATCTCTTGTAGGGCTGTCCTGGGTGTGAGAAATAGGTCAGTTACCAGAACACAGTCATGACGGGTTTTGTTGGAAGGGCCCAGCAAGAGTGGCCAGGTTAAGATTATTACAGTGGGAAATGGTAATATTGGGAGATGATAAAAGAATAATTTCATAAGAGGCTAACCAGTTGACAGAGAGATGTTGAGTATGATGAGAGTTTAGAAGGGTTTCAAGAGAATGCAGCACAAAAATGTTAAAGGGGGAACCCATATTTGTTTCTTCAACAGACTTTTACAGAAGGGCCATGGTTGCTATTGCTCTCACACAAGGAGGCAGCCCTTGAGCCACAGGGTCCAGCTGTTGGCTATGATAGCCTCTAGGTCTCTGCTGATCATCAAGTTTCTGGGTCAGTACCCTAGATGCAGTACCTCTGAATTCACGTATGAAAAGGGAGAAAGGCAATTTGTAGTTTGGGTGCCCTAAGACTGGGGCATTAGAATTTCCTTTATCTGTTGTACATCTGATTTTCCCTCTGGAGTCCACATGATGGGATCAGGTTGTTCAATTTTTAGGTACGCATACAGAGGTTGAGGTATAAGGGAGAAATTTGGTATCCAGTTTCTACAATAGCCTGCCAGGCCCAAAAGTCCTCTAAGTTGTTTCCTGGTGGTGGGCATTGGGAAAGCTAAAATTCCTCTCACTCTATCAGGGTTAATATTCAGTCCTTTGACTGAGATAATATGCCCCAAATACTTAAGTTGCAGTAAGCATAGCTGCAGTTTGTCTTTAGACACTTTGTGTCCCTTGGTGGCTGACTAAATATAGACTATCTTCCAGAGAGGAAGAGAGTATGTCTGAGCAAAGGAGAAGGTCATCCACATACTGGATGAGTGTTGAGCCCTGGGGAAAAATTAATCCTCTAAATCAACTTTTAATATTTGGGAACAGTAAACAGGACTTTCTGTATACTCTTGGGGGATTACAGTCCACATATATTGCCATTTTTTCCAAGTAAAGGCAAACAAATACTGGCTGTCCAGATGTACAGGAGTACTAAAGAAAGCACTGCAGAGATCCACAACTGAGAAATACTGACTGGTGGTAGGTAGAGCTGATAGAAGGGTATGTGTCGTGGGAAGTCAGGGACCCCGAATGGAGGGACCAGCTGAAGCCATGGCAGAAGAACATAAATTGTGAAGATTTCATGGACATTTATTAGCTCCCCAAATTAATACTTTTATAATTTCTTATGCCTGTCTTTACTGCAGTCTCTGAACATAAATTGTGAAGATTTCATGGGCATTTATCACTTCCCCAATCAATACTCTTATTATTTCCTATGCCTGTCTTTAATCTCTTAATCCTGTCATCTTTGTAAACTGAGGAGGATGTATGTCGCCTCAGGACCCTGTGATAATTGCCTTAACTGCACAAATTGTTTGTAGAGCATGTGTGTTTGAACAATATCAAATCTGGGCACCTTAAGAACAGGATAACAGCAATGTTCAGGGAACAAGGGAGATAACCTTAAAGTCTGGCTGCCTGTGGGCTGGGCAGAACAGAGCCATATTTCTCTTCTTTCAAAAGCAAATAGGAGAAATATCACTGAATTCTTTTCCTCAGCAAGGAACATCCCTGAGAAAGAGAATGCATCCCTAAGGGAAGGCCTCTAAAATGGCCGCTTTGGGGACAGCTGTCTTTTACGATTGTAGATAAGGGATGAAATAAGCCCCAGTCTCCCGTAGCACTCCCAGGCTTGTTAGGACAAGGAAATTCCCACCTAATGAATTTTGATCAGACTGGTTGTCTGCTCTCAAACCCTGTTTCCTGATAAGATGTTATCAACGACAATGTGTGCCCAAAACTTCATTAGCAATTTTAATTTCACCCCGGTCCTGTGATCTCGCCCTGCCTCTGTTTGCCTTGTGATATTTTATTACCTTGTGAAGCATGTGAGCTCTGTGACCCACACCCTATTCTTACACCCTCTCCCCTTTTGAAAATCACAAATAAAAACTTGCTGATTTTATGGCTCAGAGGACATCATGGAACCTGCTGACATGTGATGTCTCCCCCGGACACCCAGCTTTAAAATTTCTCTCTTTTGTACTCTTTCCCTTTACTTCTCAGACCAGCTGACACTTAGGGAAAATATAAAAGAACCTACATGAATTATCGGGGGTGGGTTCCCCCGATAGGTATGGGGGTTGGAGACTACTGGGTCTCTGGGTATTATGATATTTTTTATTACCCTCAAGTCCTGTACAAATCTCCATCCTCTCCCACTTGTCTTTTGTTTTGTTTTGTTTACAGGAAACAGAGCTGTTGCAGGGGCTTGTGGAGGGAATAATGAGCCCCCTTTTTCAGATAATCTTATATGATAGGGGCAATTTAATCTATGGTTTTTTGTCATAGAGGATATTGTTTAAGGTTGGGTAGGGGTTTCTTTGGGTTTATCTCTACCTTTAGAGGAGTGGCTGAGAATATTTTCTCTATATCTGTATGTGACTGAGACCATAAGTGGCAGGGGACATCCTGGAGTAAGTGTTCTGCTTCTGGGGTTAACAGGAAGATTGTGGAAGCCAAAAGGAGTTTTACTGTTTCCTGCTCTTTATTCCAATGTCTTCTCTTCTCCCCTAATATTTCCTTCTCTGTCTCCATTTCACTTTCCTGGTCACAAGGTGACGTTTTAACATTACTAGTACTAAATTGTGGTATATTGTCAGGACATTTTTGAATTTGGTATTTTTGGTGTCCTGGCTCCAGTTCTTAAAAGAGTTCACTTTTTGATGAAAAAGATAATGCCATAATGCCATATGGGCATTATGGATGTTGAGGAGATCCTGGCCCAAAAGATTGACAGGGGCCTCAGGGCATATTAGAAACACTCAAGACAGACTGAGCATGTCACACTTAGAGCCTGTGGTGGGGGAGCTGAACCTAACAAAATGGTAAGGTATAGGTTTGGACTTAAAACATGAGATAGTTTTATTAGACACACCCACCATGTTAATTCTTTCATTACCCCAAGGAATGGGGTTTCTAAATAAGGTGGGATTTATAAGAGATATAGTTGCTCCTGTATCAATTAAGGCAGTTGTAAGCTCATGGTTTATTATTATATTAATCTCTCCCAATTTCTTTGTCAGGGTAGACTATTTGAAGAGGTGAAACCCCTGAACTTCCTTGGAGCACCCCTAGTCTTCCTGAGTTGCACTTACCTGCCTTTTCTTTCCTTTCCATGTAAGGTAGCCTCTTTTAAGGTGTCCTGGTCTCTTAACAGTAGTAACAGACTGGGTGGGAAGAGTCCTCAAACTGAGGCATCTTAAAGTCTTTCCAGGCCTGAGAGGTTTGAGAAGTTAATTGCTTTAGCTGTGAATGCATAACTCGGGCAATCTTTTGTTTTTCCTTTTTTAGCATAGTGCGGGATAATTGGTCAGCTAAGTTAACTAGTTCATTAGTTCTGGCCGTGGCCCAATTTGTCATGTGGCATTTTACAAGGGTGGCTAAATCATTATGTAGTTCATTTAAGAAATTTGCACTTGGCTGGGTGTGGTGGTTCATGACTGTAATCCTAGTACTTTGGGAGGCCGAGGCCGGTGGATCACCTGAGGTCAGGAGTTCAAGACCAGCCTGGCCAACATCGTGAAACCCCGTCTCTACCTAAAAAATATACAAAAATTAGCCAGGCATGATGGTGCATGCCTGTAATTCCAGCTACTTGGGAGGCAGAGACAGGAGAATTGCTTGAACCCGGAAGCCGGAGGTTGCAGTGAGCCAAGATAGCACCACTGCACTCCAGCTTGGGCAACAGACTGAGACTCCATCTCAAAAAAAAAAAGAAAGAAAGAAAGAAAGAAATTTGCTTAATAATGTACCATTTCTATTGTTTTCAAAACAATCAGGTGACATCCTGCAATATTGTCTCAACATTTTATCAAAATGTGTAAAATAATCTAAAACTGATTCAACTGGGTTCTGGCAGCATTGTTGGATTTTATTCCAATCCACAACCCTTTGGAACACTGAAGGAATGATATTTAACAGAGCAGTGGCTCATTTCCGTGCATCTTTGTGCCTGTCTTCTGGATTTTGGGGGGCTCGTTGTTGTGGCTCTGTTGGGCCTGAAGGGGTCAAATCTGCTATAGGGTCTGACCACTGTGATTTTTCCAGCCATTCCTTAGCTTTAGCTTCTGAGACCAACATGTGGACTAGCTGATAAAGGTCTGAAAGACCTGGGTCATAGGTTCTAATAATTAGCTCAAATTCTCATGCAACCCCACTTGGATCTTTATGGGGGTCAGGAAATTCTTTTTTTTTTTTTTTTTCAGACAGAGTCTCGCTCTGTCACCCAGGCTGGAGTGCAGTGGCACAATCTCAGTTCACTGCAACCTCCACCTCCCGGGTTCAAGTGATTCTCCTGCCTCAGCCTCCTGAGTAGTTGGGATAACAGGTGCATGCCACCACACACGGCTAATTTTTTGTATTTTTAGTAGAGACAGGGTTTTGCCGTGTTAGCCAGGATGGTCTTGATCTCCTGACCTCGTGATCCACCCACCTTGACCTCCCAAAGTGCTGGAATTACAGGTGTGAGCCACCATGCCCAGCCAGGAAATTCTTTATGCCTCATAATTCAGTTTTTGACTAGGTTGGTAGACAATCACCAGGGTTCCCGAAATAGGGTGATCATGAGAAATGTCCCTGCAAGGTCCCTCTCCTCCACATCTTCCAATGAGAGGCTGCCACTGGGGCTACCAGAGAATCAGCAGGAGGTAGGGTCTTTGAAGTTAGACTCTCTACTGTCTTCGTTTGAGCCAGTGGTAGACAAGGAGGAGAAGATGGTAGATTTGAACATGCAGGAGAAGGAGGGTACAGATCTGGTTGGGGAAATTCAGAGAGATCAGGGTAGAGTTGGGGTGTTGGTGGAGGTGGGAGAGGTGCCAAGGGGGAAGTAAGGGATTCCCAGGGTTTCTTTAAGAGAGAGAAAAAATTAGAGAGTTCTTGATTATCTTTTCTAAATTGATTGTTGGCCTTCTGTAGGGAGATGAGGAGATCTTCTCCCCTTTTACTCTCCAGGTACCACTGAAAGTACCTCTCCCATTCTGGTTGTTTAGTTTTTGTGCCTGCGTTTTCCATCCTGGTTCACAGGTACACGAATTTGTGCATCTCAAAAGATCCCCATTTAGGCCACTGTAACTTAGAATCTGCTTTAGTTACAGTGGTCCACTTGGTTAAATATTTACATGACAATTCACCACAAGTATTTTGCATATACCTGGCCAGAGTTTCTAAAGGTGGAACTATGGTCCACAGCTGCTGGGGTTTTAGCTAACTTAGAGGACTCATTCCCAATAATTTAGATTTCCCCTTCAGATTTGGCCAAGTCAGGACATGTGTTGGACACAAAGTGTGCTGCTTGCAGACCTAGTTTTTCAGGGTCATTACCCCCAGAACCGGTTCAGTCCACCTGTGTCAGAGCTACCTGGCACAGCATGTCAGGGGCTCAAGGTGCAGGAAAGGTCAGCTCCTTATATGTGCCTGTTTGCTGAGATTAGACCCTAAATATGTTCTTCTGAGGGGGAAACCTACTTAGAGCTGCTGCACATCTTAGGGAGCATTCCTCCCAGACACCCTCACGTGATTCTCAGTTGCCGGAGAATGCCCCAAAGGGCTGAAGGAAGCAAGGTGCTTTTATTTCTTTAGAGTGGAAGATTCCACACTCATGAGCTAGAGGGTATGGAGTTGGTCAAATCCGATAAGGGAAAGGACCAAAACACACACAAAAAAAAACCAACAAGACAGAAACAAACAACAAAACAGTTAAGCAAAACTAGCAATGATCACGCAAATTACATGATTTCTGAATGCTCCAAGTGTAAGCAAAAATTAACAACAGCTAGTTGTTAGTGCTAACTTTATTTGTTTAAAAACAATTTGCAAGACAGAATTCCAAACCAGTTTCTTACCTAATGATGGGGCCCAAGCTGAAGACTGCTTTCCGCCAATGCAGAAGCAGACAGGCTTGCCTTCCTTGATGGAAGTGAATGGAAACTCCTCACAAAAAAGGAGTTTTTTTAAACAGCAAATAAACATCAGACCCCAAATTGAAAAACACTGGAAGATCAGGGATCCCTGGAGGAGAGAGGTCCTGGACTTCAGCAAATCATCCTATCGGTTTGGGCTATAATATGCCCAAGCTGGTACCAAGCACAGACAGGAGAGCTGCTGCAGGCCGGGCTACCTTCACTCAGGGTCCCTTCGTGGTTACCAGATGTCAATCAAGAAAAATGATGAGACAAATCTCATCATCAGACAATCTGCTGATTGGTCCATTTTACAGAGCACTGATTTGTCCATTTTACAGAGTGCTGATTGGCCCGTTTTTACAGAGTACTGATAGGTGCGTTTATAAACCTTTAGCTACTACAGGGCACAGTGGCTCATGCCTGTAATCCCAGCACTTTGGGAGGCCAAGGCAGGTGGATCACGAGGTCAGGAGAGCGAGACCATCCAGGCTAACACGGTGACACCCCGTCTCCACTAAAAATACAAAAAAAACTAGCCTGGCATGGTGGCAAGCGCCTGTAGTCCCACCTACTCGGGAGGCTGAGGCAGGGGAATGCCGTGAACCCGGGAGGTGGAGCTTGCAGTGAGCCGAGATCGCACCACTGCACTCTAGCCTGGGCAACAGAGTGAGACTCCATCTCAAAAAACAAACAAACAAACAAACCTTTAGCTGGACACAAAGCACTGATTGGTGGGCTTTTACAGAGTGCTGATTGGTGCATTTACAATCCTTTAGCTAGACACAGAGTGCTGATTGGTGCGTTTTTACACAGTGCTGATGGGTGCATTTACAATCCTCTAGCTAGACAGAAAAGTTCTCCAAGTCCCCACCTGACCCAGAAGTCCACCTGGCTTCACCCCTCACTATGATTTTATTATTGTTTATGTATATATTTTTTCAACCCTGTATTCAATAGTAGATGCTTAAGGTTCTACATGATCTATATAATTTAGGAGTAAACTCAGAATATATCATTATCTGAAATTTTTTTTAAGTATATGATTAGATCTAAGTTGATTTTGTCCCAAGAAATTGACATTCCACCCCAAGGCTATTTATAAATATAGCTAATGATATTGGTGAGTTTCCTAAACTTGAATTAAGGATATAACTGAGTCTGGGTATGGTGGCTCAGGTCTGAAATCCCAGAGCTTTGGGAGGCTGAGACAGGAGGATCACATGAGGCTAGGAGTTCGAGACTAGCCTGGGCAACATAGTGAAACCCTGTCTCTCTGAAAAAAACAAAAAAATTAAAATAGCAGAATGTTGTGGTGCACACCTGTAGTCCCAGCTGCTTGGGAAACTGAGCAGGGAGGATCACTTAAGCCCAAGAGTTTGAGGCTGTAGTGTGCTGGGACTACAGGCATGTGCCACTACACCCAGCTTTTTTTTCTAACTTCTTGAGCTGGGTACTTAGCTCATCAATTTTTAATTTTGTTTTTTTAAAAAAATATTTAAATGTTTCTAAGAATTTAAATTCCCTTGAAATAGTGTGTTTGGCTACATCAAATGAGTTTGAAATGTATTTCCTTTACATTTCAGTATCTTTATGACTTCAGTTTAAATATTTTCAAACTTCCACTCTGTTTATTCTTTGATAGTGAGTTATTTGGAATTGTTTTTAAATTTCTAGATGTACAAAAATGTATGAAAGCCAAGAACACCACAGGAAAAAAAGGTCACTAAACTTGAAAACACAGCAGTAGAAACTTTCAAAATGATAGACAAAGAGCAAAAAGACTGAAAAAAGAAAAAAACTAGCATCATTGACTTGTGGGACAAAATCAAATGGTCTACTTCTATTTGGAGTCCCAGAAAGAAAGAACTAGAATAAAGCTGAAATTAAAATACAGTCTTGAGCCACTTAATGAGGAGGATACATTCTGTGAAATGTGTCATTAGTCTATTTGGTCTTGTGCAAACATACAGTGTATTTACACAAACCTAGATCATATAGCTTATTGAACACGAGGCTATATGGAATAGCATATAGATTCTAGGCTACAAACCTGTTCAGCATGTTACTATACTGAATACTGTAGGTAATTATAACACAATAGTTAGCATTTGTGTATTTAAACATATCTAAATATAGAAAAGGTACAGTAAAAATACAGTATAAAAAGTTAAATATGGTACACCTTCCAGGTCACTTAATGTGAATAGAGCCTGCATGGCTAGAAGTTGTTCTGGGTGAGTCAGTGGCGAGTGAATGTGAAGGCCTGGCATATTATGGTACATTACTGCAGACTTTATAAACACTGTACACTTCGGCTACACAAATTTATAAAAAATGTTTTTCTTTCTTCAATAACAAATTAACCTTAGCTTACTGTGACATTTTTACTTTATACTTTTTTTAATTTTTCTAGCTTTTTGACTTGTTTGTAATAACACTCAGGTTAAAACACAGACATATTGTACAGTAGTATAAAAATATTTTATTTCTCTATATTCTTATTCTATAAGCTTTTTTTCTATTTTTAAAACTTTTTTTGGTTTACTTTTTAAACTGTTTTGTTAAAAACTAAGACACAGGTCTGGGTGCCGTGGCTCATGCCTATAATCCCAGCACTTCGGGAGGCTGAGGCAGGCGCATCACGAGGTAAGGAGATCAAGGCCTTCCTGGCTAACACGGTGAAACCCCGTCTTTACTAAAATAAAAATAAAAAAAATTAGCCAGGCGTGGTGGCAAGCACCTGTAGTCCCAGCTACTTGGGAGGCTGAGGCAGGAGAATGGCGTGAACCCAGGAGGTGGAGCTTGCAGTGAGCCAAGATTGCACCACTTCACTCTAGCCTGGGCGACAGAGCAAGAATCTGCCTCAGAAAAAAAAAACAAAAACAAAACAAAAAAAAAACTAAGACACACACACATGAGCCTAGGCCTGTACTGGGAGAAGATCCTCAATATCACTGTTTGCCACCTCCACATCTTGTCCCACTGGAAGGTCTTCAAGTGCAATAACATGCATGGAGCTGTCATCTCCTATGATAACAATATCTTCTTCTGGAATCCCTTCTGAAGGACCTGACTGAGGTTGTTTTACAGTAAACAACTTTTTTATAACTACTCTAAAATAGTGATAAAAAGTCGGTGAAGTAGGTTTATTTACAACAGCATCACCAAAAATGTGAGTAATGTGTTGCACTACAGTGATGACAGCTACATCATTAGGTGATTGAAATTTTTCACCTCCATTAGAGGAGCTAAAAATGGTAGGCTTATGGGACCATTGTTGACCAAAACGTCATCATGCAGTACATGGCTATATTTTTAAAACAATAAAAATTGATGGAGCTTATTGCCATCAGACCCTCACTAAACAAAGGTATAACTGAGGGTGGCCTCAACAGCCAGAATGGAACTGAGGCCTCCCTTCAATGGTCTAAGAACCGAATCCTGTCAACAGTCACTGGAGTGAGCTAGGAAACTGATCCTTTCTTACTTGAGCTTTGAGATGACCACATCCCCAGGTGATATCTTGATTGTGGCCTATGAGAAAAACCCTGAAACAGTGGATCCAGAGAAGCTATGCCAGATTCTAACCTCCAGAAACTGAGATAATAAATGCTGTTTCAATTCATCAAGTTTTGGAGTAATTTGTTAGGCAGTAACAGATGCATAGCTAATGCAACATTCTTCAAGAATAGTGAAATTGAACCCAAAGGATGGGACAAAGAGGCAAGAAAAAATGATATACAAAAAATTAGCAACAATGTGGGTAAATCTAAGCAATGATCAATTGGAAAACAATGACAACAACTATGATTTCATCATAGGGTGTTTTTTAAAGAGCAAGATAGAACTATATTACTGGACCAACATTCATGTGGAACAGGAACAGAGTAACAAGAGCTAATGAGTGTTATTGGCAAGATGCTTTCTCCCTTTCCTCCTTTTAATAATGGAATACCATGAATTTTAGTGGAGCACATGGCTTACTAGCCAGAGACCATCTTTCCCAGCTTCTGCTACAGATAGGTATGTTCCTATAACAAAGTTTTTGCTCATGGGATGCAAGTAGAAGTGATGAATGCAACCAGATAACCATTTTACAAGAAAGCTACTTGTTTTCCTCTAAATTTTCTTTCCCATTGGCTAGAAAATGGCAACTGGAGTGATCACATGAGATCCAAGAATGAAAGCTAAACAAGATGGCAGAGCCAATCCACGAACCTGGGTCCCTGCATGACCTCATGAAGCAGAGCCGCCCACCACTGTTGAAGGCACAGTGCCCAAGCCCCAGCCTATTCTGAATTGTCGCATGGGAGAGGATAAACATTTCTCCTAGTTAAGATACTTATTTTAAAGTCTCCTTGTTACAGCAGTTCAGCGTCTATCCTGACAAATACATCACTTGAACTCCAAAAGAAAGAAGAGAAGGAGGGAAAAACATCATAGTAAAAGCACATATTTTAAAAAGCATGAAATGAATTGTTGAAAATAAGGTCAAATATATCAAAAGTCAGTAGGTTAAAAGCACCAATGAAAAAGTTGATTTTCATTTAGGATGAAAAAAATCTGACTCTACCACATTTAGGAAAGACACATCAAAAATATAAAGACACAGAAAGGTTGAATATCAAATAATAGAAAAAGAAATACTAGGTAAATACAATGAAAATAAAGCTAGTTTGCTATATTGCTGTCTGATTAAATGGACTTTCAAGGAGAAAATGCATTATAAAGGATAAATGTATTCATATGTAATGTTAAACATTTAAACTAACCTGGAATATATAGCAACTCTAAGTCTGCAATTATCTAATCTATATGTGTGTGTGTGTATGTACACATATACATGACAGAATTACACGGAAAAATAGACAAATATACAATCACATTCAGAGATTTTTTTGACATACCACTCTCAGTAATAGATCAAACATTAAGTAAGAATGTAGAAAACTTGACACATATACTAACCTTTACTTAACAAATAATCCAATTCCCCAGTAAACACAGAGGGAACACTTACAAAAATGGACAATGTACTGGGTAATAAAGTTTCAGTAAGTCTCAAAAAATCGGTATCATAGCGACCACAATGTAGTTGAAATAAGCTAGAATAAAGGCTATTTACCCACCTCCATTCTAAAGTTTAAGTACTTCAGAAAATGGATAGAAACTTTTGAAATGGATTTATATGTGGGCTAACTACCCCTGAGCTCTGTAGAGAGTTTTGATATTTTAAGGTTGGCATATTATGTTTTCAGTACTATCTTGCACCGCAGCATGGAAACATGGATTAGTAGCTCTTAATTGATACTCTCATTATTAATTAATAAAAGTGAACTGCACAATGTTATTTAAGTCAGAAAAAAATGGCCGTCACAGTGGCTCTCACCTGTAATCCCAGCACTTTGGGAGGCCGAGGCAGGCAGATCACGAGGTCAGGAGTTCAAGACCAGCCTGGCCAACATGGCAAAACCCCGTCTCTACCAAAAATACAAAAATTAACCGGGCGTGGTGGTGGGCACCTGTAATCCCAGCTACTCAGGAGGCTGAGGCAGGAGAATGGCTTGAACCTGGGAGACGTAGGTTGCAGTGAGCCGAGATCCTGCCATTGCACACCAGCTGGGCGACAAGAGCAAGACTCCGTCTCAAAAAAAAAAAAAAAAAAAAAAAGGTCTGAAACTTCTTTAACTCTACAATTTTAGAAATGTAGTATAGGCCATAGGCCGTCTTATTGCCCAGGCTGGAGGGCAATGGCATGATCTTGGCTCACTGCAAACTCCACCTCCCAGGTTCAAGTGATTCTTCTGCCTCAGCCTCCCTAGTAGTTGGGATTACAGGCATATGCCACCATTCCCAGCTAATTTTGTATTTTTAGTAGAGATGGGATTTCACCATGTTGGTCAGGCTGGTCTCAAACTGCAGACCTCAGGAGATCCACCCCGCTTCGGTCTCCCAAAGTACTGGGATTACAATTGTGAGCCACCACGCCCAGCCTAGGCTATATTTTTAATTTTGGAAATTTGAGCCAAACTATTTCTTGCCAAGAGTTTCCAAAGATCCATTTTCACCAGGAATAAGAAAACCACCCAGTGCATGTGTGCATCTATGTGTGAAAGTCCCAGTTGAAACAGATTTGGCATTGCCCTTGAGTGATAGCAGTGATTTGATTTTCTTGCCCATAGCTCAAAAGTTTTCTTTAGCCTCAGACCTGGACTAAGTCATCTCAAATTGTTTATAGAATAAAAATTAGAATATTGTGCACCTAATTCATCTGTGGTTCAGATGAATGTGTAGTATGTGGTGCCATTTATTCCTTCCTGGCATGTTTCATTTTAATTTTTTTAGTACAAAACATGTAATACGTGGACTTAAGTTTCATGTCTTTGCAAAAGATTGCTACTGTGGTGTATTCATTCTCTATTGCTACTGTAACAAATGTATTATTTTACAGTTATGTAGGTCAGAAATCTGCAACAGGCCTCACTGGGCTAAAATCAAGGCATCAGGTGGGCTGTACTCCTTTCTGGAGGCTCCAGGACAGAATTTGTTTCCTTGTCTTTTCTGGCTTCAAGAGGCTATATGTGTTCTTGGATTACTTCCTCTATCTTCAAAGCCAACTAGCTAGTCAAGTCCTCCCCTCACATCTCCCTGACCCTTCTTCTGTCATCATATCTCTCTGACCTCAGCAAGAAAACTTCTCTGCTTTTAAAGGCTTGTGATTAATTTGGGCCCTGGCTGATAATCCAAGATAATCTCCTATCTCAAGGTCTCTACCCTGAATCACATCTGTGAAATGTTTAGGATGTTAGCCATGTTAAGGAGCATATTCACAAATTTCAAGGATTAGGGCATGGACATCTATGGGACCATTATTTTGCCTCCGGTACTTGGGTTTATATATCAAACAAGTTCAGCATTGACACTAACCATGAGAGAGTCCTTTCTAAGGACAGAATTGTAACACAAATATACAAAATTGTATATTCGTTCATTTTTCCACTTTCCAAGCTTTTTCTGACAACTGTGCATTAATTAAGGTTTCAAGACTTTCCTCAACATACACATTAGAAATAATGTGTGTGATGCCTGCCATAAGTACTATATCCAAAGAGTCTGCAGTCATAGGAAAATTTTCACTAATAAAAGAATAAATATAATAATAGCTACCATGTGTTGAGTGTTTACTGTATGCCATGCATTCTTCTAGATGCTTTACATGTTTTGACTTAATTTTTCTTTTTTTTTTTTTTTTGAGACAAAGTTTCACTCTTGTTACCCAGGCTGGAGTGCAATGGCACAATCTCGGCTCACCACAACCGCCACCTCCCGGCTTCAAGCGATTTTCCTGCCTCAGCCTCCCAAGTAGCTGGGATTACAGGCATGTGCCACCACGCACGGCTAATTTTGTATTTTTAGTAGAGACGGGGTTTCTCCATGTTGGTCAGGCTGGTCTCAAACTCCTGACCTCAGGCAATCCGCCCACCTTGGCCTCCCAAAGTGCTGGCATTACAGGCGTGAGCCACTGCACCTGGCTGTTTTGACTTATTTAATCTTCACCAAAAACCCTATAAGGTGGGGATCAGCATCCTTACCATTTTACTGATGAATAAACTAAAGTACAGTGTATATTTAAATTAAATGAGGTTTGGGGTGTCACCAAAAGAAATGATATTAGATAGCCTTTGGTATAGTAGTTTTTATAACAAGTAAACACAGCAGGTATAGTACATATTTTATATAGCATTCAACTCCTTAAAATTGATTTATTTACCTTTAGAGTTGAGAGGAAAATAGAATGGAATGCACACATTTCCACTTCTTTGAATCTGAAAGAAATGCTTCTGCTGGTGTGTGCATGTGGAGAGAGAGAGAGAGAGAAAGAAAGAGAAACAGGGAGAGAGGGAGTTTAATTGACTCAATATAAAACAAAATTTCCTCCAGCTCTGTTTCTCATCTTGTTTCTGCCACTTTGCTCTAGGATATTTGTTCAAGACATCAGATATGTGTAATGTCACCTTTGGAGTTTATTAATATGCAGTTATTAATTTGGAATTACTAATATGAAGGATGGATAAGAGCCCAACAATGAAGAAACTCCTGTTAACAGCGCTGGGAGAGTTAACAGTTCAAGGCCAGTGGTCACGAATGCACCACTTCATCTCTCTGGTTTAAGATTGAGTAATTTAAGATTGAGCAATTACCAAGCTTCCTTGAACTTGGCTGACAATATACTTCGGATTACAAAGTAATATTTTGCTTTCTTTCAATGCCAATTGTTATTTACAAGAGGTTTTAAACATTAACTGTGAAGCTTCCTATTTGGGGGACACTTTGAAGAATCTATCAAAACTCACCTTAAATTTCAACTTCTCAACTCTTTCTTTAAAAGCTTCTTCACGCAAATTAAAATCACTCTGCATGTCATTTTTCCTATCAGATTATTTAAAAATTCAACATTTGAACACATTGTGTTGGTGAGGCTGTTGGAAAACAGGCACTCTGATACATTGCTAGTTGTGCAAAATAGTCTCAATTTTGTTAAGGCCAATATGACATTTTTTTAATGCGCAAATTAATTTACTCTTTAACCTAGGGTTCCCACTTCTGGGAATGTATTCTACAGATCCACCTGTACATAATATAAAATGAAGTCTGCACAGTGTTATTTATTTGCAGCATTTTCTGCAATAGCAAAATGTTAGAAACAAGTGTCCTTCTTTAGGAGATTCATTCAATAAACTATGGTTCTGCCCCACAATTGAATAATATGAAGCTGAAAAAAAACTAGAGAGAAGGTGGCTCACTGTGTACTGATGTATGGTAATTTCCAGAATATACTATTAAGTGAAAAAAGTGAAATGTCTAACAGGAAAAGGGAGAAAATAAGAAAATTTATATTTATATCATTTGAACTTGGCATAGAAAAACACTGGAAGGATAGATAGGAAAAAATGGGAGCAGGAAAAAGGGTAGACAGGTAAGGTAGGAAGTTGGACTCCTCATTGTGTGACTTGTGATAGTGTTTTAAATTTGGGCAATGTAAATGCATTGCCTACTCAAAACTAAACAAAACAAAATAAGTGAAAGTTTCAAAAGAAAAAAGATTCCTCTATTTGTCACAGATTTTCCTAAGCATGTTGTACTTTGTAATAATCATGTATGTGCACTCAACTCATTCAGCAAGGCATGAGCAAAGGGGGAAAATGCAACAGTCTCTTAATAGAGAAAACTTAAAGTCTGGGTATGGTGGCTCACACCTGCAATCCCAGCACTTTGAGAGTCCCAAGCAGGAGGATCACTTCATCCCAGGAGTTTGAGATCAGGCTGGGCAACACAGGGAGACCCTGCCTCTACAAAAAAAAGTTCTTAAATAGCTGGGTGTGGTGACATGAGCCTGTAGTCCCAGCTACTCGAGTGGCTGAAGCAGGAGGATCACTGGAGCCCAGGAGGTTAAGGCTGCAGTGAGCCATGTTCATGCCACTGCACTCCAGTCTGGGCAACAGAGCAAGATCCTATCTCAAAAAATTAGAGCCAGTATGTGAGAAAAAAACTAGATTTAGGAGATCACAAAATGATATATTTCCTAGCTAGAAGGTTCTAAATGATACTTTGTCATTTTTATAGATTAAGAAACCTGAAGCCCAAATGTTAAATGACTTACCATATTTACTCAGCTAATTTATGGAGAACAAGAGTAGAATCTCAGGACCCTTGATTAATGATCTCAATGTTTATGTTGTTATACCTTAATGCTGCTCTACATATTAATGAATAATAAATCACTCTAATGAGGTAAAAATAACGTGTGTAAACTGTTTAAGCATTTTAACAGACATTATCTATTTTGACTATCATAGTATTATTATGATAAGGTAGTTGTCTTCGTCCATTTTGTGTTGCTATAACAGAATACCTGAAGCTGGATAATTTATAAAGAGAGGTTTATTCGTTTCATGGCTCTGTAGACTGAGAAGTCCAAGGGGTGTGGCATCAGCATCTGCTTGGCTTCTGGTAAGGGCTTTTGTGCTGGGTCATAACACAGAGAGAGGTCAAGAGGTAAGCAGACATATGTGAGGATGCAAAACACTAGAGGCAACCTCACTTTTATAACAACTTGCTCGAGCAAGAACTAATCTATTCCTGTAAGAACTAATCCAGAGGAGGCCGGGCACAGTGGCTCACACATGTATCCCAACACTTTGGGAGGCCGAGACAGGTGGATCACTTGAGCTCAGGAGTTGGAGACCAGCCTGAGCAACATGGTGAAACCCCATCTCTACTAAAAATACAAAAAATTAGCCGTGTGTGGTGGCTTGTGCCTGTAGGCACAGCTACTCCGGAGGCTGAGGCAGGAGAATCACTTGAATCCAGGAGGTGGAGGTTGCAGTGAGTCTGTGTCCGGAATTGGTTCCTTCTGGTGGGTTCTTGGTCTTGCTGACTTCAAGAATGAACCCATGAACCCTCACAGTGAGTGTTACAGTTCTTAAAGATGGCGTGTCCAGAGTTTGTTCATTCAGATGTTCAGATGTGTCCGAAATTTCTTCCTTCCAGTGGGTTCGTGGTCTTGCTGACTTCAGGAGTGAAGCCACAGACCTTCGCAGTGAGTGTTACAGCTCTTAAAGGTGGCATGTCTGAAGTCGATTGTTCCTCCCCATGGGTTCGTGGTCTCGCTGACTTCAGGAGTGAAGCTGAAGACCTTCGCAGTGAGTGTTGCAGCTCATAAAGGTGGTGTGGACCCAAAGAGTGAGCAGCAGCAAGATTTATTGTGAAGAGTGAAAGAACAAAGCTTCCACAGCATGGAAGGGGACCCGAGTGGGTTGCCACTGCTGACTCAGGTGGCCAGCTTTTATTCCCTTATTTGGCCCTGCCCGCATCCTACTGATTGGTCCATTTTACAGAGTGCTGATTGGTCCGTTTTTACAGAGTGCTGATTGGTGCATTTACAAACCTCTAGCTAGACACATAGCACTGATTGGTGTGTTTACAATCCTCTAGCTAGACAGAAAAGTTCTCCAAGTCCCCACCCAACCCAGAAGCCCAGCTGGCTTCACCTCTCAATCTCCCCACTTAACAAGACACCCCAACTGCTGTTGGGAATTGGGTGATGACCACTCTAGCTACTTCCTGCTGGATAGGGGCAAAGAAAGGACCCTGCAGTTGTAGTGTCCTCCAGAGGGGAACTCTTTAGGCCATTGAAAGGGCCAGCGGGTTGGTCCAGGGGTCCTTGGTAGTTGTTAGTTGAGCTCATTTGGGGTTCCATTTGTAAGATCATCTGTAGCTTGATAGCCTCGATCCTAGAGGAAACAAATTTGACAAGGAGGTTAAAAATACCGGGCCCGAAGGTGAGTAATAGCAAGATGGCTGCCATGGGACCTAGAAAGGGGAGAAGCCATGTTGCCAACTCCAGAGGCTGGTATAAGAGCTTGAAAGATGTTGTCTGATTTTGGAAGCCTTTTCCTGTAAATGCCGGGTAGCATCTCGTACTATCCCTGACTGGTTAGTGTAAAAACAACACTCTTCCCCTAAGAAGGTGCAGAGTCCTCCTTTCTCAGCAGTGAGGAGGTCTAGCCTCAGCAGTTTTGGAGAGTCACTGCTGCGAAAGAGTCTATTTGGGATTCTGGAGTAAGGATAGATTTCGTTATCTCTTGCAAACTGTCAGAGAAATCCTTTGAGAGTGTGTGGCAGTAGGATAATGAAGTAGATAAACCGGCTATTCCGGTTCCTTTAGCAGTAGCCATTCCTAACCCTATAAGTAGGGGTATTAGTTGTATGGCTCTGTGCTGACAGACTTGAGCTTTGAGGGATACTGATAGGGTCTGATTTCCTGGGGCAATGTTAATGTTAGGACTTAGAAAGACTAAGGTACAGATGCCTGTCCAG
Organism: Homo sapiens; assembly: GCF_000001405.40. Lineage (NCBI taxonomy): Eukaryota > Metazoa > Chordata > Mammalia > Primates > Hominidae > Homo > Homo sapiens. The sequence continues at coordinate 110,405,657 of NC_000011.10, read as the reverse complement.
TTAGTGGAGAGGCAGATATGTTGATGTTCCACATAAGAAGAATATACATTGGCTGGGTAGACAGAACTGGTTGTGTATGTTAAAAAGGTGTGTGAGTTTGTTATTTTCATTTTCCCATACTTCTAGAGTAATTGCCAAGGTAGCTCCAGTGAAGGAATGGAAAGGGGTGTTGGGAGCAAACTGAGTGGCTCCCTGTGTTCTATTTTCCCATTGGAGAAAAAGCCTTTTTGTATCTACTAGGAACCATTTGAGAGAGTGATTGAAAGAAGGGATGAGAAGGCATTCACTAGTGGTGGGGGCACTGATGCAGGGGGTCCAGGGATGAATGGTCATGGAGGGAGTATGTTTGTCATTACAAAACTTGGACTGTTTGTTAAGCAGGGAGGAGGTGATGATTTTTGGGGACCCAGAGAAGTGGACAAACTGTCTGAATGGAGCTGTTTGAGTGACTCGGAAGTTACTATGATCAGTTGGGCCTTGAAGTTGTTGGGTATAATTACACTGATGGGGTAGTAGGTGCCCCAGGGGCAGACCTGATAACAGGTTGCGTTGGATGCATAAAGGGGCTTGGAAAGTTAAGATGGTATTCATAGTTACAGGGCCATGTATGGGCTTTTCATTGCTTGTGTAATAGGTGACGTTGGAAATGTAAGAACACAAAAGTTGGATTGCATGTCCTGTTAGTATATTCTTGGTCCTATCAGAGATGGGGAAGTTGGCTAATGATTGCATATTTAGAAGTTGGAAAGGGTCTTTTCCTTCATAACAAGGGTGGTAGGTTAAGTTGGTAAAGACCCATTTTTTTGCGGGAATGGGAGGTTCCACCTGGCAGCAATTTTGGCCTCAGCATCTGCCTGACGGTTTCCTTCTGCCTTTTGTCCTTCACTTTTCTGATGGCTTTGGCAGTGTAAGACTGCCACTTCCTTGGGTTTTTGCACTGCATTCAATAACTCCATAATTTCCTTGTGGTATTTAATGAGGGTTCCCCCAGAGGTTAGGAACTCCCTTTCTTTCCATATTGCAGCATGGGCATGTAGGATTAGATAAGCATACTTGCTAACTGTACACACATTTATTCTTCTTCCTTTTCCCAGTTCTAAGGCTCAGGTAAGTGCCACTAGTTCTGCTAACTGGGAGCTGGTCCCTGGGGGAAGAGGCTTACTTTCAAGTACCGTTACTAACTATGGCATAACCTGCCCTTCATATCCCATTCTTCACAAATGAACTTCCATTGGTATATAGGTTAAGGTCAGAACTAACTAAGGGGACTTCTAAGAGATCATCTCGGGTGGCATAAGTCTGGACTATAATTTGTTGGTGGTCATGCTCAATTGGTTCCCTATCCTCTGGGAGAAAAGTGGCAGGGTTGAGGGCCACACACGTACGTATTTGAAGCACCGGTCCCTCAAGGAGTAGCACTTGGTATCTAAGTAGGCAGTTGTCTGATAGCCATAAACTTCCTTTGGCACCTAGTATGCCATTTACATCATGAATGGTCCAGACAGTGAGATCCTTTCCTTGTATTATTTTTATAGCCTCTGACACTGAGATGGCCACTGCCACAACTACACATAAACAGTGAGGCCAGCCTTTTGCTACTACATCAATTTCCTTACTTAGGTATGCCACTGGTTGTGGGGATGTCCCATGAGTCTGAGTAAAGACTGCAAGAGCTATCCCAGCTCCTCTGTTACGTATAAAGAGAAGTTTTGTCCTGTGGAAGGCTTAAAGCTGGAGCTTGTACTAGTGCCTGCTTTAAGGTTTTGAAGGCTGTTCCTGCCCCTGGTTCCCATTCTACTAGATGAGTATTTGCCCTCTGGGTCTCCTTGATTAGAGTATAGAGGGGCCTGGATATCTCACTGTATCCAGGGATGCATAGTCAGCAAAATCGGTGATTCCAAGGAACCCCCGCAACTGTTTTAATGTCTTAGGGCAAGGATAAGCCAGTATAGGCTGTATTCATTCCTTGCTGAGGGCCCTGGTTCCTCTGGCTAAGATTAGGCCTAGATATTTGACCTGCTGTAGGCAAAGCTGGGCCTTCGACCTAGATGCCTCGTACCCTTGATTTGCTAGAAAGCTCAAGAAATCTAGAGTAGCCTGCTGGCATGAGGCTTCTGAACTGGTAGCCAAAAGTAAATCATCCACATACTGAAGGACCAGAGTGCCTGGACTTGAGAAGTGGCCTAGATCTTGAGCCAGTGCCTGACCAAAGAGATGAGGGCTATCCCTAAACCCTTGGGGCAAGATGGTCCACGTAAGTTGGGATGTGTGGTCTGTGAGATCCTCAAAGGCAAAGAGAAACTGGGAGTCAGAGTGCAGGGGAATACAGAAGAAGGCATCCTTGAGGTCCAGAGCAGTGAACCATTTTGCTTCCTCTGGTATTTGAGAGAGCAGGGTATAGGGGTTGGGTACAACTGGATATAGAGGAATTACTGCCTCACTGATGAGTCTAAAATCTTGCACTAGTCTCCACTGATCATTTGGTTTTTGTACTCATAGAATTGGGGTGTTGCAGGGACTGCTGTATTTCCTTACTAAGCCTTGAGCTTTTAAATGTTTAACAATATCCTGTAATCCTTTATGAACTTCAGGCCTTAAGGGATATTGTCTTTGATAAGGAAAAGTGGTGGGATCTTTTAGCCTGATTTGGACTGGGTGGGCATTTTTTTGCCCTTCCACATTGTCCTTCCAATGCCCAGACTTCAGGGTTGAGACCCTCCTCAAGTAGGGGACAACGAATGGGTAACTTGTTCCCCATATTCATGTAGATAATAGCTCCAGCTTTGGCTAACATATCCCTCCCTAATAAGGGTGTGGAACTTTCAGGCATAACAAGAAAGGCATGTGAAAAGAGCAAAGTCTCCCAATTACAACAGAGGAGGTGGGAGAAATACCTGGTTACAGGCTGTCCCAGGATTCCTCAGATGGTAATGGACCTTGAGGACAGTCATCCAGGATAGGAGATTAACACTGAGAAGGCCACACCAGTGTCCAGGAGGAAGTCAATTTCCTGGTCCTCAATGGTTAAACATAGCCGGGGCTCAGTGAGGGTGATGACAAGAGCTGGTGCTTACCCTGGGCACCATAAGTTCTGTTGTTGGATCATCTGGTTGGGAGCTTCTGGCCCAGAGAACCATCGTACTCTGGGGCAGTGTGCCTTCCAGTGATTGCCTCGGCAGAGTGGACATGGATGCGGAGGTGGCTTGTTTCTCATTGGACAATCTTTTTTAAAGTGTCCTTGTAAACCACACTGATAACAAGCCCTACCAGGTGATTGGCCTGCTCCATTTTCTGTCCTCTCTGAACCACCAAGGTTTGTTTGTCTGAGGGTCATGACTAAGGCTGTGGCCTTTCTCTGATCTCACTTTTCCTTTTGGGCCTGTTCTTCTTGGCCCCTATTATAGAACACTGAAGTTGCCAGGTTTAATAATGCCTCCAGATTTTGTTCAGGGCCCAGGGCTCGCTTTTGGAGCTTTCTTCTGATTTCTGCAGCTGATTGGGTAATAAGCTTATCTTTTAGAATCAATTGACCCTCTAGTGAGTCAGGTGACAGGGAAGTATATTTTCTTAAGGCCTCCCGTAGCCAATCGAGGAAGGCAGAAGGATTTTCTTCCTTTCCCTGAGTCATGGTGGACATCATTGAATAATTCATGGGCTTTTTCCTAATTATCCTTAGTCCTTCTAGAACACAGGTCAACAGATGTTTATGACTCCAGTCCCCATGATCTGAGTCAAGGTCCCAGTGGGGATCCATACTGGGGATGGCTTGCTGACCAGTAGGGAATTTGTCCCTTTCTTTGGCTGTCAGTCTATCATTTACTTGACTAAGATACCAGGTATCTCCAAACTCTTGGGCTGCAGCTAAAGCCACATTCTTTTCAGTAAAGGCCAGGGTTTGATCTAACAATAGCATGACATCTCTCCAATGAGATCGAAGGTTTGCCCTAGACCCTGTAGGACATCTATGTGCATATCATGATCATCTGAAAACTTCCCCAGGTCTGCCTTGATCTGCTTTAAATCAGAGAGGGAGAAGGGGACGTGTACCTGGGTTGGGCCAAATTCCCCTCCCCCTACAGCTTGAAGGGGACATAACCAATAGCCCGGGGGTTTTTGTGATCTTCTGGAGATTTCTTTGCTTATTTCCTTCTGAGCAGGGGAGATTAGAGGAGGCTTATCATTAATAGGAAAGGGAGCTATAGGGAGGCTAGGATATGGGGTAAGCCGAGAGGTCCTCCTGTGGGATGTAAATTGCAAGCTTTGCCTAGTTGTGTATTCTCCTTCAATGAAAAGAAAGCTTGGACATAAGGTATTTCACTCCATTTGCCTTCCCTCTTACAGAAAAGGTCAAGCTGCATGATAGTATTGTAATTTATACTTCCCTCAGGTGACCATTTTTCCCCATCAGAGAGAGAATATTGGGGCCAGGCTGTAGTGCAGGAAAAAAAATGAGCCACCTCTTTTTCAGGGTTTGCAGATCAAATTGGTCCCAATGGCTTAGGATGCATTTCAAGGGTGAGCCTGTTGATGTCTGAGTGTTTCCCATCTGAAAGACAAAACCACCCACCGTTTTGGTTTGTTTGTTTCTCCCCCTGCCCAAGAACCTGTGATGGTCCCTGGACCCTGCTGATCGGAATAGTTGCACTCACCAACACAGCAACAGAAACACTAGTTTTCCTCCTACACCACAAGGAGGACTGAGGAAGGTCAGAGTTAGTGGCCCTTACTGATGCATTCTCAAAAAGCTGGACCCTTGCCTGTCCTCCTAGACCCCAAAGAGGACCAAGAAAAATCGGATTTAGTGGCCCTTACTGACACATTCTCAAAAACCTGTTAGAGCCCTAAGCTTTCTCCTGTTAGTATTGGGAGTTTGCCCCTGTACTATAAAGATGTTATGCCCCAAAAATGAAATGGAGGGCCATTCCCTGATTGAGGGAAGGGATCTCCAGGATTGGGAGAGTGACACCTTTTGTCCTCACTTATATGAATAGGAAGGATATAATTTCTGAGGCTCCTCATATCCTAGCTTCAGGAATAGCCTGTGTTAGGCCTGCTTGTATGAGGAGGGATCTTAAAAGGATAGTTGGTCTCCCCACTCAAAAATTATGTCTTTCTGATTGGTGAACCTGGGTGTTAAAAGAAGGGAATAGAGTCCTGGAGTTTATAGTAGAAATCATTCTTATAGGAGAAACTAGAAAAGCACCAGAGACAGGGAATGGTTTTTAGAAGTGGGACTAGTCTTGGAGAAGAGAGGCGAGAGGAAGTTTGTCTGACAGGCATTAGGACCCAGGGGGCAAGGGTCAGGATAGATAGGATAGATGGGCAAGTCTCGCTTGGGTGACATGACTTTGAGAGTTCCGCTCATGGCCACAGGGTCAACCAACTTGCTGTCAGGATCCCAGAGCTGAATGGCTTTCCTCTCTGTTGACCCTCGGCTCAACCCAGAAGTACAGGAAAAGCAGAAGCTGGTTCCAGGCAAACCAATGCTCCCAACTCTGAAGCATTGGGGATTGTTAGAGAGCCCTTTCCCAGAAAGCCTGACACCCATGTCTTTAGTCCGGCAACCACGCTAGTCGCTTTTAACTGGCTGACAGGTGCCTGGTATTTAGCCCCCAAATTCTAAGGAAAAATAGGACAGAATAGCAAGTGAAAGAGGCCCAATGCTGCTTACTGCTTGGCGATAGTCCCTTCATGGTTGCCAAAATGTGTCTGGAATTGGTTCCTTCTGGTGGGTTCTTGGTCTTGCTGACTTCAAGAATGAAGCCTTGGACCCTCGTGGTGAGTGTTACAGTTCTTAAAGATGGTGTGTCTGGAGTTTGTTCCTTCTGATGTTCAGACGGAACATCTATCCCCCTACAGCTTGAAGGGGAAGGGTGCATTCTACTTCTAACCGCTGTTTGCAATTGGGTAAATAAAGTCATTAGTTGTTCATCTGTATGAAATCATAACTAAGCATTTTCAATTAACTGTGTGGAATAAACCACGTATGAAGAATGAGAAATCACATTAATAGGCATATCAAAAGCAGTCAATATCTTAATTACCACCACAAGCTCTGCTTTTTGAGCTGAAGTATCGGGCGTCTGGAAAACTTTACCTTTTGATCCAGAATAAGAAGCTTTACCATTACTAGACACATCTGTGAAACGATGAAAATGCTTAGCAGGCTGCAGGTTGTTTACTGCAGGAATTGTAAATGTAAACCATTCACAGTCTTGCTCAGCTAAAGGGATAGTAAAGAAACAGTCTTTTAAATCTATGACTATTAAAGACCAATTTTTTGGAATTATACCAGAAGAAGGCAATCCTGGCTGTAATGCTCCCATAGGTTGTATAACTGAATTGATGGCTCTTAAGTCAGTTAGCATTCTCCATTTACCTGATTTTTTCTTAATTATGAAAACTGGAGAATTCCAAGGAGAAAATGTTGGAATTATGTGCCCATTTTCTAATTGTTCATTAACAAATGTCTCTAAAGCCTCCAGTTTCTCTTTACTTAGCGGCCATTGTTCTAACCAAATTGGCTTATTGGCTAACCATTTTAAAAGTATAGGTTCTGGAGGCTTAACAATGGCTGCCATCAAAAATTATTTCCTAATCTTTGGCAGGAACTTGGTCTTTCCATTTGAAGTGGTTTTTTCAAAACTTGCAAATTTTTTTCTAGTCCCATACCAGGGACATGCCCCATTTCATGCATCATATGTTGACTTTGAGGGCTATATAATTGTTCTGGAATTAGAACTTGTGCTCCCCATTGTTGTAATAAATTTATTCCCCCAAAATTTATAGGTACAGAAGTTATAATTGGTTGAATAGTCCCAGATTGTCCATTGGGCCCTTCACAATGCAAAATATAACTACTTTAATATACTTCAGCAGCTTTATCAACTCCAAATATGTTAAATTGAGCAGGTTGAATTGGCCACGCGGACGGCCAGTGCTGTAGAGAAATGATTGACATGTCTGCTCCTGTATCTGTCAAACCTTTAAATTTCTTTCCTTGAATAGTTATTTCACAGGTAGGACATTTATCAGTAATTTGATTTACCCAATAAGCTGCTTTGCCTTGTTTATTTGTGCTTCCAAATCCTCCTGTTCATTTAGTTTCATTTTTTCCCATTCTCATATATGGCACAATCAGGAGCTGTGCTATGCACTCTCCTGGCTCTGCTTTCCAGGGAACAGAAGTAGATATAATAATTTGAATTTCCCCATTGTAATCTGAATCAATGACTCCTGTATGTATTTGTACCCCTTTTAAACCTAAACTAGACCTTCCTAAAAGTAATCCTATTGTCCCCGCTGGCAAGTGTCCACAGACTCCTGTTGGGACCTTTTGCAGGGGTTCCCCAGGTAGAAGGCTCACAGCTTTTGTGCAGCATAAATCTACTGTGGCACTACCGGCTGTGGCAGGGGACAGACATTGTACAGGGGTAAGGGAATGGCCTGAGCCGGAAATGCCCCGGTTTAGAACAGGGCCCAGGACGGACCCCTCATGGCATTTCCCGAAATCAGGGTCCCATCTTTGTCAAACTTAGAGTGACACTGATTAGCCCAATATTTCCCTTTTTTACATTTTGGACATATTTCAGGATCAGCAGTTTTCCTTTTTCCCCATCTGGCTGCCTGACTCACTGATTTTTTTCTACATTCTTTTTTAGTATGACCATGCTTCCCATAGTTAAAACAAGCTCCAGGAAATGGAGTATTTCCTTTATCCACTCTCAGTCCTGCCATTTCCTGTGCCAACAAAGTAGCTTTATGCAGATTACCTCTGATACCATCACAGGCCTTGATGTAATCAACTAAATGTGCTTTCCCTCTGACAGGTTGCAGAGCAGCCTGGCAATCGGCATTAGCATTGTCAAAAGCTAATAACTGCAACACTATAACCTGAGCAGCCGAATCTGCAATCATCTTTTTAAGAGACTCCTGTAACTGAGCTATAAAATCAACATATGGTTCTCTTGGTCCGTTTTATAGCACTAAAGGAAGGGTAATGTTCTCCACCTATAGTGATTTTTTCCCAAGCTCTAATGCACACTCCTCTAAGCTGTTCTATGGCATCATCCTGCATGACCAGTTGCGCATCTAAACCAGCCCAGCCGCCAACCCCCAAAAGTTGGTCTACAGTTACATTAATTTGATGTTGGGCCTGGGCATTGCAAGCAGCCTGAATGGAAGCTTCATCTGCCCACCAAGTTTTAAATTGTAAGAACTGACCAGGAGTTAGACAAGCTTGAGTAACAGCATCCCAGTCAGTAGGAATCATCCAACTGGAAACAGCAACATTCTTTAACGGTCCCATTACAAAAGGAGAACCTGGTCCATACTGATTTATAGCTTGTTTAAATTCTTTGAGTAATTTAAAAGGAAAATGCTCAAATGTAGCTATAATACTTCCCCGTTGATCTGGGAGTTGTAGTCTAACAGGGAACTGCCAAGCCTCTAAATCACCCTCTCATCTAGCTTGCTGAATTCCTGCCTGAATAGAACTAAGAGCGGTCACTCAAGGTGCTGCTTGAACAGTCACTGGGACAACTACTTTTTGCCCGGTGTCCTCTGGAAAAGAAAGATCTGGAGGGTCTTTTTCTTCAAAATAATAATGAGGGGGTGCAGAAGGGTAGGGATGAATCTCTCCTTCCTTTGCCACTTTAGCTTTATATGGTTAATAAACATGCTCTGTAACCTCTTCTGTTACTTCACTATACTCTTGTTCCTCCTCATTATCAGTGTGAAAAGTTCCAAGGGGAAATGAACCAGACCCCACACCTGTTCCATTGTTACCCTGATGCTTCCGAGCTCCCCTTCTTACCATGGGGATTGCTTTAAGAGTACTCGGGTGTCCTCCAGCTAGTTTTCCCTTCCAACCATTGCTCCGGTGACCCTTCGACCTGGATTTGAGCCCCCACAAATGGACGCCACTTGCTGAGACCAGCTCGGTCAGGGAGACCCTAACCCAGAGGCACTAGAGGAATTAAAGACACACACACAGAAATATAGAGGTGTGAAGTGGGAAATCAGGGGTCTCACAGCCTTCAGAGCTGAGAGCCCCAAACAGAGATTTACCCACATATTTATTAACAGCAAACCAGTCATTAGCATTGTTTCTATAGATACTAAATTAACTAAAAGTATCCCTTATGGAAAACGAAGGGATGGGCCAAATTAAAGAAATAGGTTGGGCTAGTTAACTGCAGTAGGAGCATGTCCTTAAGGCACAGATTGCTCATGCTATTGTTTGTGACTTAAGAATGCCTTTAAGTGGTTTTCCGCCCTGAGTGGGCCAGGTGTTGCTTACCCTCATTCCCGTAAACCCAGAACCTCCCAGCTTGGGCGTTAGGGCCATTATGAACATGTTACAGTGCTGCAGAGATTTTGTTTATGGCCATTTTTGGGGCCAGTTTATGGCCAGATCTTGGGGGGCCTGCTCCCAACATGTGTGATGTGTCATATGAACAGAATGAAAAAAAAAATCTCATGATCATTTCAATTGATGCAGAAAACCATTTGATAAAATTCAACATCCCAGCCAGGTGCAGTGGCTGATACCTGTAATCCCAGTACTTTGGGAGGCCAAGGTGGGCAGATCACGAGGTCAGGAGTTCGAGACCAGCCTGGTCAACATGGTGAAACTCTGTCTCTACTAAAAATACAAAAATTAGCTGGGTGTGGTGGCAGGCACCTGTAATCCCAGCTACTCAGGAGGCTGAGGCAGGAGAATTGCTTGAACCTAGGAGGTGGAGGTTGCAGTGAGCCGAGATCACGACACTGCACTCCAGCCTGGGTGACAGACTGAGACTCCATCTTGGAAAAAAAAAAAATCAACATCCCTTTGTCATAAAAACCCTCAAAAAACTGGGTATAGAAGGAACATACCTCAACATAACAAAAGCCATATACCACAGACACACAGCTAGTATCATACTAAATGAGGAAAAACTGAAAGCCTTTCCCCTAAGATCTGGAACATGACAAGGATGGCCACTTTCACCACTGTTATTCAACATAGTACTGGAAGTCCTAGCTAAAGCAATCAGACAAGAGAAAGAAATAAAGGGCATTCAAATTGGAATGGAAGAAGTCAAATTATCCTTGTTTGCAGATGATATGATCTTATAGTTGGAAAAACCTAAAGATTCTACAAGAAAACTATTAGAACTGATAAATTCAGTAAAGCTGCAGGATACAAAAACAACATAGAAAAATCAGTAGCATTTCTATATGCCAACAGTGAGCAATCTGAAAAAGAAATTAAAAAGTAATCCCATTTATAACAGCTACAAATAAAATTAAATGCCTAGGAATTAACTTAATGAAAGGAGTGAAAAATCTCTGTAATGAGAACTATAAAACACTGATGAAAGAAATTGAAGAGGACAACAAAAAATGAAAAAGTAGTTCATGTTCATGGATTGGAAGAATCAATATGGTTAAAATGTCCATACCACCCAAAGCAATCTACAGATTCAGTGCAATCCCTATCAAAATACCACTTACATTCTTCACAGAAATAGATAAAAACTATTTTAAAATTTGTATGGAACCACAAAAGACCCAGAATAGCCAAACCTATCCTAAGCAAAAATAACAAAACTGGATGAATCACATTATCTGACTTCAAATTATACTACAGAACTATGGTAACCAAAACAGCATGACACTGGCATAAAGACAGACACATAGACCAATGGAACAATAGAAAACCCAGAAACAAATCCACACACTTACAGTGAGCTCATTTTTGATAAAGGTCTAAGAACATACACTGGGAAAAAGAATCTCTTCAATAAATGGTGCTGGGAATACTGGATATCCATATGCAGAAGAATAAAACTAGATCCCTATCTCTCACCATATAAAAAATTAAATCAGGCTGAGTGCAGTGGCTCATGCCTGTAATCCCAGCACTTTGGGAGGCTGAGGTGAGCAGATTACCTGAGGTCAGGAGTTTGAGACCAACCTGTCCAACATGGTGAAACCCCATCTCTACTAAAAATATTTTATAAAATTAGCTGGGCACCTGTAATCTCAGCTACTCAGGAGGCTGAGGCAGGAGAATCGCTTGAACCCGGGAGGTGGAGATTGAGATCACATCACTGCACTCCAGCCTGGGCGATGGAGTGAGACTCTGTCTCAACAAAAAAAAAAAAGAAAAAAAAAACAACTCAAAATTGATTAAAGACTTAAGTCCAAGACCCCAAACCATGAAACTACTAGAGGAAAACATTAGGGAAAATCTCCAGGACATTAGTCTGGGCAAAAATTTTTTGAACAATACCCCCACAAGCACAGGCAACCAAAGCAAAAATGGACAACTGGGATCACTTCGAGGTTAAAAACTTCTTTACAGAAAAGGAAACAATCAACAAAGTAAAGAGGCAACCCACAGAATGGGAGAGAATATTTGCAACATATTCATCTCACAAAGAATTAACAACAAGAATATATAAGGAGCTCGAACAACTCTGTAGGAAAAAAAATCTAATCATCCAATCAAAAAATGAGCAAAAGACTTGAATAGACACCTCTCTAAAGAAGACATACAAATGATAAACAGACATATGAAAAGGTGCTCAACATCATTGATCATCAGATAAATGCAAATCAAAACTACAATCAGATATCTATCATCTCGCCCCAGTTAAAATGGCTTATATCCAAAAAACAGATAACAACAAAGGCTGGCAAGGATGTGGAGAAAAGGGAACCCTCATACACTGTTGATGGGAATGTAAATTAGTACAACCTATATGGAGAATAGTTTGGAAGTTCCTCAAGAAAACGAAAAATAGAGCTACCATATGATCCAGCAGTCGCATTGTTGGGTATACAGTCACAAAAAAAGGAAACCAGTATATTAAAGAGATATTTGAACTCCTATGTTTGTTGCAGCACTGTTCATAATAGCTAAGATTTGTTTTCTTCTTTTTTTTTTCCTTTTTGAGACAGAGTCTCGCTCTGTCACCCAAGTTGGAGTGCATTGGCACAATCTCAGCTCACTGCAATCTCCACCTCCCGGGTTCAAGAGATTCTGCTGCCTCAGCCTCCCTAGTAGCTGGAATTACAGGTGTGCATCACCATGCCAGGATAATTTTTGTATTTTTAGTAAAGACGGGGCTTCACCATGTTGTCCAGGCTAGTCTCGAACTCCTGACCTCGAGTGATCTGCCCACCTCAGCCTCCCAAAGTGCTGGGATGATGGCGTGAGCCACCGTGCCCAGCCCATAATAGCTAAGATTTGGAAGCAACCTAAGTGTCCATCAACAGATGAATGGATTAAAAAAAGTACATATACACAATTGAATACCATTCAGCCATAAAAAATAATGAGATTTTGCCATTTGCAACAACATGGATGGAACAGGAGGTCATTATAAGTGAAATAAGCCAACCCAGAAAGATAAACATCACATGTTCTCACTTATTTGTGGGATCTAAAAATCAAAACAATCAAACCCATGGAGATAGTAGAAAGATGCTTACCAGAGGCTGAAAATGGTACTGGGGAGCAGAGGGGAGGTGGGGATGGTTAAAGGGTACAAAAAAAAGTTAGAAAGAATGAATATGGGCTAGGATTTGATCACAAAACAGGGTGACTATAGTCAATAATGACTCAATTCTACATTTTTAAATAACTAAAAGAGTGTCATTGGATTGTTTGTAACATAAAGAATAATTGTTTGAGGAAATGGATACCCCATTCACCATGTGATTATTTCACATTGCATGCCTGTATGAAAACATCTCATGTACCCTGCAAATATACACACCTACTATGTACCCACAAACATTAAAAATTAATTATTTTTTAAAAAGAACTAGTCTAGTCTTTCAAGAGTGAGAAAGAACTCACTACTGCAAGAATGGAGCTGCCTATAAAGATGGAGCTCCCATGACACAAATACCTCCCATGAGGTCCCACCTCTTAAAAGTTCCACCTCTTAGGCTGGGCATAGTGGCTCATGCCTATAATCCTGGCACTTTGGGAGGCCAAGGCAGACAGATCACCTGAGGTTGGAAGTTCGAGAGCAGCCTGACCAACATGGTGAAACACCATCTCTACTAAAAATACACAAACTAGCCAGGTAGGGTGGCACACACCTGTAATTCCAGCTACCCAGGAGGCTGAGGCACAAGAATCGCTTGAAACTGGGAGGAGGAGGATGCAGTGAGCTGAGATCACACCACTGTACTCCAGCCTGGGCGACAGAGTGAGACTCTGTCAAAAAAAAAAAAAAAAAAAAAAGTTCCACCTCCCAACATCCTTACATTGCAATTAAATTTCAACATTAGTTTTGGCAGAGACAAACCACATGGAAACCATAGCAGTAGTATAGTGTAATAATTAAGGCCCTGGGTTTTAGAGTCATGCTTTGAATCCCTGCTTCATCACGTACTTGCTGCATGTCATGGGGAGAATTACCTAACCTCTCAAGCTTTAGTTTCCTCATCTGTAGACTGGGGTTATAACGGTATTACAGTACCCACCTCACATGGTTGATGTGAAGGCTAAATGAGGTAATGCACATAAAAAACTTAGCCTGAGACCTGCATTATGTGCTTTCTGAAGGCTATTATTGTTATTGTTTTTATCTCACAGATGAAAAACTGAGGTTCAGGGGAATGGTTAAGTACCTTGCCCAAGGACAAACAGTTTGCCAATAGTGACTAAAGAACTCAATCTAATTTTTTTCACTTTAAAATCTCATGCTCTTTCCATGTCTATATAATTTATAGGTTTAATGTACCTTGTTTTCTTCTAACTCATTTTAGTAGTTTTCTACTTTGACTTGCAACTCAGTCAACATGAGCTTTGTTACAGAAAAGTAAAGATGATAGCCTGATGTGTTTGGGTGAAGTAAAAGAATAAAAAACTCTCATGTATGCAATCAGATTTATTTTTTGCTGTCATCACATAATCTAACAGATTATCATAAATATTAATTATCTTGTGCATTCTGACACTGTATTCTTTGACATCTAGTTAATTGCTGGTTAGAAAAGGTTTTCCTCATATAAAAAAATTTCATTCTGATATAAATTAAATGAATATATACCATTATAAATTTTGCAAACACAATTACATATAAATAATTTATATAACATTAATATTTAATTTATATTACATTTTTTTCTTTTCTTTTCTTTTGTGAGAGTAGTGTTGCTCTGTCGCCCAGGCTGGAGTGCACTGGCACCATCTCAGCCTCTAAAGTAGCTGGGACTACAGGCATGCACCCCCACCCCCAGCTAATTTTTGTATTTTTAGTAGAGACAGGGTTTCACCACGTTGGCCAGGCCAGTCTTGAACTCCTGACATCAAGGGATCCCACCTCAACCTCCCGAAGTGCTGGGATTACAGGTGTGAGCCACCACGCCTGGCCTGTATTTCTGGATTTGATCTGCCAGTATTTGACAGGGGATTTCTGTATCTGTGGTAAGAAGGGATTTTATTTACATCGTTTTCTCTTTTAATTTCTCTCTCAGGTTTGGTATCAGGCTTATACTAACCTCATAAAATGTTTTGGGAAGTGTTCACCCCTCTACTTTCTCAAAGAGTTAGTATAATATTAGTATTACGGATCTTTAAATGTTCAATAGACTTAACTAGCAAAATCACACGGTCCCGGAGTTTTCTTCATGGGAAAATTATTTGTAATAAAGTCAATGATGTGTGTATGTGTGTATTTTTCAGGGAACTGGTCAAACTTATCAAACCTTTTAAGCATTTGTAGGATTCTATAGTGATATCCTCTCTTTTATTCTTCATGTTGGTAATATGGCCCACAAATATAGAAATAGAATGTATAGAACTTAGTTTCTAATAGCATTTCCCAATTAAAAAAAAAAGGAGGGATCCTTGGAGAAATGGTTAATTCTACGACTAGAGCAGAAAATATACAAAATCAGCCTGGAGCATTTTGTAGCACCAGAATGTAAAGAACTGCTCAGAAACAGACATATGCAACAATTGGGGCATGTCAAAGGGACACAGGAACCAACTGGGACAGCTCCCAGTGGCCAAAGAAAACAATTTCAGCAACAAAAATTAAAATGGATTATAACCCAAAGTATAAAATAAGTATCCAATACTGATATAAATAAATGACTGAATAAATAAACAGTGAGAAATAGACAACTCTTTCCTGCAGAAAAATTCCAAATCATTTTATGTAGATACTCTGCCCTCAAAAAGTGAAGATTAAGTCCCCATTCTAAGTGAAAGTTGTGCATAAGAGTACAGAATGGAAAGGGGGAGAAAAGATTACTTTACACTGGAAAGACCTGACAAACACTACGTCATCCAACTGATCAAAGTCAACATCAACACAATAAGTCATGTTGACGGTGTGTAGCATTGATATGATGTTATGAGACTGTCACATCACCCCTGTGGTCTTCCTCCCAAAACCCGTAACCCAAGACTAACCATGAGAAAAACATCAAAGAAACCCCAGTTGAGCAACATTCTACAAAATACTTGACCAGGACTCTTCGAAATTGCCAAGGTCATCAAAACCAAGAAATTTCTGAGAAACTGTCACAGCCAAAAGGAACCTGAAGAGACATGATGACTAAATGTAATGTGGTATCCAGGATGAAATCCTGGGACAGCAAAAAGACATTAGGCCCTAAGGAAATGTAACTAGGGAAATCTGAATAAGGTATGAACTTTGGTTAACAACAAAAAAGAAATTTAAGAAAAGTGAAGGAAGGAAGAAAGGGAGGTTGAAAGGGAGTGAGAAAGCTGAACCAGGAAATAGAACCCACTTTTGCAATGGTCAGTTGACCTTCAACACAGCATCCAAAGTAATTTAATGAAGAAAGGACAGTGTCTTCTGCAAGTGGGGATGGAATAAAGGGATACCATTTTCAAAGGAAAAAATTAACCTTGATCCTTTCTTCAAATGATACATAATATTGACTCAAATGGATCACATATCTGAACAAAAAAGCTGAACAATAAACCGTTTATAACAAAGCACAGAAAAACATTTTCATGACTGTGAAGTAGACAAAGATTTTCTAGAAAGAACACAAAAACATAAATCATAAAAGAAAAAAATTGCCTCAAAAAAAAGAAAAAAGAAAAGAAAAGAAAAAAATCGGCTGGGGCTAGGTGCTGTGTGGCTCACGCTTGTAATTCCAGCACTGTGGGAGGCTGAGGCAGGTGGATCACCTGAGGTCAGGAGTTCAAGACCAGCCTGACCAACATGATGAAACCCGGTCTCTACTAAAATACAAAAATTAGCCAAGTGTGGTGATGTGCACCTCGGGAGGTTCCCATCTACTCAGGAGGCTGAGGCATGAGAATCACTTGAACCCAAGAGGTGGAGGTTGCAGTGAGCCAAGTTCATAACACTGCACCCCAGCCTGGGTGACAAAAGCAAAACTCTGTCTCAAACAAAAAAAAAAATTGGCTGGGCTTAGTGGTTCATGCCTGTAATCCCAGAACTTTGGGAGGCCGAGGCAGGCAGATAGATCACTTGAGGTCAGGAGTTTGAGACCAGCCTGGCTAATATGACGAAATCCCAACTCTACTAAAAATACAAAAATTAGCTGGGCATGGTGGCACACACCTGTAATCCCAGGTACTCGAGAGGCTGAGGCAGGAGAATCGCTTGAACCCTGGAGGCGGAGGTTGCAGTGAGCCGAGATCATGTCACTGCACTTCAACCTGGGTGACAGAGTGAGAATCTGTCTCAAAAACATAAAAGAAAAGAAAAAAATTGGTACCTGAAATAGGGGGGCAGTTCAAAGATGGCTGAATAGGAACAGCTCCAGTCTATAGCTCCCAGCATGAGCGACGCAGAAGGCGGGTGATTTCTGCACTTCCAACTGAGGTACCAGGTTCATCTCACTGGGGATTGTTGGACAGTGGGTGCAGGACAGTGGGTGCAGTGCACTGACCATGAGCCGAAGCAGGGCGAGGCATCGCCTCACCTGGGAAGTGCAAGGGGTGAGGGAATTCTCTTTCATAGCCAAGGGAAGGGGTGACAAATGGCACCTGGAAAATTGGGTCACTCCCACCCTAATACTGCACTTTTCCAATGGTCTTAGCAAACAGCACACCAGGATATTATATCCTGCGCATGGCTCGGAGGGTCCTACGCCCACAGAGCCTCGCTCATTGCCAGCACACCAGTCTGAGATCAAACTGCAACACCACAGCGAGACTGGGGGAGGGGAGCTCACCATTGCTGAGGCTTGAGTAGGTAAACAAAGCGGCCAGGAAGCTCGAACTGGGTGGAGCCCACCGCAGCTCAAGGAGGCCTGCCTGCCTCTGTAGACTCCACCTATGGGGGCAGGGCATAGCAGAACAAAAGGCAGTAGAAACCTCTGCAGACTTAAAAGTCCCTGTCGGACAGCTTGGAAGAGAGTAGTGGTTCTCCCAGCACAGAGCCTGAGATCTGAGAATGGACAGACTGCCTCCTCAAGTTGGTCCCTGACCCCTGAGTAGCCTAACTGGGAGGCACCTCCCAGTAGGGGCAGACTGACACCTCACATGGCTGGGTACCCCTCTGAGACGAAACTTCCAGAGGAACAATCAGGCAGCAACATTTGCCGTTCACCAATATTCTCTGTTCTGCAGCCTCCGTGGCTGATACCCAGGCAAACAGGGTCTGGAGTGGACCTCCAGCAAACTCCAACAGACCTGCAGCTGAGGGTCCTCACTGTTAGAAGGAAAACTAACAAACAGAAAGGACATCCACACCAAAATCCCATCTGTACGTCACCATCATCAAAGACCAAAGGTAGATAAAACCACAAAGATGAGGAAAAAATAGAGCAGAAAAACTGAAAATTCTAAAAATCAGAGCGCCTATCCTCCTTCAAAGGAACGCAACTCCTCACCAGCAATGGAACAAAGCTGGATGGAGAATGACTTTGATGAGTTGAGAGAAGAAGGCTTCAGACGATCAAACTTCTCTGAGCAAAAGGAGGAAGTTTGAACCCAACACAAAGAAGTTAAAAACCTTGAAAAAAGATTAGATGAATGGCTAACTAGAATAACCAATGCAGAGAAGTCCCTAAAGGACCTGATGGAGCTGAAAACCATGGCATGAGAACTATGTGATGAATGCACAAGCTTCAGTGGCCGATTCAATCAATTGGAAGAAGGGTATCAGTGATAGAAGATCAAATGAATGAAATAAAGTGAGAAGAGAAGTTTTGAGAAAAAAGAGTAATAAGAAATGAACAAAGCCTCCAAGAAATATGGGACTATGTGAAATGACCAAATCTACCACTGATTGGTGTACCTGAAAGTGACGGGGAGAATGGAATCAAGTTGGAAAACACTCTGCAGGATATTATCCAGAACTTCCCCAACCTAGCAAGGCAGGCCAACATTCAAATTCAGGAAATACAGAGAACACCACAGAGATACTCCTCGAGAAGAGCAACTCCAAGACACATCATTGTCAGATTCACCAAAGTTGAAATGAAGGAAAAAATGTTAAGGGCAGCCAGAGAGAAAGGTTGGGTTACCCACAAAGGGAAGCCCATCAGACTAAAGTGGATCTCTTGGAAGAAACTCTACAAGCCAGAAGAGAGTGGGGGCCAATATTCAACATTCTTAAAGAAAAGAATTTTCAACCCAGAATTTCATATCCAGCCAAACTAAGCTTCATAAGTGAAGGAGAAATAAAATCCTTTACAGACAAGCAAATGTTGACAGATTTTGTCACCACCAGGCATGCCCTAAAAGAGCTCCTGAAGGAAGCACTAAACATGGAAAGGAACAACTGGTACCAGCTACTGCAAAAACATGCCAAATTGCAAAGACCATCAAGGCTAGGAAGAAACTGCATCAACTAACGAGCAAAATAACCAGCTAACATCATAATGACAGGATCAAATTCACACATAACAATATTAACTTTAAATGTAAATGGGCTAAATGCTCCAATTAAAAGACACAGACTGGCAAATTGGATAAAGAATCAAGACCCACCAGTGTGCTGTATTCAGGACACACATAGGCTCAAAATAAAGGGATAGAAGAAGATCTAACAAGCAAATGGAAAACAAAAAAAGGCAGGGGATGCAATCCTAGTCTCTGATAAAACAGACTTTAAACCAACAAAAATCAAAAGAGACAAAGAAGGCCATTACATAATGGTAAAGGGATCAATTCAACAAGAAGAGCTAACTATCTTAAATATATATGCACCCAATACAGGAGCACCCAGATTCACAAAACAAGTCTTTAGAGACCTACAAAGAGACTTAGACTCCCACACAATAATAATGAGAGACTTTAACACCCCACTGTCAACATTAGACAGATCAACGACACAGAAAGTTAACAAGGATATCCAGGAATTGAACTCAGCTCTGCACCAAGCAGACCTAATAGACATCTACCGAACTCTCCACCCCAAATCAACAGAATATACATTCTTCTCAGCACCACACCACACTTATTCCAAAATTGACCACACAGTTGGAAGTAAAGCACTCCTCAGCAAATGTGAAAGAACAGAAATTATAACAAACTGTCTCCCAGACCACATTGCAATCAAACTAGAACTTAGGATTAAGAAACTCATTCAAAACTGCTCAACTACATGGAAACTGAACAACCTGCTCCTGAATGACTATTGGGTACATAAAGAAATGAAGGCAGAAATAAAAGATGTTCTTTGAAACCAACCAGAACAAAGACACAACATAACAGAATCTCTGGGACACATTCAGAGCAGTGTGTAGAGGGAAATTTATAGCACTAAATGCCCACAAGAGAAAGCAGAAAAGATCTAAAATTGACACCTTAACATCACAATTAAAAGAACTAGAGAAGCAAGAGCAAACATTTTCAAAAGCTAGCAGAAGGCAAGAAATAACTAAGATCAGAGCAGAACTGAAGGAAATAGAGACACAAAAAACGCTTCAAAAAATCAATGAATCCAGGAGCTGGTTTTCTGAAGAGATCAACAAAATTGAGAGACCGCTAGCAAGACTAACAAAGAAGAAAAGAGAGAAGAATCAAACAGACACCATAAAAAAAGATAAGGGGGATATCACCACTGATCCCACAGAAATACAAACTACCATCAGAGAATGCTATAAACACCTCTATGCAAATAAACTAGAAAATCTAGAAGAAATGGATAAATTCCTGGACACATACACTCTCCCAAGACTAAACCAGGAAGAAGTTGAATCTCTGAATAGACCAATAACAGCCTCTGAAACTGAGGCAATAATTAATAGCTTACCAACCAAAAAAAGTCCAGGACCAGATGGATTTACAGCTGAATTCTACCAGAGGTACAAGGAGGAGCTGGTACAATTCCTTCTGAAACTATTCCAATCAATAGAAAAAGAGGGAATCCTCCCTAACTCATTTTATGAGGCCAGCATCATCCTAATACCAAAGCCTGGCAGAGACACAACAAAAAAAGAGAATTTTAGACCAATATCCCTGATGAACATCGATGTAAAAATCCTCAATAAAATACTGGCAAACCGAATCCAGCAGCACATCAAAAAGCTTATCCACCATGATCAAGTGGGCTTCATCCCTGGGATGCAAGGCTGGTTCAACATATGCAAATCAATAAAGGTAATCCAGCATATAAACAGAACCAATGACAAAAACCACATGATTATCTCAATAGATGCAGAACAGGCCTTTGACAAAATTCAACAGTCCTTCATGCTAAAAACTCTCAATAAATTAGGTATTGATGGGACGTATCTCAAAATAATAAGAGCTATCTATGACAAACCCACAGCCAATATCATACTGAATGGGCAAAAACTGGAAGCATTCCCTTTGAAAACTGGCACAAGACAGGGGTGCCGTCTCTCACCACTCCTATTCAACATAGTGTTGGAAGTTCTGGCCAGGGCAATCAGGCAGGAGAAAGAAATAAAGGCTATTCAATTAGGAAAAGAGAAAGTCAAATTGTCCCTGTTTGCAGATGACATGATTGTATATCTAGAAAACCCCATCGTCTCAGCCCAAAATCTCCTTAAGCTGATAAGCAACTTCAGCAAAGTCTCAAGATACAAAATCAATGTGCAAAAATCACAAGCATTCTTATACACCAATAACAGACAAACAGAGAGCCAAATCATGAGTGAACTCCCATTCACAATTGCTTCAAAGAGAATAAAATACCTAGGAATCCAGCTTACAGTGGATGTGAAGGACCTCTTCAAGGAGAACTACAAACGACTGCTCAATGAAATAAAAAAGTATACAAATAAATGGAAGAACATTCCATGCTCATGGATAGGAAGAATCAATATCGTGAAAATGGCCATACTGCCCAAGGTAATTTATAGATTCAATGCCACCCCCATCAAGCTACCAATGACTTTCTTCACAGAATTGGAAAAAACTACTTTAAAGTTCATATGCAACCAAAAAAGAGCCCGCATTGCCAAGTCAATCCTAAGCCAAAAGAACAAAGCTGGAGGCATCATGCTATCTGACTTCGAACTATACTACAAGGCAACAGTAGCCAAAACAACAAGGTACTGGTACGAAAACAGAGATATAGACCAATGGAATAGAACAGAGCACTCAGAAATAATACCACACATCTACAGCTATCTGATCTTTGACAAACCTGACAAAAACAAGAAATGGGGAAAGGATTCCCTATTTAACAAATGGTGCTGGGAAAACTGGCTAGCCACATGCAGAAAGCTGAAACTGGATCCCTTCCTCACACCTTATACAAAAATTAATTCAAGATGGATTAAAGACTTACATGTTAGACCTAAAACTATAAAAACCCTAGAAGAAAACCTAGGCAATACCATTCAGGACATAGGCATAGGCAAGGACTTCATGTCTAAAACACCAAAAGCAATGGCAACAAAAGCCAAAATTGACAAATGGGATCTAATTAAACAAAAGAGCTTCTGCACAGCAAAAGAAACTACCATCAGAGTGAACAGGCAACCTACAGAATGGGAGAACATTTTTGCAACCTACTCATCTGACCAAGGGCTAATATCCAGAATCTACAATGAACTCAAACAAATTTACAAGAAAAAAACAAACAACCCCATCAACAAGTGGGCGAAGGATATGAACAAACACTTCTCAAAAGAAGACATCTATGCAGCCAACAGACACATGAAAAAATGCTCATCATCACTGGCCATCAGAGAAATGCAAATCAAAACCACAATCAGATACCATCTCACACCAGTTAGAATGGCGATCATTAAAAAGTCAGGAAACAACAGGTGCTGGAGAGGATGTGGAGAAATAGGAACACTTTTATACTGTTGGTGGGACTGTAAACTGGTTCAACCATTGTGGAAGACAGTGTGGTGATTCCTCAGGGATCTAGAACTAGAAATACCATTTGACCCAGCCATCCCATTACTGGGTATATACCCAAAGGATTATAAATCATGCTGCTATAAAGACACATGCACACGTATGTTTATTGCAGCACTATTCACAATAGTAAAGACCTGGAACCAACCCAAATGTCCAACAGTGATAGACTGGATTAAGAAAATGTGGCACATATACACCATGGAATACTATGCAGCCTTAAAAAAGGATGAGTTCATGTCCTTTGTAGGGACACGGAGGAAGCTGGAAACCATCATTCTCAGCAAACTATTGCAAGGACAAAAAAACCAAACATCGCATGTTCTCACTCATAGGTGGGAATTGAACAGTGAGAACACTTGGACACAGGAAGGGGGACATCACTCACCAGGGCCTGTTGTGGGGTTTGGGGAGGGGGGAGGGATAGCATTAGGAGATATACCTAATGTAAATGACCAGTTAATGGGTGCCGCACACCAACATGGCACATGAATCCATATGTGACAGAACTTAAAGTATAATAAAAAGTAAATAAATAAAAAGTAAAAAAAAAGAAAAAAATTGATAAGTTGGACTTTTTTCTAATTAAAACTGCTGCTCTTTGAAAGACATTGATAAGAAAATAAAAAAAGACAAGCCATAGACTGGGAGAAAATATTCACCACACATATATCTAACAAAGGACTTGTATCCAGAATATAAAGAACTCTTACAATTTGATAACAAGAAAAACAACCCAACTTAAAATGGGCAAAAACCTTCTGAACAAATACCTTGCAAAAGAATTAATAGGATTTGCGAGTAAGCACTTGAAAAGATACTCACCATTATAACTAACTCATCAAGGAATTCAAACCACAAAAATATATACTACTATACATTCATTTGAATGGCTAAAATGTAAAAGACTGACAATATGAAGTGTTGGAAATGATGTGAGGCAACTGTTAAGAATGTGAAATGGTACACTCACTTGAGAAGGTATTCCAGCAGTCTCCTATAAAGTTAAATATACAGTTAATATATATTACGTGACCCAGAATGACACAGTCAAGAGAAATGAAATGCTATCCTTAAAAAGATTTGCACACGATTGTTGTCATGGCTTTACTAGTAATAGTCCAAACTAGAAACAACCCAACTGTCTCATCAACAGGTGAATATATAACCAAATTATGCACGTCTGTAAAATAGAATACAAGTCAGCAAGAGAAAGGAATAAGCTGCTAATAAAAACAACAGGAACAAATTTCAAAAACATTATGCTAAGCAAAAGAAACCAGACAGAAAAGATTGCATATAGGCCGAGCGTGATGGTTCATACCTATAATCTCAGCACTTTGGGAGGCCAAAGTCAGAAGATCCCTTTAGGCCTGGAGTTTGAGACCAGCCTGGGCAATGTGGCAAGACATCATCTCTACTAAAAATAAAAACTTAAAATTAATTAAAATAAAAAGATTACATACTGTATGATTCAATCATATTAATCCTAGAACTAGCAGAAAACTAAAGCTGATCAGTGATTGCCTGTGGGTAAGGGTGCAAGAGTACAGACATGATGGAAATATTCTATATATTGACTGTGGCAGTGGCTACTAAAGGTGTATGCGTACTTTTGTCAAAACTCATAGAAAGGTGCAATTAAAATATGAACATTTTACTGTACGTAAATTATGCCTCAATGAAGTTGATTTTCTTGATGTCACCTTGTTCTCCAGCTACTGTTTCATTTTTCTGTCCCTCTTTACAGAAAAATTCCTCAAGAGTTACAGATACTTGGCTGGGTTGGGAGGCTGAAGTGGGCAGATCACAGCTCAGGAGTTCAACACCAGCCTGGGCAATATGGTGAAACCCCATTTCTACAAAAAAATACAAAGTGGCTCATGACTGTAGACCCAGCTACTCTGGAGGCTGAAGTGGGAGGATCCCTTCAGCCCAGGAAGTGGAGGTTGCAGTGAGTCAAGATCACACCACTGCACTCCAGCATGGGTGACAGAGCAAGAGCCTGTCTCGAAACAAAAAAACAAACAAGAGTTACAGATAGTCCATCTTCTCTGTCACTCCTCTCATTATCTCTTTATACTCTTTATACACAATTTGGTTATGTATTCACCTGTTGATGGGATAGTTGAGTTGTTTCCAGTTTGGATTATTATTTTTAAGAGACGACCAATGTATACACTATCTTCCATTTCTATCCTCCCATCCTTTCCTTAAACCATCAAATTTAAACTTTCACTTCATCACTTCACTGAAATTGCTCTAATCTATGTCATCAATGATTTCCACATAGCTAAATGTCATGGTCTATTTTCTGTCCTTGTCTTACTTGATCCCACCCGCATCATTTGTCATGTGGCAAATGCTTCCTTCCGTTGTCTTGGAGGACAGCATTCTTGGTTCTGCCCCTATCTTGGGGTCTTTTCTCAGTCTCTTTTGCTGGTTTATCCTCATGTTCCCAATTCTAACTGTTGCAGTGCCTCAGGGATCAATCCTCAAACTTTTATTTTCCCCTGTTTCTGTTTGGAAATCTAATGTAGGTTCCTGGCTTTAAAATATATCTAAATATCATCTGTTGCTGAAGCATGTGTTTATACCTCCAGCTCAGGCCTCTATCCTGAATTCCAAATCTGATTTTCCAACTACCTACTCAACATCTTTACTTGGATGTCTAACAGGACTCTCAGATTAACACATGCAAAACGGATATATTGATTTCTGCATTACTTCCCTTGAAAAAAAAAAAAACTCTCTCCTCTCATTGTCTTCTCCATCTCAACTAATCATAACTCTACCCTGTAGTTTTCTTAAGCCAAAAACCTTGCAGTCATGCTTACAGCCTCTCTTCATCTCTCATCTCACATCCAATCAATCCATAAGCAAATTCTGTCAGTTTAATCCTGAGGATCTATTAAAGTCAGATCGCTTCTTATCTTCCATCTTCTACCACTCTGGTCCAAGCCCCCATACTTTCTTGCCTGGATTGTTCCAGTAGCCATAGGTTTTCTCTCTGTGCCTCTGCATTTGCTCTTCTTGTTGTCCATTCTCAATATAATAGCCAGAACAATCTTACTATAAATGTCACTCCTCTGCTCAAAGTACTCAAATGGCTTCGTATCTTATTCAGTGCAGAGGTAAAATCTTTACAGTGGCTTACAAGGCCCCACATGATCTGCTGCTTCCTGCCTATCTGATCTTATTTCCTATCCTTCAATTCCTTTCCAGCCACACACGCCTTTACCTCAGGGCTTTTTCATTTACTCCTCCCTTTGCCTACAGTGTTTTTCCCCCAGACAGCCACATGCCCCATTCTCTCATTTTCTTTGGGTGTCTTTCAAATGTCACTTTATTAGTGAAGCTTTTGCAAACCATATAATTTTTTTGCCCACCCCCTACTCTCCATCTCCTTTTCCCTGCTTTACTATTCTCTATACTATAGAGTCTTGCACCAATCGACCATCTCGCATTCTATGTGTTTACTTATTTATTGTCTGTCCTCATTTCAACACTTCCTCCTACCTTCCAGAATATACTCTTCAGGAGGGCAGCAACTTTAATACACTCCTGATGCCTAAACCAGTGTTTTGCTCATAGGAGGCATTCAATAAATATTCACTGAAAAAAATAATGAACTGAAGAAACTCATCCTCAAATGTGAGAAACAAACTCACCCATTCAAATCAAAGAATGGACTCAAAGACCTGGAGAACAGGGAAAGTGAGACTTCTAAGGACAGTCTAGCAAGACTGAGTGTTTGATAGGCAGGCACACCCAGCACGGTTTCAACAAGCAATTTATGCCCTCATGCACAGGTCCCTCCCCCAGTTCCTCATAGGCTGAGTACTATGGGGTCACAATCTTCCCAGACGTCACCGAATGGTGGTTGGGTAGGGGCTTTGGGTGTCTTCTTCAGGGTTGTCCTGCTGCATTTTGTTGTAGGCCACAATACATTGCAATCCTACTTAACTTAAGGACTCTTCAAGAATTTGACTTATGACCTAAATAGCTGGGCAGGCTGATAAGAACAGACAAAGTGAGCTATTTTGCAGGCTGGTAAACTTTCATCTTAAACTTCTTTGGTTCAGGTGAGGGCAACTAAGGTGGTGGGAGGGGACAGGGTATCCAAGCAGGGGCCTGGTATATCCTGTTTCTTCTGTAGTTTGCTGACTGAAGCCGATTCAAGGCACTTTGTCTTGGAAATGGACCACTGTATACATTATTTCTTTCATCAAACCTGAGCGTAGAAGTAAAGTGAAACAGCCAAAAATGCAATTCCAACTGTTAGAAAGTTATAGATAGGCCGGGCGCAGTGGCTCACATCTGTAATCCCGGCACTTTGGGAGGCTGAGGCGGGTGGATCACCTGAGGTCAGGAATTCAAGACCAGCCTGACCAACATGGTGAAACCCTGTCTCTACTAAAAATACAAAAATTAGCCAGGCACAGTGATACTTGCCTGTAGTCCCACTTACTCAGGAGTCTGAGATAGGAGAATCTCTTGAACCTGGGAGGAAGAGGTTGCAGTGAGCCGAGATCACACCACTGCACTCCAGCCTGGGTGACAGAGTGAGACTCTGTCTCAAAAAAAAAAAAAACAAAAGAAATTTGCAGATAATATCTTGGACCAGATTTCCCTGAGAGAAGGAGGGTAAAGGGCCTGGAAAACTATATAAGAAATGTGTTCACTTAGAACCACCCAGCACTTTGGAGGCCAAGGCGGGCTGATCACGAGGTCAAGAGATCGAGACCATCTTGGTTAACATGGTGAAACCCCGACTCTACTAAAAAATACAAAAAAAAAAAAAAAAAAAAAACTACAGGGCGTGGTGGTGCGCACCTGTAGTCCCAGCTACTCAGGAGGCTGAGGCAGGAGAATCGCTTGAACCCAGGAGGTAGAGGTTGTAGTGAGCTGAGATCGCATCGTTGCACTCCAACCTGGGCAACAAAGCGAGACTGTCTCAAAAAAAAAAAAAAAAAAAAAAAACCCAAGACTCAAGTCAGTCCATGTGATCCTAACAGAAGTAAAAATTATTAATGGAAGGTTCTTCAGAAAGGCAACCTTTGCACACTGAAAACAGCAATTTAGGACCTGTAACATGAATGAAAGTCTGTAGCTTCCAAAAGTCTTTAGTCCAAATAATTAATTACTATTAAAGGACACTAGAACTTTCCTCCAAAAAGCAAAATGTGTCCAGGGCCAGGCGTGGTGGCTCACACCTGTTATCCCAGCACTTTGGTCCAAGTGGGCAGATTGCTTGCGGCCAAGAGTTTAAGACCAGCCTGGGCAACATTGCTAAGCCCTATCTCTAGAAAAAAAAATATAAAAATTATCCAGGCATGGTGGCAGTAGTTGCAGCTACTGGGAGGCTGAAGTGGGAGGATCACTTGAGCCTGGGAGGCAGAGGTCACAGTAAGTCAAGATCACACCATTGCACACCAGCCTGGCCAACAGAGTGAGAACTTGTCTCAAAAAAAGAAAAGAAAATGTATCCAGGAGGTAGGACCAAAAAACATTTAAACTCTTTGTGTCCAGGAATAGAGCAGAGACCTTGAAAAGGCAGAATTAAGTATAATTGCTGTGGTCTGAATGTTTGTGTCCCCCGCTAATTCGTATGTTGAAATTCTAACCCCCAAGGTGAGGATGGTATTTAGAAAGCAGGCCTTTGGAGGCCTAGGGCATGAGGGCAGAGTCCTATGAATCAACTAAGTGCCCTTTTAAAAGGGCCTCTGCCCCTTCCACCAAGTGAGGACACAGCAAGAAGTCATGCTCTATGAGAAAGCTGGCTCTCACCAGACACCAGATCTGCTGGCACCTTGATCTTGGACTTCTCAGACTTCAAAACTGTGAGAAATAAGTTTCTGTTGTGTATTAGCTACCCAGTTTACGGTATTTTGTTGCAACAGCATGAACAACCTAGGACAATAATTTTAATGTGTAAAATTAAATTTAAATGTTAAATTAAGTTTAGCCTAAAGCTACTTCCTTACATATTTTAAGTTCAGCCTAAAGGTTTCTCCATACATAGTGAACTGTAACCTAACTGAATGTGCAAACAGACTATGACCTGCTCTTGTGACAAGCAGCTGAGGCTCAGCCAATCACAGCAGCTGAGTTTCAGCCAATCACAGGTGGCCAACTGTTTGTATAAGGCAAACACCCAGCTGTCACCAATCCAGCTGTTTCTGTACCTCACTTCTGTCTTTAGTCCGTCACTTTCCTTTCTCCATAAATGTTATTCAACCACGTAGTAGCCCCGGGTTTGCTCTGAACCTGTTCTGGTTCTGGGGGCAGCCCAACTATTGTATCATTCTCTGCTCAAACACTGTTAAATTTAATTTGTCTAAAGTGTTTCTTTTAACAAAGAGAAGGTGTATTAGATTTCCACCTAATTTGAAAATTTCAAAGCCATAATGGAGAAGCGCAGGCACTACTGGTCATTTTTGTCCAGTAGATGGAGCCCTAGTAGAAAGGAAACAGTCTGGCAAGTATCAAAATTTCTCAGAGGAAGATTTGAACGGGGAATTCACTGTGGATTCCACACCCTAAGAGTCCATTAGGCAGCCTGCCAGAGTTCTCCCCAGCCAGTCTGAGTGAGAACTCCCAGCGGAAGGACCCTGAAATGAACTAATAAAGTAACCAGCAGGACAAAGCAATGTGCCATGGAAAGAACAACAGATTTGATTTTAATCCGAATGCCAAGAGTTTGTTTTTGCAAACATACAAAACTTTAGGAATTAAGGTGGGTTGGAGGTGGATTTGTGATACTCATTGGATTAGAAATAAAAGGTTAACAAGTATATTAAAATTAAAGCCATAAGGCTGTGATTTTATGGTGTGTATGTATTTGAGGGAAAGAGGAAAAAATACATTTAAAAGGCTTGTAATTCCCTAAATACCCATGACTTATTAATTATACATGGAGTAATTAATAATACATAGAGTAATTATTACAATAATACATGGAGTAATTAAAATTTCTGCAACATTTGATTATCAAGATGTGATATAATTTATTGAATTGGATTATAGTTTGTGGATGTGCTTAGCGCTCTACTACTTTTTAAAATGCTCTCCCACACATCATCATCAGAGCACATCTCAGAGATGGAAATTTGTGATTTGCCCAAGGTTAGTGGGGCAACTGATAAAAAAAGGATCCTGTCTTACATACTCCCACCCTTTGTTGTAAGCTCCTGTTGGATGCCAAGAATCACCTGCTGCCTTAGTTCTTTGAACAGGTTTTATGTGTTTGATGGAAAAAGGGCACTTTTCAAGAGAGAGAATAGCTGAGCTTTGAAGAATGGAATGACCAGGATCTGAGTAGAGAGAGTGGCAGGAAGGGGAGCTGGGGCTAGGCAAGCTTGGGTTCACAGAGCTGCCCCTCTCTTATCTACCTGGTGGAGGGGGAGTAGAGATCATGATACTCCAACCCCTCTCTTCATGAACCTGGAGTAGGGAGAGTAGAAGAGAGAGGGAACAGGGGAATCTCATAAGATTGCTTGGTAGCATAACGACCTCGGCGAATTTAAAGTGGAACTGAGGTCCTTAGTCTTAGTCCATTTGTGCTGCTATAACAAAGTATCTTACACTGGGTAATTTATAAACAACAGAAATGTATTGCTCACAGTTCTGGAGGCTGGGAAGTCCAAGATAAAGTGCCAGCAGGTTCAATGTCTGGTAAGGGCTCATTGCACAGAGATGGTACCTCTTGCTGCATTCTCACATGGTAGAAGGGAGCAAACAGCCTCCTTTTAATCTCCTTTACATTATCCCATTTATGAAGGCAGTCTTCATGACTTAATCACTTCCCCCAAAGTCTCCACCTCCATGCTATGACATTGAGGATTAAGTTTCAGCCTATGATTTTGGAAAGCATACCAACATTCAGACCATAGAACCAGCCAATGAGATTGTGGGCTATTCTTCCACCATACTCAATGGGCAAAGACATGGAGTAGGGCAGAGAGCTGGATTTAACCAGGGTTGGAGTTTGGCCAAGTGAGTTTAAAGTACAATTAAAAGGACAAGGGAGTTTGGGATCTATTCAAGAGGGTGACTATGATGGACCATCCAATTTCAGTTGGATAAGGAAGTTGAGGACAGCAAGTCACAGTCACAGTCTGAGCCAATTCTCAGTGGCCAGGGCTATAGAAGGACACAGGCCATAAGAAGATAAGGAGGAACCTTGCACTGCTGGCCTCTGACAGTGAGTAGAACCCAATCTCTCTCTAAGCCAGTGACCCAATTTCCTCTGTCTTAAACAGCTCATAGTACAGCTGGCTCTTTCTCATTCTTCAGGCTGCTGTGAAATCTTCCCTGACTTCCCCAGCATAGGACACAGATCCTCCCTGCTGTTCTTAATAACACACTTTTTTTTTTATTTCTTTCAGGGCTTCTCACCATCTGGTTATTTTATTGATTTGTTTACATGTTTATTGTCTGTTTTTCCCACCAGAATGCAAGCTCCACAAGGCCAGGAATCTTTCCTGTCCAATTCACCACAGCAGCCTCAACCTGGCAGACAGTTCAGCATACAGTAAATATTCAAGAAATATTCATTTAACAAATTAGTTGATATTCTGGGTTGCTTGAAATGCTAAGCACTATACTAAGATTTTTATACACATTTTCTCATTTACCTCTCATCAGTCAAATATTTACTAGGGAAAAGCTGAAGCTTAATGAAGTTATATAATTTGCCAAAGGTCACAGAGCAAAGCCAAAATTTGAAACCCAGTCTTTCTGATTCTGAAATCCCTCTTCTCACCTTTGCAACTTTCATAAACAAATATTTTGTAAACCAAGCAACCATGCCTTATGCTAAGGTTTATACAAGAAAGCCAAAGAAAAAAGGAGGAAGGAGGAGATGCAAGAAAAGTGGCTGTGGCCCTAATTTTTGTTACGGCTATGGCATCTGTTCATGTGCAGACATTCTATAGAGTTCCAAATTAAATCTGCTTTCTGATTCTGGGTTCAAAGTTGGGTTTGGTTTGTTTGTTTGTTTGTTTTTGAGATGGAGTCTCGCTCTGTTGCCCAGGCTAGAGTGCAGTGGCGCCATCTCAGCTCACTGCAACCTCTCCCTCCTGGGTTCAAGCAATTCTGTTTTGTAATCCCAGCACTTTGGGAGGCCGAGGTGGGTGGATCATTTGAGGTCAGGAGTTCGAGACCAGCCTGGCCCACATGGTGAAACCCACCTCCACTAAAAATACAAAAATTAGCCAGGCGTGGTAACCTGCGCCTGTAGTCCCAGCTACTCAGGAGGCTGAAGCAGGAGAATCGCTTGAACCCAGCAGGTGGAGGTTGCAGTGAGCCAAGGTTGCACCACCGTACTCCAGCCTGGATGACAGAGTGACACTCTGTCTCAAACCAAAAAAAAAAAAAAAAAAAAAAAAAATTAAAGAAGGAAAAGATGCAAGATCTTTGTTTAAGAGCCACTACGTTTCCTCCTTATATCTTCTTCTTCTTTTCTTCTTGCTTTGTCAACTTCCTTTCAACACACTGCCTCCTTTCTCCTGAAGTATTTGTTTGGCATCTCCCAAAGTATAAAAGAGTCAAACTTAAAAAGGATACTAGCGGGTATGAAAGCAACAAAACAGAATATACAAAAATCTTGATCACCCATAAAGATCTAGGATATCAGAGAAATGTGTATACATGTGATCAGGAGATAGTGAGTTCAGGAGTAAAGGAGAACAAAACCAAATGATAATGACTCACATGTAAAAGAAAGGGAAGGTTGTGAAATTGTTTGCTACATTAGTACATGGGACAAAAATGTGATTGAAATTGTGTCATTCTTCTAATAACATGAATGTCACAAGTAAAACTAAAACTAGCAAGAGAATGTGAATAAAAGGCCCAGCTTGAAATCTCAAGCTTTCAGAAATAATGTTTTTCTATTTGCATCTCTTAGTACTGCTACAGAAAATGACTCATACATAGAAGGTCCAGAAAGGAACTAAATTACAGTGCTTTAAAACAAAACAATTACCCTGTCGTACTCTCAGTTGTCTTTAAATGAGCAAAAAGAAAGCTGAGATAGAAACCTCCTTATTCACAGCCTACACAGAAGCTCGTATGAAGGCAAATGGCTATTTTTGCCTCGGGGTGTGCCAGAATCAGGGTGAAAACTTGAACCATTTGCATTCTTTCAGGTTCAGTTTGAGGAGTAGCCAGACCTGTCATCCCTGGGAGGTCGGATCAGGGACCTAGCGTGCTTTGTCCTCTTACCACCCACTGCATGAATTGCAGTGACAGGCTTGAAGGCCACCAAGTGTGTCACTCCTTGTAAGACTGGGAAGGGCTGGAAAGAGTGTAAGGGTATCATTCCTTACCACATAGTCTCCCCACTCTTATTTGTCTATAGGAGTAAAGCTAAGTGCCTATGATACTCCTGCTTGGTGCCTGGAGCTGAGGTGTTCTCCTAAGGTAAAGGGTGATCCTGGAGAAGGGGCTTTCCATTCTCCATGCACAGATGGACCTGTCCATCACTCACACCCTCCAGAATCCACAGTGAGCAAAGGCAATTTCTCCAAAATTATATCTATTTTATTTTACTTTCTTTTTTTTTTTTTTTGCATTTTTGCATGTTACAGGAAAATAAATGTGTTTTAATTTTTTTATCTTAAGACCTAATCACTTTTATTTCATATCCAGGGAGAAAAGACAAAATATTTTAAAATTGGCAACCGGGCATGGTGGCTCATGTCTGTACTCCCAGCACTTTGGGAGGCCGAGATGGGCGGATCACTTGAGGTCAGGAATTCAAGACCAGCCTGGCCAACATGGCAAAACCCCATCTCTACTGAAAATACAAAAAAGAAAAAAAAATTAGCCACCTTGGATGTGGGCATCTGTAATCTCCGCTACTCAGGAGGCTAAGGCAGGAGAATCACTTGAACCCGGGAAGTGGATGTTGCAGTGAGCTGAGATTGTGCCACCGTACCCCAGCCTGGGTGACAGAGCAAGATTCCATCTCAAAAAAATAAAATAAAATAATAAAATTAAAAATTGGCATTTGGGATAACAAGGAAGCTCCATTCTGAAATAGATTCCAATTAGATCAAAGATTGAAATGCTAAAAGGAAATTGCAAGGCACTAGAGGAAAACACGGAAAGAACCCCCATTAAATATTGTAGACTGACCATATGCTTTCATCTTCTCTCCCTGTCGTAGGCTAAATAATGGCTCCCAAAGATGTGTCTACATCCTAATCTCCAGAATCTGTGAATGTTACTTTATGTGGCAAGTACGTGGCAGATGTAATTAAGTCAAGGATCTTTGGATGGTTATCCTGAATTATCTGGGTGGGCCCTAAATACAATCACAAGTGTCCTTATAGGAGAGAGGCTGAAGGAGATTTGGTACCAACAGAAGAGGAGGAGGAAATTGTGATCATGCAGAAACTGGAGTGATGGAGTCACAAGCCAAGGAATGCCAGCAGCCACCAGAAGCCGAAAGAGGCCCTGCCAACACCTTGATTTAGGCCTAATGAAACTGAGTTTAGATTTCTGGACCCCAGAACTGTGAAAGAATAAATTTCTGTTGTGTTAAGCCCCTAATTTTGTGGTAATGTGTCACAGCAGCCCTTGGAACCTAATACACTCCCCAAGCCATCACAATGACGGTTAAGGGAAGTAAAACGATAAAATTCATAAAGATAAAGAGAATAACAGAAAAGGATTTCAATAAGTGTTTGGAAGATGGAAAAGGAAAGAATGAGAAGCAACTTACTTATCAGAGTAGAGAAAATTACCTGAGAGCCTGGAGAAAGGGAAGTGAATAAGACAGAGTCAGTTCTCCCCAGAGAAGCCAGACACAGGGTCATTGAGCACCAAGCAGGGGCAGGAGTGGGGTGCAGGGCTGGCACTGGGGATAGAGTGGAAACATTAACATGGACCTTGGATCCCTGGGCCCTGACTCCTCTGACACTGGTCTTCCTGAACTAGCTGCATCCCTTCTTGTCATGCCCTCCACTCCAGTCCCTGCCCTTGACCCCACCACCACCACCTCAGCTGACACACATCAGTTCAGCTCACACTCCTTCTGTTAGAAAGAACCAGTCACAAGGTTCTTCCTGAATGCAATGGGGCTGGGAAATGCTGAGCAGTGCCAGGCACAGGCTTCCTCTAAACCACTCTGCACCAAGGAAGAAGGACATTTTTTTGATGGTCTAATACCCGTCTCTGCCACACTCTCTAAGGCAATTAATTTTAAAATTTTAGAATACTGGAAATAAAGAAAAGATACTAAAAACTTCCAGAATGAAAAACCAGGTCACATATTGCCTTATGGATCAGCAATCTGACTGGCATCAGCCTTTTCAATAGCAATACAAAATGCCAGAAGACAACAGGGCAATGCCCTCAAAATTCTGAGAGAAAATATCTTGCTAATAAAACATCTATTACACCTAGCAAGCAGCCATCCCAAAGGCAGAAGGCTGTGAAAGAACAAAAGGGAGCTATCTAGGGAGAAAAACATAACTGTTAATTATTATTATAATAATAATATATTTTTAGAGACAAGGTCTCTGTCAACCCATGCTGAGGTGCAGTGGCACAATCATAGCCCACTGCTATGGGCTGGAACTCATGGGCTCAAGTGATCCCCCCACCTCAGCCTCCCAGGTAACTAGGACTAGAGGCACATACCACCACACCCAACTTATTTTTGCTTTTATTTTTTGTAGAGGGGTCTCCTTATGTTGCCCACGCTGCTCTAGAACTCCTGGCTTCATGCAGTCCTCTTGCCTTGGCCTCCCAATGTGCTGGGATTACAGGCATAAGCCACCATGCCCAACCTTTAATAATTATTTAATGTGTTTGGGAATTTGGAGGAAAAGGATTACCAAAAGTTTGCCAAATCTCCAGTATCCTTTGAACAGAAAAAAATAGTAATTGTATGTAGAAAACTAAGCAATTTGGCCAGTGATGAAGGGGATTAGCAATTACTAATGTCAGAAAAAGCAGAAGGTTATACAAGAAAGAAGATATGATGACAAGATCCTATTTGGTTCAGTGGTGAATAATATTTAATAGTGACAAAAATGTAAACACTGACTTTTGGCTTAACTAAGTTGTTTTTTTTTTTTTTTTTGAGATGGAGTCTCACTCTGTTGCCCAGGCTGGAGTGCAGTGGCACAATCTCGGCTCACTGCAACCTCCGCCTCCTGGGTTCAAGCAATTCTCCTGCCTCAGTCCCCTGGGTGGCTGGGACTACAGGTGCATGCCACCATGCCCAGCTAATTTTTGTATTTTTAGTAGAGACAGGGTTTCACCACGTTAGCCAGGATGGTCTTGATCTCCTGACCTCGTGATCCGCCCACCTCGGCCTCCCAAAGTGCTGGGATTACAGGCATGAGCCACTGCGCCTGGACAAGTAAGCAATTTATATAACTGTATTGGAAAAATGAAGAGAGGGAAATAGGAAGGGTTAGAGTTGGATAAGAAATCAAAGGCTTCAACAATTTCCTTCCTAGGATCATACTCTATACATATTTTTGACACATATGCAAAGATTTATGTACAAAGATTTATGTACAACAATTTATGTACAAAGATTTCCATCATTGAATAAGAAATAGCAAAAACAGAGATGACTTAAATATCTATGAATTGGAGACTCTAAAACAGATTATGTTTGAATGAAATACAGTTTTTGTGGGGTGTTTTTGAGATGGAGTCTCACTCTGTCGCCCAGTGCAGAGATGTGATCTCAGCTCACTGCAACCTCCGCCTCCAGAATTCAAGCAAATCTCCTGCCTCAGCCTCCCGAGTAGCTGGGATTATAGGCACGTGCCACCACACCTGGGTAATATTTGTATTTTTAGTAGAGACAGGGTTTCACCATGTTGGTCAGGCTGGTCTCGAACTCCTGACCTCAATTCATCCACCCGCCTCAGCCTCCGAAAGTGCTGGAATTACAGGTGTGAGCCACCGTACCCAGCCTATTTTAATTTTTTTTTTTTTTTTTTGAGACAAGGCATTGCTCTGTTGCCCAGGCTGGAGTGCAATGGCACAATCTCGGCTCACTGCAACCTCTGCCTCCTGGGTTCAAGCCATTCTCCTGCCTTAGCCTCCCAAGTAGCTGGGACTACAGGCGCAAGCCACCATGCCCAGCTAGTTTTTGTATTTTTAGTAGAGAAGGGGTTTCACCATGTAGGTCAGGGTGGTCTCAAACTCCTGACCTCAAGTGATCCACCTGCCTTGGCCTCCCAAAGTGCTGGGATTACAGACATAAGCCACCGCGCCCAGCCCGCATTTGTTTTAAAGCCATCCCCAATATATGCTGACGTGATCTCTGGATACTGAAAATAAAACAAGACAAAATACACAAACAGAAACAAAGTGGAGACTAATGGGTCCATATACTACCACCTGTGAGTATTTTAATGCATGTATCAATATACACATACACATTCACAAACATTGAGTCTTATGTATATACAGACTATCTGAAAAAATACACAAGAAACTGCCTGTAGCAATCGACTTTGTGGAGGGGAATTATGGTTAAGAGGGCAGAGATAGATAGGGAATTGATGTAGTTTGGATGTTTGCCCTCTCCAAACCTCATGTTGAATATGCTCCCCAGGGCCGGGCACGGTGGCTCACGTTTGTAATCCCAGCACTTTGGGAGGCCGAGGCGGGCGGATCACAAGGTCAGGAGTTTGAGACCAGCCTGACCAACATGGTAAAACTCTGTTTCTACTAAAAATACAAAAATCAGCTAGGCGAACTACGGGTGCCTGTAATCCCAGCTACTAGGGAGACTGAGGCAGGAGAATCACTTGAACCCAGGAAGCTGAGGTTGCAGTGAGCCCAGATCACGCCACTGCACTCAGCCTGGGCAACAGAGTGAGACTCTGTTGAAAGAAAGAAAGAGAGAGAGAGAGAGACAGAGACAGAGAGAGAGAGAGAGAACTCCCCACTGTTGGAGGTGGGACCTGGTGGGAGGTGTTTGGGTCATGGGGGCAGATCCCCCTTGCCATCCTCATGGTAATGAGGAAGTTCTTGCTCCGTTCACGCTCTGTTCATTCACATGAGAGCTGGTTGTTTAAAGGAGATTGGCACCTCCTCTCTCTATCTCTCTCTCCTGCTCTCTCTCTTGCCATGTAACATACCAGCTCCCTCTTTGCCTTCTTTCATGAGTGGAAGCTTCCTGAGGCCTCACGAGAAGCAGATGCCAGCACTATGCTTCATGTACAGCCTGAGAACCATGAACCAAATAAACCTCTGTTCTTTATAAATTACCCAGCCTTAGGTATTCTTGTATAGCAACACAAATGAAGTAATACAGGGACCTACTCTTCACTGTATATAATTTTGTCACTTAAAAATTTTATGCTAGTGAATATATTACTTATATAATAAATACATGAATATTCACTATTAATATTATTCATGAATAATATAGTAATTATTGATTCAAATGAATAATTTTTCAAACGAAGGATAAAAGCAACCTGTTAAAAGACGAAAAATTTTTAAAAACACAAAATTAGCCCCCTTAATAGCTTCATATATCAAACATAATCTTAAAATATCTTTTCAGTATGTTTAACAATTTTCCTTTAGGTGGCAGTAATTACATATTTATTTTTTATAATAGCCACCTGACTAGCCTTTAGAATCAGTTCAACAATAATATTTGGTTGTCTTATTTTTCCTTTTCATAGGAAAAAAAATGTTTAAATATTAGAACCTACATTTATAAAATGCATGGCCCAGAAATGTTCCTGACTATTGTTATTGAAAATGAGAGAAAACAAGTTACAATTCAAGGGATATAAAACAGACTGGAAGGATATTCACCAACATGTTGGCAATGTTTGTCTCTGGGAAGTAGAACAATTAATAGGTGAGTTTGTTTTGCTCTTTTTGCTTTTCCAAATTTTCTACCATGAACATGGTTTTGTTTGTTTGTTTGTTTTTGTTTGTTTGTTTGTTGAGACAGAGTCTTGCGCTATTGCCCGGGCTGGAGTGCGGTGGCGTGATCTCGGCTCACTGCAACCTCCACCTCCTGGGTTCAAGTGATTCTCCTGCCTCAGCTTCCCAAGTAGCTGGGATTACAGGCAGCTGCCAGAACATGGTATCTTTTAACAGCTTGTTTATTCTGCAATCCTGACCCATTAAAGGCTTCTTAAGCCCTGGATAATTGAAGGTGGTATGGGCTTCAGTCTTATCTGGCTCTCAAGTATTTCTAATATCACCAACCCCTTTGATTTCTTAACTGTGGAATGAAAATAATGACAGAAACTTTAGGCATCTCATTATATGACTATCGAGGGAGAGGTTTGGGAGTGAAGGATCCTTTTAATACTCCTCAAATCCAGAAATTATTTACTACCAAGTTAATAAAACTATTTCAGGACCTTCCTCCCATCCACCCCACCCCACCCATTTGTATTAATCCCTTTCAAAACCTTATAACTAATTGTGAATTCATCATTTCATATTTTTAGAAGGCCCACAACACTAGATCCACCATTGCCAAAGCACACCAAAATACTCTTTGACAACTTTGTAAACATCCATGCTCTGAAAGGTATGGGGGGAATATCTGTAAGCTCCCCACTGAACTAAAGTTCTCCAGGCCAGGGACCAAGCTTCCCACACTTTTCTAACCCTGTTGCCTAGTACATGTCTGGCACACTTCAGGCATTCGAAAACATTTGTAGGACTGTTGAACAGAAGTAACTATTCATGGATAGGTAAAAGCCTCCCTAAGTGTTTTCTTATTCATGGGATAGTTGAGAGTAAATTCTTATAGAGCTGTGTCTGGTGGCTAGCAGAAAGGCTATACCTACTCAAATCAACAGGCCGCACAGAAAAGTCTCCTTGTCCCCAGAAGGGCCCTCGGGAGTGACTGGAGAGCAGATCCCGCCAGGTCACCACAGTGCTACACTTCAGGTTGGCTCTGTGCCCGGCTGAGGAAAAGGAATCTCTCTCCCCTCCTTGAAAACATGCCTCAGCATATTTATCTGTGAAACAGAGAAGAAAACAAATATGGTATGTGATTTACAAATTCGCTCAAACAGGAATGCAAACTGGTGTGAGACACCAAATGAGAAGAGTGAGAATTTAAATGCCAGTGCCCTGTGATGCAACAATTCCCCCTCTGGGTGTACACCCCAAAAAATGGAAACAGGGGCCGGGCACGGTGGCTCACGCCTGTAATCCCAGCACTTTGGGAGGCCAAAGCGGGTGGATCATGAGGTCAGAAGATTGAGATCATCCTGGCCAACTCGGTGAAACCCTGTCTCTACTAAAAAATACAAAAAATTAGCCGGGCCTGGTGGTGGGAGCCTGTAGTCCCAGCTACTCGGGAGGCTGAGGCAGGAAAATGGTGTGAGCTGGGGAGGCGGAGGTTGCAGTGAGCTGAGATCGTGCCACTGAACTCCAGCCTGGGCAACAGAGCGAGACTCCGTCTCAAAAAAAAAAGAAAAAAAGAAGCAGGGACTTGACCAAATATTTATACACCTGTATCATAACAGCCTTATTCATAACGGCCAAGAGCTGAAGCACCCCAAGTGCCTATGGACAGATAAGTGGATAAACAAAACATGGTGTACACATGCAGTGGAATATTCTTCAGTCTTAAAAAAGAATGACACACCTTTAATCCCAGCACTTTGAGAGGGCAAGATAGGTGGATCACTTGAGACCAGGAGTTTGAGACCAACCCAGGCAACATGGCGAAACTCCATCTCTACAAAAAATTAGCCAGGCGTGGTGGCATGTGTCTGTAGTCCCAGGTATTTGGGAGGCTGAGGTGGGAGGATCACTTGAGCCTGGGAAGTCAGGACTGCAATGAGCCATGATCACACCACTGCACTCCAGCCTGGGCAGCAGAGCAAGACCCTGTGCCCGGCCCAAAAGTATTTTTAATGTCACTGAACTGTACACTTAAAAAGAGTTAACATGGTAAATTTTATGTCTTGTGTATTTTACTATCTAAAAAAAAAGAACAGGCCGGGTAAAAAAACAGAACGCCTGTAATCCCAGCACTCTGGGAGGCCGAGACGGCGGATCACGAGGGCAGGAGATTGAGACCATCCTGGTTAACACCGTGAAACCCCGTCTCTACTAAAAATACAAAAAAATTAGCCAGGAGTGGTGGCGGGCGCCTGTAGTCCCAGCTACTTGGGAGGCTGAGGCAGGAGAACGGCGTGAACCCAGGAGGCAGAGCTTGTAGTGAGCCGAGATTGTGCCACTGCACTCCAGCCTGGACGACAGAGGGAGATTCCATTTCAAAAAAAAAAAAAAAAAAAAAAAGAAGCCAAAATAATACTATCCAGGTGGAACTAGGAAGTAAGGAATATTTCTCTATATTTTATGAATATAAAAATAAGAAGGAATTGAATATTTATTCCATAACTGCTCTGTAATATAAATATGAATTATTTGCAGATATTAATGATAATGCTAATATCTAATGAGGCCCATACTATGTGTCAGGTAATGTGCTAAGGGACTTATGTATACTATCTTAATATTCAAAACCATCCTATGAAGTAGGTACTATTATTATCTTCAATTTAAAATTCAGAAAATGGAGGTTTAGAAAACGTAAATCCTTTTCCCAAGACCACAGGTTAGTGAGTAGTAGAACTCAGATCTGGCCTCAGATTTCCTAGCTTTGAGCACCTTGCTCATTTCACATTTTGGGTTCTGTTTCTTACAATCAAAATGTTTGTGTTTTTTTGTTCTTGTTTGTTTTGTTTTTGTTTTTGTTTTTTTCCTTTTTGAGACAAGGTCTCGCTCTGTTGCCCAGGCCAGTGTGCAGTGTCGCCATCTTGGCTCACTGCAGCCTTGACCTCCTGGGCTCAAAAATCCTCCCACCTCAGCCTCCTGAGTAGCTGGGACTGCAGCAGCCATGCACTACCACACCTGGCTAATTTTGGGTTTTTTTTTTTTTTTTTTTAGAGATGGGATCTCACTATGTTGCCTAGGCTGGTCTTAAACTCCTGGACTCAAGCAATCCTCATGGCTTGGCCTTCCAAAATGCTGGGATTTCAGGCGTGAGCCACCACACCTGGCCTGTGGTTGTTTTTGTCTTAAGTTAAACACTTCTTTAAGGAATTTGTAAGGATGGGAATTTGAATTAGGAGACTCCAAATGGCATTTATGTGTCCAGAGGATATAAGAGTTGAACAGCAGCACTTCTTACAAAATTGTGCCTAAAACAATGCCTTGGCAAGCTGCCCCTCATATTCACTGAGGAACCGAGGTACTCAAGTCAAAATCCCAAGGTAAAGGGACTGGGAAGACACTAGCAACAGTGACCATGTCTTCCTTTTCAGGTACAGATAATTTTGTAAAATAATTCTAAAATGACACTGTAATTTTTTTTACTTTCAGACTTCATAGCTGTAATTTCTGACACATTGCTGAGTATTAATTTTTAAAATAAGCATAACCTGGGCAAAACATTGGAACCAACTGAGAGATCTAGTGATTGTATTCTGATAATTTATATTAATAGGAATCTGCCTTTCCCCCAAAGGATTAACTGGATGCATTACTGTATTTGCTTTTCACGTGTATGTGTATTGCGTGTGTGTGTGCGTGTGCTTGTGCATGTATGTGTACTGTGTGTGTGCGCTTGTACACAAAATGGTGGATGAGCACATGTATTTACCTCTTCTATCTTCCACATTCCCATAAAAGTGACAGAAAATATTCTTTAAAGAAAATGAGTGAATAACAGCAATAGGAAACAAGAAAGAGTGTCATCAGCACACAAGAGTTTTGGGAAATTTCTAAAAGATACAAAGCAGATGGATGAACTGATGAGAAACTGCAGGCCAGGGCACAGGAAATAAGTATGTGTCTTCCCAAGGGGGCCCAGAGAAACTCCTCACTTGGTCAACAATACAATGATGGGCCGTGCGGGCAATCAACAGTGGCCTCATTAAAGAACTGGATTCAGTGCCTTGGGACAGCTGGGCCCCTTTCCTGTGACCTGTGTAAACAAAGCTAGGCAGCTGAGACTTTTGGCCTCGGGCTACAAGCCAGGGCACTGCTTTTTAGAAAGAAAGGGCAGAGAGAGTGTTCCTCCGGAGGGTCTTGTAGCTTAAAAGGAGATAACTGAAGAAACTTTGAATCTCTACATTTATAAACTCAGAGGGGAAACAATCAAACTCAAAATGCGTCTCTACCTCCTCCTGGGGAAGCTCAGGTTCCCCAGCCTTCTTGCCTACTCTGCCCACAGGAAACCTACAGGGAAGCCTTCCTGTCCAAAAGTCCTGCCTACTTACACAGAACTCGTGCCAGTCATTCTATTCAGGGAAAACCTTCCTGGAGAAACAAACCTAAACAATTGAAGAGGAAACCCACACAAGCTGGTTGTGCTAAATTAAGGCATTTGTTTGGTTCTGAATTCATTCAAATGAATAGACAATAGAGAACACCACACTTCTCAGGAAAAACAATACAAAAGTGAAAGCTTTAGAAAACAAAACAACTGACCCAAAGGAAAAAGATAATCCAAGCAGGGGAAAATAATTAAAAAAAAAAAAAACCTAATTAACACACACACGAAATCAATCATATTCCAAACACCTAAATTAACAAATTAATAAAATTAGTATTTAAAACAATACTAGTAACAATGCTAATTAGGATAATCAGGAATTTATAGCGTACTACAATCTTAATTACAGTTTGCTATGACAAGTAGCAATCAGAGAACACAAAAGAGTTATTAGGAACTAAAAATAAACGTTTCAAAGGGATGACTAAACAATAATACAGACACAACCGAAGATCAATTTGATTACCTGAAAGATAAAGTAAAATGACAGAAAATATGAGAGAAAATTAAAATATGTAGAAGTTAACTCTGAGAAATCTAATACCTATAAAAATGTGGTTTTAGAATGTATTTAGGACTGTGGAGAAAAATAAATAATCCAGAAAATAAAATTTTCCTGTGCTAAAGAGTTTTTAGGACCAGGCATGGTGTCTCTCGCCTGTAATCCCAGAACTTTGGGACACCGAGGTGGGCAGATCACTTGAGGCCAGGAGTTCGAGACCAGCCTGGCCAACATGGCAACACCTCATCTCTACTAAAAACACAAAAATTAACTGGGTGTGGTGGCACACGCCTATAGTTCCAGCTACTCAGGAGGATGAGGCACAAGAATCGCTTGAACCCAGGAGATGGAGGCTGCAGTGAGCTGAGATCGCACCACTGCACTCCAGCCTGGGTGATAGAGCGAGACTTGGTCTCAAAAAAAGAAAAGAAAAAAGGTTTTAGATTGAAATCTCACCAATTTTTAAGCAAGGGGAGGAAAAATATGCATACACATCACACACATACACACACACACACACACACACACACACACACACAGAGCTAAAGATATCCTGGTAAGGCCAGGTGTGGTGGCTCACACCTGTAATCCTGGCACTTTGGGAAGCCAAGATGGGCAGATCACCCGAGGTCAAAAGTTCGAGATTAGCCTGGCCAGCGTGGCAAAACCCCATCTCTACTAAAAATACAAACATTGGCCAGACTCAGTAGCATGCACCTGTAATCCTGTAATCCTGTAATCCCAGCTACTCAGGAGGCTGAGGCAGGAGAATTGCTTGAACCCAGGAGGTAGAGGTTGCGGTGAGCTGGCATTGCACCACTGCACCCCAACTGGGCAACAGAGCGAGACTGTCTAAAAAAAAAAAAGGGCTGGGCGCAGTCGTTCACACCTGTAATCCCAGCACTTTGGGAGGCCAAGGTGGGCAGATCACAAGGTCATGTGTTCGAGACCAGCCTGGCCAACATGGTGAAACCCTGTCTCTACTAAAAATACAAAAATTAGCCGGGTGTGGTGGCACACACCTCTAATCCCAGCTACTCAGGAGGCTGAGGCAGGAGAATCACTTGGACCCGGGAGGCAGAGGTTGCAGTGAGCCAAGATCACGCCACTACATTCCAGCCTAGGCGACAGTGAGAGACTCTGTCTCAAAAAAAAAAAAAAAAAAGATATCCTGATAAAATTGTAGAATTCAGAATACGAAGAAAACCCTAGAAGGTAAAAAAAAAAAAAAGAAAGAAAACAATAATAAGATTGTCATCCAATTTCTTTTTTTTATAAGAAAATATTTTGAAGTCTTTATTCACAAAACCTTTAAAAACAAATAATACCCTCTGTTTTGCAAATAATGTTTTGTTTAAAAAGGACCACCCAGTTACAGCACTGTAATATCATGAATAAAGAATGTACAAGGGAGACAAACCAATGTGACTAACATTTGGAGATTTGCTAATATTACTGATTGAAGTGTAGGTAACACACATTATAACTTGTAGTCCATCATTTCAGGGTAGAGTTAATGATCACCAAAAAGTCTTCCTACACATGCTCTGGTCTGGTCACGTATTCTGCATTGCTTAAATATTTCACAGTCTCTTTTGTCTATATATAAAATAGATTTCAAAGATATACACAAAAAAAAACAAACATTACACTCCTCAGGTAATTTTATTAGCTCTATATATATATATATTGTTGCTTTGTACCAAATCTCTCCATTATTTACCTTTGTAGCAACTATGAAAGCGTAATTTTTGTCTTCTAATTTAATTTGGTACAAAATATACCTAAAGACTTGTAATCTTTGGATTTTAATAAAATTGATTTTTGTAACCAACAAATCAAGAGCATCATAAGAATG
Source organism: Homo sapiens (assembly GCF_000001405.40). Taxonomy (NCBI): domain Eukaryota; kingdom Metazoa; phylum Chordata; class Mammalia; order Primates; family Hominidae; genus Homo; species Homo sapiens. The sequence goes on along the minus strand of NC_000011.10, from coordinate 110,360,665 downwards.
GCTACAAAATTTTAAAAAAGGGGTAAATGGTGATGGAATAAAAATAAGCAGATCAAGGGAAGTGTGCTATCATAAAATAACTGTAGCTTCAACATCTTGAGTACCAGTTTTCTGGCAGATACTAAACATCCAATCACAAGGGATTTTTCCTGAAGGGTATAAAGCTGATTTGAAAATTCTTCAGTCACAGAGCAGCCTACACATGCCAATTAGAAACTGGATTGTCATCCAATTTCTTTTCAGCAATACTAATCACTGGAAGATAATTAATTAATAAAACTAATATATATTGAGTGTATCGTGTGCTACACATTGTTCTATATCTTTGGGAGACATCAGTGATCAGTGAATCAAACAGACAAAAATCTTGCCTTCATGAATCTTACATTCTGTTGGCAGACAGCCTTCAAAGTTTTGAAGGGAAAAAAATAAATCTTGGAAATCTAAGCCTGGTCCAACTATCAATCAAATGTAAGGGCTAAATAAAGACATATTTAAACTGACAGGAATTCCGGAATATTACTTCTTATACAAATCAAAACAAAAATTCAAAGTATTCCAACAAAATACAAGCCAGGCATGGTGGTGCACCTGCAGTCCCAGCAACTTGGGAGGTTGAGGCATGAGGATTGCTTGAGTCCAGTTCAAAACTAGCAAATTAAAAGCCATCCAAGAAAGAAAACAAGAAACATACCATTTGAATGTAACCCGCAGGAAATGGAGAAAACCAGAAAAGAAGACAAAGAAGGAAAGTAGGAGGGAGGGAGGGAGGGAAGGAAAGTAGGAGGGAGGAGGGAAGGAAAATAGGAGGGAGGAAAGGAGGGAGGGAAGGAGGAGAGAAGGAAAATAGGAGGAAAGAAAGAAAGGAAGCTTCAAAGGGAGGAAGAGAGGGAGAGAAGGAAGGAAGGACCCATTAGACCTTGAAGGAAGGATCCATTAGACCTTGAAGCAAGGATCCATTAGACCTTGAAGCTTAGAAGAATCTCATCTGAGCTGGAAAATTTCCATTAAATAAGATTACTTTTGGCTGGGCATGATGGCTCACGCCTGCAGTTACAGCACTTTGGGAGGCCAAGGCGGGTGGATCACGAGGTCAGGAGATCGAGACCATCCTGGCTAACACAGTAAAACCCCGTCTCTACTAAAAATACAAAAAAAATTAGCTGGGCATGGTGGTGGGCGCCTGTAGTCTCAGCTACCCGGGAGGCTGAGGCAGGAGAATGGCATGAACCCGGGAGACGGAGCTTGCAGTGAGCCGAGATCGTGCCACTGCACTCCAGCCTGGGCTACAGAGAGAGTCTCGGTCTCAAAAAAAAAAAAAAAGATTATTTTTTCTTCCACATGGGGTTTATCCATACGAGTCAATTATAGAAAACCTATGTGCCTACCGCTGTGCTGAGTGAAGGATCACTTCCACTCAGGATTCTCATTTTTAATCCTCAGAAGACTTAATTATAATTACAGAGCAGAATGTAAACATAGTAAACCATGAATATACACACACACACACACACACAATTGAGAGGTGGACTCTCTTATATAAATGGGAATCAAAAGACTCTGTCTAAATAAATAAATTTAGAAATGGAAGTTTAGGTACATTATTTAAAGTTATAAATAATAATTTTAAATATAATTTTTAGAAAAATTAGGGCTGGGCGTGGTGGCTCACGCCTGTAATCCCAGCACTTTGGGAGGCCCAGGTGGGCGGATCACGAGGTCAGGGGTTCGAGACCAGCCTGACCAACATGGTGAAACTCCGTCTCTACTAAAAATACAAAAATTAGCCGGGCATAGTGGCACGCTCCTGTAATCCCAGCTACTCAGGAGGCTGAGGCAGGAGAATTACTTGAACCCAGGGGAGAGAGGAGGAGTTTGCAGTGAGCTGAAATCATGCCATTGCACTCCAGCCTGGGTGACAGAGAGAGACTCTGTCTCAAAAAAAAAAAAAAGAAAAAAAATTAAAAATTTTATAATACAACTAACACAAATTGGAGATGGAGAAGAACAGAAAGATTGGGAGGAAGTGTAAACACAAGAAATTTCCCATCTTTTTTGAAGTCAGTAGGTACTTTCTAAAGTTGACAAAGGGAAAAACAGAGCTGTAAGCATGGAATTTTAAATTATAATGGCAACCGCCACACCATCTAACAATAGCCGATGACAGTGCTTGTTTCTAGAGCATGGGCCTAGGCTGGAATGGATGGAGGTCATATTCATTTTACACCCTTCTTTTTCTACTGATAAGATTTTTTCTTATTATGTGCATGTATAACTTCTATAAAATAACATAAAATAACAACAATAATATATATTTACGTATAAATTTATATTATATGTAAGTATATATAGATTTGTATACAGTATTTAAATAAATATTTTCATTGAGTGAAAAGATGCCAAATTATCTTTTCCACAAATATAACAATAATATTTATTTATTTATTTATTGAGAGGGAGTTTTGCTCATCACCCAGGCTGGAGTGCAATGGCACCATCTCGGCTCACTGCGACCTCCAACTCTTGGGTTCAAGTGATTCTCCTGACTCAGCCTCCCATGTAGCTGGGACTACAGGAGCCCACCACCATGCCCAGCTAATTTTTGTATTTTTAGTAGAGACGGGGTTTCACCATGTTGGCCAGGCTAGTCTCGAACTCCTGACCTCAGGTGATTCACCCACCTCGGCCTCCCAAAGTGCTGAGATTACGGAGGGTGAGCCACTGCGCCCGGCCAACATAGGCTATTCTGTAACTGAAAGATGAGTTGCTTAGTCATGGCTACTAAACGTCCTCCATACTTAGCTAAAAGCTCATGGTTCTTAGGAAAGGTGTCTTAGGACAAAGAGAATTTAGGATATTAATTACTCTCTTTTTTAAGTTGAAAAGAAAAAGTAAAACCCTTCCTTCTTGTGACTTAGTCTACAAAAAAAAAAGAAAAAAGAGAAAGAAAGAAAAAGTAAAAACCTCTCCCCAGCTTTTCTGATTTTTGGATTTGAGGAAAGTTGCAAATACTGTCTGTCCTAAACTTTTTGACATTACAAATGACTCAAAACTGCCCAAGGGACTTTGAGACTTTTCAGAAAAGGAATTTATCACTGAGGATTACTCATCTGTCAAACTAGAATAAAATGTAGTTTTGTGTGAGGCGACCTTCTTTCACAGTTACTGTTTATTGAGCCCAGGAATGCTATGGCATAGAGGGCAGGGTGTGAGTCAGAAAGCCTTGCTGTCCCAGCTGTGTCCCCAACTAGCCAAGTGACCCAATGCCACCCACTTAATCTTTAGTTCCTTCATTTGTAGAGTGTGGATAAAACAACTCTTCTCACCGCTTCATATTGTCCCTGTGAGGATCAGAGAGGATAAATCGAATGAAAGTTCTTTGAAACCCTACAAACTACTATAAAATTACAGTGTTGTAATATGTGATCATGGATTTCAAAGTTGGAAAGAACTTAGACCTTATCTAGTCAAACTTATCTAATTCATAGTTTCTTTCTCTCAGTCTGTTACTTGCTTAGAGCCACTATGTTTATTATTACTGTTGTGACACAAATTGATTTAAAATTATATCCTTCTGAATTATGTCTGTTTCTAAAATTTTATAGACTCATAGGCTATTAATGCTGCAAGGGACTTTGCCAATCATTTCATCTAATCCCCTTGTTTTAAACATGAAGCAATAGCAGCCGAAAGAGGGTGACTGGCCTTAGATAAATACAGGACAATGAACTCAGATCTTAGATTAAAACCTAGATCTCCACATTCCCAGGCATACAGACCTTTCCTACGTCACTGCTGAAGCAAGAAAATAATGGCCATTTGTGGATAAGCTTAGTTAATTGAGGTGTATACTGCCCTGACAAGATTACACTAATCATTCTAACCATTTTTATAACTTTCAAAAGATTTTTCTTTCCTCAAAAAGGAATTACACAACAAAAATGTAAAAATAAAGGAAAAACTTTTTAAATTAAAAAGTAATAACACTTGAAAAAATAATATACACACTCATATCTATTCTTTAAATGAAACTAAGATTTTTTTTTTTTTTGTGGGGGATGGAGTCTCGCTCTGTTGCCCAGGCTGGAGTGCAGTGGTGTGATCTCGGCTCACTGCAACCTCCGCCTCCTGGGTTCAAGCGATTCTCCTGCCTCAGCCTCCCGAGTAGCTGGGACTACAGGCACCCACCACCACGCCTGGCTAACTTTTGTATTTTTAGTAGAGACAGGGTTTTCATCATGTTAGCCAGGCTGGTCTCGAACTCCTGACCTCAAGTGATCTACCCACCTCGGCCTCCCAAAGTGCTGGGATTACAGGCGTGAGCCACTGTGCCTGGCTGAAACTAAGATTAAGTACTAGAACAATTAGGCATTTAATAGTCAAATTAATTACCAACATTTTAGTATAACTTGGTTTAATTTAGTCCCTAATACAGATCCTTAGAAGCGGGGCAGAAGAATGTAAATGGCAAAGAACACAGTGTTTAAAATCAAACAAACATGGGTTCAATTCTAGCTCTGCCATTTACTAGCTATGTAAATTTTGAAAATATATTCAACCTCCTGAAGCCTCAGTGTCCTCAATATATAAAGGGAATAGTAGGCTGGGCGTGGTGGCTCATGCCTATAATCCCAGGACTTTGGCAGGCTGAGGCCAGAGGACCATTTGAGCCCAGGAGTTCGAGACCAGCCTGGGCAACATAGTGAGACCCCCAACTCTAAAAAAAATTTAAAATTAGCCAAGAGTGGGTGGCACACACCTAACATCCCAGCTACTGGGGAGTAGGGAGGGGGAGACGCTCAGGCAGGAGGATCTCTTGAGCCCAGGAGGTTGAGGTTGCAGTGAGGTGTGCACTCTAGCCTGGGTGACAGAGTGAGACTCTGTCTCTAAATAAATAAATAAAGGGAATAGTAATGAGAATTATTTCATAAGTTGGTTATGAGAATTAAAAAGTAATTCATATAATTCTATAAATGAGACCAGTCATTGTTCTCACTTGGTATTTTACAGCCCAGAAACAATTATAGCAATTATTTGCTCAAGACTGCTCAGCTAGTATGTGGAGGCAAAATTGAAACCCACGTCTTCTGGCTCTGCTCTTTACACCTGCCCACACGACCTCCCTACCCAGCACTACATTAACTCACCTTCCGCCACCTCACTGTTCAGTTTTACTAAAAGTTCCAGCTCTTTCCAAAGGAGAGATTTTTCTTCCTAAGTAAGACAGCTCTTTCAGCCAGTTTCAGATGATATGCCTTCTAAAAGGCAGTGTCTCTTTTGGTTGCCAAAGGTAGTCACTTGACTCTTTTAAGATCACAGATTCCATGTGCCGGGTCCATGCTGAGGGCTGGCAGCCTGTCTGTGTCACACAACCCTCTATTGTACTCTTATCCCTCCTAGCCGACTCCGACCCTGTGTTCCATGAGGAGGCACACGCCTTCACTCCCTTCCCCCACCACAGGCTTTTCCTTCTCCTGCCAGGCTGGGAAGGACTTTATCCTTTTTCATAAGTGCTGAGCCTGTAGGACTCAAATCCCCTCAGGCATCCTTGATTTTTCTCAAAAGTCCTCATGCAAATTTGACTCTCCCTATCCTAGAGATTAGGAGACCTTGACATTTTTATTTTTGAATCTCTTGGAGCCAAGCATAAGCTGACACATCGTTAGCACTCTTAAATGTTTGCTGAAAAAAATGTGGATAAAAGGAAGGAAGGAAGGAAGGAAGGAAGGAAGGAAGGAAGGAAGGAAGGAAGGAAGAAAGTAAAGAAGGGAGGGAAGAGGGTTTTACATATCATTCTAGAGTTCCCGAAACAGACATAACAATGCAGCCAACTCACTAGCTCCAAAAGCACTTGAACAATATTTATACATTTATCTATTTATCAAACTATCTATATCAGAAAAATATCAGAACATATTGATAACTGACAAATCTCTTTCACTTTAGTCTCAGAAGTCACGTTTAAATGCTAAGTGAATATCTGTGTCAGGGAAAGAGAGAGCAACAGAGAAAGAGAGAGAGAGAATGAGTTGGGTTTGGACCATGAAAGACTGATTCGGTCACCCAGTCTGATTCTGTCACCCAATTTGGAGTGCAGTGGTGTAATCACGGCTCACTGCAGCCTCGATGTCCCTGGCTCAATGGATCCTATCACTTCAGCCTCCAGAGTAGCTGGGACTACAGGCATGAGCCACTGCACCTGGCTAATTTTTGTATTTTTTGCAGAGATGGGGTTTTGCCATGTTGCCCAGGCTGGTCTCAAACTCCTGGGCCCAAGCAATTCCCCCACCTCAGCCTCCCAAAGTGCTAGGATTACAGGGGTGAGCCACTGTGCCCAGCCCGTAATGATTAATTTTATGTGTCAACTTGACTGAGCTAAAGGATGCCCAGATAGCTGGTAAAACATTATTTCTGGGTGTGTCTGTGAGGGCATTTCTGGAGGAAATCAGCATTTGAATTAGTAGACTGAGTAAAGAAGATCTATTTTCATCCAGTCTGTTGAGGGCACAGATAGAACAAAAAGGCAGAGGAAAGGTGAATTCACTGTCTGCTTGAGTTGAGCCAACCATCTCCTGATGCTGTAAGACATAGGAGCTCCTGGTTCTCAGGCCTTCAGACTCACTGAATTAAATCACTAGCTTCCCTGGTTCTCCAGCTTGCAGATGACATATTGTGAGGCTTCTCAGCCTCCATAATTCTGTAAGCCTATTCCCATAATACATCTCCTATCATCTATCTATCTATCTATCTATCTATCTATCTATCTATCTATCAATCAATCATCTATCATCTGTTTATCTATCTATCTTATTAGTTTTGTTCCTCTCGAGAATCCTAACTAATACAGAGATTAAAAGCCCCAACTTCTTTTACACAGCCATGCCTCCAAGCTGCTATGTGACCCTGGGTAAATCACTCTCAGGGTTGTTAAAATGGAGGTAATTCTTATTTTTTGTTTGCTTGTTTGAGACAGGATCCCACTCTGTCACCCAGGTTGGAGTGCAGTGGTGGTGATGACAGTTCAATGTGGCCTCAATCTCCCAGGCTCAAGCGATCCTCCCACCTCAGCCTCCCAAGTAGCTGGGACTACAGGCATGTGCTAGCATGCCTGGCTGTTTTTTTTGTTTTTTCGTTTTCAGTAGAGACAGGTCTTGCAAAGTTTCCCAGGCCAATCTCGAACTCCTGAGCTCAAGCAATCTTCATGCCTCGGCCTCCCAAAGTGCTGGGATTACAGGTGTGAGCCACCGCACCTGGTTAAAATGGAGGTAATTCTAAAGGATATCTTACAAAGTTGTCATGGACAATAACTACAATGCATTTTAAACAATGTTTAAAATAATCCATGAAAGTAATTATTGTACTATCCCAAATTTTCACAATATTTAAAGACTGGATCTTAACATTTGAATTTTTTTATCTGTACCTTCTTTGCCTCAACTAACTAGAATTCATGACTTTTGGCTATGCAGGCATCATTCCTATTAATTATATTTCTGAAATTGCTTTGGAATGTTTCTGGTCTCTCTGGTCCCACGGCAACTGCTACGCTTTTTACTCTTTATTTATTTATTTATGTTTTTATTTTAGAGACAAGCCTGGAGTGTGATGCTGTCCAGGCGGGAGTGTGATGGTGTGAATTTGGCTCACTGCAGCCTCAAACTCCTGAGCTCAGGTGAACCTCCCACCTCAGCCTCCCATGTGGCTGGAACTACAGGCACATGCCACCATGCTTGGCTAATTTTTGTGGGGTTTTTTTGTTTTTTGTTTTGTTTTGTTTTGGAGACAGAGTACCATTCTCTCACCCAGGCTGGAGTGCAATGGTGCAATCTCGGCTCATTGCAACCTCCACCTCCCCAGTTCAAGCTATTCTCCTGCTCAGCCTCCAGAGTAGCTGGGACTACGGATGCACACCGCCACACCTGCTAATTTTTTTTGTATTTTAGTAGAGACGGGATTTCACCATGTTGCCCAGGCTGGTCTCAAACTCCTGACCTCAGGCAATCTGCCCGCCTTGGCCTCCCAAAGTGCTAGGATTACAGGGACATGCCGCCACACCTGGCCATACTTTTTGTATTTTTTTGTAGAGACGTGGTCTCACTTTGTTGCCCAGGCTGGTCTTGAACTCCTGAGCTTAAGCAATCCTTCTGCTTGGCCTCCCAAAATTTTGAAATTACAGTCACTGTGCCCAGCCCCCTACTCTTTTAATAATTCTCACTTAGGTGCAATAGCCTCCTAACACTTATACCTACCTCATTCTCCATTATGTCTGGACATCCTAGGACATTTAAATAAATTCAGGCTGCCCATGTCATGGATCTATGATAATATATAAAAGCTCAGCTTTTGGCTGCAGCTATTTTGGCTCTATTCAATATTCTCTGGTCTTCAATCCCTTGGCTTTCTATTCCAGCTCCTGATACTGGTTAGAGACTCTTCTTTCTGTGATTACCTGGGTGGACATGCTTCTTTTTTACTCTGTGCATTCTCTCTGATCTAACATTCTCGTTCATAAATTCTTCATATCTGCAACTGTGGGTAACAAGTATTTTCACTGCCCCAGTCTGGCCGTGATAGACTCACTGTAGCCCACCAGCCCAACCACCCTGAGAAGGAGATCAGACAAAATCTGTCATTAGAGTGATCATTCCAAATCTCAGATTATAACATGGTAGTCTCTGATTCCAGTGCCAACAACAAAATGTCAGTGTGGTTATTCAATGTTTTGTGACTTGGCTGGGTAAAGGCACAAAGGATCTTTGGCAATAGGTGGCTGGTGGGAAGAAAAATGGAGTCCTACTCTTTGGGATCATCCACTACTGGAATGGAAGGTGGGCTAGGAGGAACTGACCAAGCTACAAAGGCTGACCGTGGAGATGGTTATTTGGTGAATCAAGGGTAGGAGAGCTTAACAGTCCCAGCTGCCAATCTAGAAGTTTTTAGTACTGCCATGATGCCAGAGGGTGACGGTAATAAGTTAGGATGGCAGCAAATTACACTCTTCAATTTTTTACCCTAGAAAGCATGCATATAGCCAGGTGCAGTGGCACGCACCTGTAGTCCCAGCTACTTGGGAGGCTGAGGCAGGAGGATTGCTTGAGCCCAGGAGTTTGAGACTAGCCTGGGCAACACAGCAAGACTCACATCTCAAAAAAAAAAAAAGCATGCATATTAATCCTTGTTGCTGACTCCATTCATTCCTTCAATAGTTAAGCACAAACTCTATGCAAGGATTTGTATTAGGCACTGGGTACACAACAGAAAAGGAAAGCCAGCACAGTGACCTCCTTGGTAAGTTTTGTCAAATAACTTGGCATGTGCCATTCTTCTTTATTGTGTTGTCAGTGTTAGAATGGGTTTTGGACCAGCGAATGGGGCTTCTAGCCAGTGCATTTATACAAACAGTTCTCAGATGTGCCACAAATATGTGGCCAACATAACATTACAGCCCCCATTCCTGCTTAGGAATAATGACAGTTTTTTAGTAAATGACATCCTTTAAAGGCAAATTACACATATTGGTGGTTTCTGGATGTTTTAAGGTTTCCACGTAGTTTTTTCAACTGACAATCCCTGTATAGGGATCTTGGAGAGTTAATCATCACACCACAGTTTTCAGCAATACACTCATATGTTTATACTGACAGTCAAGACATGTTGGTGGCCCAAAATGAAATGATTACATTTTGTAGAACCTCCTTCCCATAGGAGGAGTGGTAACGAAAATGTCTCTGGAGAAGAAACTAGTTCATATCACTCAGAATTAATGTCCATCCAGAAAGAACACATACAAATAAAAAGATATGTCATATTCTTGGCTTGGAAGACACACATTGTAAATATGTCAGTTTTCTCTGAAACTGATCTATAAATTTTTTACAGCTCAATAACAATTCCAAAATTCTAATGGAATTCTTTTGGAACTTGGCAAAAAATATTAAAATTTGTCTGGAAAATAAAAATATGCCCGAATAGCCAAGAAAATTCTAACACAGAAGAATATTAGGGAGAGCTTTGCCAGTTATTTAAACTGCAGTATTTATTGCTGATATACTGCTGCAGGAATGGACAGATGATCAATAAAACCAAATAGTGAGAACAGAAGCAGATCCAAATACAAATGAGATTGGATTATATAATAAAGTGGGGAAAAGAAACACATTATTCAGACAACAGGCTAGTCATTTGGAAAATGAATAAAGTTGGTCCCTACCTTGAACTTCCAGATGGAATAAAGATTTAAATTTGTAAGAAATTATAAAGTACTACAAAGTTAGGCCAGGTGTGGTAGCTCATGCCTGTAATCCTAGCACTTTGGAAGGCTGAGGAGGGCAGGTCACTTGAGGCCAGGAGTTCGAGACCAGCCTGACAAACATGGTGAAACCCTGTCTCTACTAAAAATACAAAAAATTAGCCAGGCGAGGTGGTTGGTGCCTATAATCCCAGCTACTCGGGAGGCTGAGACAGGAGAATTGCTTGAACCCAGGAGGCGGAGGTTGCGTGAGCCAAGATTGTGCCTCTGAACTCCAGCCTGCATGACAGAGCCAGACCCTGTCTCAAAACAAAGAAACAAAAAAGTAATACAAACTTTCAGATGAATTTTTAAATATAATTTTTAAGTGAAGGAGGACTTGAGGCCTGACACTTGGCTGTTCAGGCATCAGATTCCCTACCTTTGAGGGAGGAATTCCCCACTGTGAGTGATTGTGGCGTGACAGAGCGCACTGTCTCCTGGAGCTGGAGGAGACCCATTCTACCCCAGCCCACACATACGGCCTTGTGGAAACTCCCTGTGGCTTGCTGATTAAAGAAGAAAATGTTCAAGACTAGTTTCCAGATGACTCTTCCCTGGTCTAAGGACACTAGCACAATTAGGACTATTGTTGCAACTTTCACCCGCTTAGGGGCGGCCTTGAAAGACAATTGAGAAGGAAAATCTTCCCAGGGGCAGAACTCTAAGCAGTACATCTCATGATCCACCTTCCTGGAAGGAGAAATGACCTTAGGATTTAGAATCCAAAGGGACAAAAAAAAAATGTTTCAGTCAAGGGACATATTAAAGAGCTCACTGAATAGGAAAGTGAAACTCTTACTTTGCCACTTTTTGGCAAACAGAAAAGAACGTCTGGGTATAGACTGGGTGATTAATTCTGAGTATAAAAGAAAAAGAGTTATTTCAGCATAATAGGAGAAGAGAGGTGACCCCAGATACATTTCCTCAGTCTCCCCAGCCAGGATGCTAGTAACAAGACATAGGCAGGACTGCTGAGGACTCAGATTCCTTGGAAATGAAAGTTTGGGTCACTCCAAGAAGTAAAGAACTCTACTAGCTTAACACCAAGTTGAGAGCAAAGAATCATTTTTGTCATTTCAAAGACAGCACAAATGCATTTTGGCTTATGAAACCCAGGAAGCAGACTGACTAATTTTGACTTGTCACTATCGCCCCATTTTAAGCACAAGGCCTGTTCACATTTCAGAGAATATATGTCTTCTTGTTCACTGATAACTCTGCAGAGGAAGTCTATAACATCTGCTGTTTTTTTATCCTGTTCTCTCTTCAGCCTCCTTCATCTCTGCCTCCTAGGCCTTGGAATGAACTCTCCAACTCTTTCTCTTTCGTAGTCCCTCAATTCACCAGGTGTTTCCCACCTCTGTGCACTTGCGCCATGAGCTCTTCCTCCACCCTCTCCCTCCATGGCTGCTTACTGACTGCCAATTGAGATTCACCCTGACAGTCCCCTCTGAAGCCTCACCAGTGTAGGCCCAACAGAACTGACCACTTCCCCCTTACTTCTGTCAGAGTACCTATAATACTTTATTGGCATTATAGGTTTGCATGTTTGTCCCTGCTTAGCAGACTTCTTACTTATTTACCTATTTACTTTTGAAACAAGGCCTTGCTCTGTCACCCAGGCTGGAGTGTTGTAGCATGATCATTGCTCACTGAAGCCTCAAACTTCTGGGCACAAGGGATTCTCCTGCCTCAGCCTGCTTGGCAGCTGGTACTGTCAGAGGCATTTGAACCATAGCAACTCCATCTAGAATAGGAGCTAGGTAAAATGAGGCTGAGACCTACTGGGCTGCATTCCCAGACAGTTAAGGCATTCTAAGTCATAGAATGAGACAAGAGGTCGGCACAAGATACAGGTCGTAAAGATCTTTCTGATAAAACAGGTTGCAGTAAAGAAGCCAACTCTTAGGCAGGGCACAGTGGCTCATGCCTATAATCCCAGCACTTTAAGAGGCTGAGGCAGGTGGATCACCTGAGGTCAGGAGTTTGAGACCAGCCTGGCAGATGTGGTGAAACCCCATTTCTACTAAAAATACAAAAATTGCCAGGCGTGGTGGCCCACACCTGTAATCCCAGCCATTGGGAGGGTGAGACAGGAGAATTCCTTGAACCCGGGAGGCAGAGGTTGCAGTGAGCCAAGATTGTGCCATTGCACTCCAGCCTGGGTGAAAGAGCGAGACTTTGTCTCAAACAAACAAACAAAAAAAGAAGCCAACTCTAACCCACCAAAACCAAGATGGTGATGAGAGTGACCTCTGGTTGTCCTCACTGCTACACTCCCACCAGCACCATGACAGTTTACAAATGCCATGGCAATGTCAGGATGTTACCCCATATGGTCTAAAAAGGGGAGGCATGAATAATCCACCCATTGTTTAGCATATAATCAAGAAATAGCCATAAAAACAGGCAACCAGCAGTTCTCGGGAATATTGCCATCTATAGAGTAGCCATTCTTTTATTCCTTTACTTTCTTAATAAACTTGATTTTGCTTTGCACTGTGGACTTGCCCTGAATTTTTTCTTGCGCAAGATTCAAGAACCTTCTCTTGGGGTCTGGATCTGGACCCATTTCCTATAATAGTACTACAGGCACAAAACAACATTCCTGGCTTTTTTTTTTTTCTTTTTTTTGGTAGAGATGGGGTCTCACTATGTTGCCTAAGCTGGTCTCGAAGTTTCGGGCTCAAGCAATCCTCCTGCCTTGGCCTCCCAAAGTGCTGAGATCACAGACATGAGCCACTGCACTTGACCCAGATTTACCTTTACAACCCTTGGCACAGAGACCAACCAGCACATAGTAGGCACTCAGGGATGCTGAAGACTAAACTAATGAATCGCCAGTGTCAGAGATGGCAATAACATTGAGAATGAGTACACTTTCAGGCATAGACTTTAAATGGAACAAATAATCCTCTAGGTTTACCTTACCCTGAATAACTAAAGCTTATATTCACAAGTACTTAGAGTGAGAGCTAATTCTGTCTTCTAGAACATGTAAAATATAACCATTTTTCAGACCCAACATTTAAGAGGGAAAGGTCAAGTCAGCTTCCAGGCCTGTGAGGCCAAAATGAGAGTAACAGCCAATTGGCCCTTTTCTACCTTTGGCTGTGACTGTGTGACTCTCCTCTCCCTTTTCTGTTCTAAGGGTGGGAGGAAGGTGCACGAGCACACGAGAGTCTTTAGTGCAGTTTCCAGGGTTTGCAGCTTCAGGGATAATGAAGGTTTGGAGGAGTTCAGTACTATTGCTGTATGTCACAGTTTCCATTTTTGTTAAAATCTTCAATCACTCACAGACCAAGTTCTTCTTCTATTTCCTAACATTTTCCCTAGGTATGATAATTTGCATGGTAAACACACTGCATATTAATAGCATTCGAAGTCACAGGATGAGATAGGAGGTCGACACAAAACCTGTTTTGCTGATAAAACAGGTTGCAGTAAAGAAGCCAACTCAGGCCAGGTGCGGTGGCTCACGCCTGTAATCCCAGCACTTTGAGAAGGCAAGATGGGTGGATCATGTGAGGTCAGGAGTTCGAGACCATGGCCAACACGGGGAAACCCCTCTTTACTAAAAATACAAAAATTAGGCAGGTGTGGTGGTGCGCATGTAATCCCAGCTCTTCAGGAAGATGGGACAGGAGAATAGCTTGAACCTGGGAGGTGGAGGTTGCAGTGAGCTGAGATTGTGCCACTGCACTCCAGCCTGGGAGACAGAGCAAGACTGTTTAAAAAAAAAAAAAGAAAGAGGAAGAAGAAGAAGAAAGAAGAAAAGAAGAAGAAGGAGGAGGAGGAGGAGGAAGAGGAGGAGGAGGAGGAGAAGAAGAAGAAGAAGAAGAAGAAGAAGAAGAAGAAGAAGAAGAAGAAGAAGAAGAAGAAGAAGAAATAGCAGCCAACTCTAAGCCACCAAAACCTGTTTCTCAGAATTCTGAGAAATGTTCATTATTCTTTTTTGTTTCTCAATTATGTTTCTCCCTTTCCTCAGGAAGCCAATTTTTATCCTCTGTCATTGTCAGGAGTGTATTTAACATGACAGAAGTCCTGTGACCTCTTCAAATGTCCCTATTTCCTCCTGAGTATATTCCAATCATCTCTGTGTCTGGTTGGCCTAATTTTAATTATGATTCCACTGGGCATGTGGCTACTCAGTCTACTTTTCTGTTCACTGAGCCAGATTTTCAATCCACATACTCAGAGCAAATTACGTACCACCGGAAAACTACATTAAAACTTTTGGGATAGTGCAGGCTATTTTATGCACTAAAGCAGTAATTTACCAAATGTTCCTTAATGATCTGTGAAAAAATTGCCATGTTTTTCACGATATTGAATGCGCTTCCAGGAAGTTAGGCAAAGGGAGAATCTGACCTAATGTGAACAAATGAGTAATCTTAGCTCTTACCTTTCCTAAAATCAATACTATTACCTAATTCAGTGAGCATGCACAGGAAACATACTCAAACGTACAGGACCAGCTCTTGAAACACTGACACATTTTGGTTTCCTCTCTCAAGAAAACAACCTAAGGGGAAATTCTATTTCCTTCTCATGGCTTCTCTCAAAGTTAATTCTTTACACACCAAGTAATAGTTATAACATGCATGTATTTCTAAATCTCAGGTTACCAAATATAAGATTTTTTTTTGAGAAAACACCTTTGAAGACAGGGGTATAAGACTGGGCTGAAAATAGGAGGGTTGGTTGAAAGGAGCAGTTTATCCACTCAGACCTCCTCTTCTGTTCTATGACCGGTCCCTCACTTCTTTTTTTTTTTTTTTTTTTGGAGACAGTCTCACTCTGTTGCCCAGGCTGGAGTGCAATGGTGCAACCTTGGCTCACTGAAACCTCTGCCTCCCTGGTTCAACCATTCTCCTGCCTCAGCCTCCCAAGTAGCTGGGATTACAGGTGTGTGCCACCACAGCCAGCTAATTTTTCTATTATTAGTAGAGATGGGGTTTCACCATGTTGGCCAGGCTGGTCTCAAACTCCCGACCTCAGGTGATCCACTGGCCTCGGGCTCCCAATGTGCTGTGATTACAGGCAACAGCCACGGCGCCCAGACATTTCAGATGTTTCTTGTACATGCTGACATTGCCTTGAAACACTTACACCAAAATTTTAAAATTTGAAATGTTAAAAGTGAATATTTCTCAAGATAAAATAGAAGAGTGGTTCTTTGATGATGTTATAAATCACTTTCCCATCCCCTTAAAATCACCACTGAATCCTCACTCTACAACCTCAAGAGAAATCCTCACAATCAATTCCTTTGAAATTATCTGAACAGAATGGAATATTCCACAAATAATTATGGAGCGTTTGCTATGTGCCAGGCACTGAGACAAAAAAATCAAGATAAAATGATGACTAAAAGAGACATCCTTACTTCCATAAAATTTACAATACAAGCTGGGGAGACTGATAGAAACAGATCTTCATAGAATGGACATCTGATCAAAATTGTGAGGGTTTTGACCCCAGTCCTCGGCTGAATCTATTCTTCTCAACGTCACTACTGACCTTCATAGGGCTGAATCCACTGGTCAGATTTTGGTCAATCTTAGCTTCTTAAAAGTAGTTAATACAGGCCAGGCGCAGTGGCTCACGCCTGTAATTCCAGCACTTTGAGAGGCCAAGGCGGGTGGATCATCAGGTCAGGAAATCGAGACCATCCTGGCTAACACGGTGAAACCCCGTCTCTACTAAAAATACAAAAAATTAGCCAGGTGTGGTGGCAGGCGCCTGTAGTCCCAGCTACTCAGGAGGCTGAGGCAGGAGAATGGCGTGAACCCAGGAGGCGGAGCATGCAGTGAGCGGAGATCGCACCACTGCACTCCAGCCTGGGTGACAGAGCGAGACTCCGTCTCAAAAAAAAAAAAAAAAAAAAAAGTAGTTAACACAGTAGAGTCACACTCTCCTTTTCCAAACATTTCTTCAACTGACTTGCAATTCTGTGGTTTTAGATGCTTAAGAGTCCTAAATTCATATTTTCAGCCTAGCCTAAATTTGACACATCTTTATCTATCTGCCTACTCAACATCTCCTCTCAGTCAGCCAATAGGCATCTCAAACTAAACATGTTCCAGACTGAATTCTGAATTTCCTTCTCCACTTGTCACAAATCTACTGCTCTCCCAGTGCTCTATATTTTATTAAACGTGTATTAGTTCGTTTTCATGCTGCTGATAAAGACATACCCGAGATTGGGTAATTTATACAGGAAAAGGGGTTTAATGGACTTACAGTTCCACATGGCTGGGGAGGCCTCACAATCATGGCGGAAGACAAGGAGGAGCAAGTCGCCTCTTACATGAACGGCAGCAGGCAAAGAGAGAGTTTGTACAGGGAAACTCCCCCTTATAGAACCATCAGATCTCATGAGACTTACTCACTATTATGAGAGCAGCATGGGAAAGGCCTGCCCCCATGATTCAATTACCTCTTGGGGGTCCCTCCCACAACACATGGGAATTCAAAATGAGATTTGGGTGGGAACACAGCTAAACCATACCAAATGGAACCTCTTCTAATTCAGCTGATCAGGCCAAAAATCCTGGAATTGTTCATAACTTTTCTTTCTTTCCTAGTCCGTGTTCAACTTACCAGGAAATCCCACTGGATTTACTTTCAACCTATATCACAATTTTACCATCTCTCTCCCACTACCTTCATCACTACTATCTCAGTTCAAGGCACCATTTTCTACCATTTGGATCTTTCCCGTAGATTCTCAAATGATCTTTTGGATTCCACTCTTTTGTTTTATTCTCCATACAGCAGAGAGAGCTTCATCAATGAGATCATGTCATTTCCTTGTTTGTATCTTTTCAATGGCTTCTCATCACACTTAGGGTAAAATCCTTACCATGGCACATAAGGCTTTGCATGACCTGGTCTTCTGCCTCTCTGTTCACCTGCCTTCCTAACTCATCTTACTATTCCTTGAGTTTTCTCTGTACTTTCCCACGTTGGGAACTTGGCATTTGTGTCCCTCTGCCTAGAATATTGCTCACCTCAATATCATCATGGCTCTCTTCTTCAGTTTACACACATCTCCATTCAAATATTAACTTTTCAGGGAGGCCTGCTCTTATTACGCAGTCTAAAACAGCACTCCCTCTACCTCTTTCTCTCTGTCCTCTTGGCATGCTTTATTTTCTTATTGCCCTCTGACATTGTGCGCACGCGCGTGTGTGTGTGTTTTTACTATATGTCTCTCTTATTAGGATGTAAGATTCAAGAGGACAGGAACTTTTGTCTCATTCACTCTTGTACCCCCATGCCTAGAACAAGGAGGAGTGCCTGGCAATTGTAAGTAGGTACTCATCAACTGCAAGTTGCGTAAATGAATGTAATGAGGGTATAAGGGAAAACTGCAATAACATATCAGACACGGAACAAACCTAGATTGGTATCATTAAAGGGAGTGAAGAAAGTTATGCCTTCTGGTAAACTTTTTGGAAATGAAAACTCCAGCTACACAAATGTAGATAGCAGAGTTCTGTAACACTCTCAAGACAGTTGCACACCCCTCATTCTGAGTGGACCTATTAGAGGTAGGCATAAAAGCTTTATCGAGGCCAGGTGCAGAAGCTCACACCTGTAATTCCAGCACTTTGGGAGGATGATGTTGGAGGATTGCTTGAACCCAGGAGTTTGAGACCAGCCTGGGCAACATAGGGAGACACTACAAAAACAAAATTAATTATTTTTATTCATTTATTTATTATTATTATTTTTTATAGAGATGGTCTATGTTGCCCAGACTGGTCTTGAACACCTGGGCTCAAATGATTCATTTGCCTCAGCCTCCCAAAGTGCCAGAATTACAGGAGTGAGCCACTGCACCCGGTGCCCACAAAAAAAATTTTTTTAACAAAAAAAGAAAGTTTTATTGAAGAAAAATGTTTTTTTGTGCATAGTTTGATTTTGCTTTTTCCCAGAGAAATTTCACCAGCAAAATCTCATTTATCTGCGGAATAGATCTGTTAGGTAGTTGGACAAGAAAGATGAAAAGAAAAGGAGCCAGGTGCGGTGGCTCACACCTGTAATCCCAGCACTTTGGGAGGCCGAGGCGGGTGCATCACGAGGTCAGGAGATCGAGACCATCCTGGCTAACACAGTGATACCCCATCTCTACTAAAAATACAAAAAATTAGCCAGGCGTGGTGGTGGGCACCTGTAGTCCCAGCTACTCGGGAGGCTAAGAATGGTGTGAACCCAGGAAGCGGAGCTTGCAGTGAGCCGAGATTGCACCACTGCACTCCAGCCTGGGCAACAGAGCAAGACTCCATCTCAAAAAAAAAAGAAAAAGAAAAAAGAAGGAAACAGAAAAGACTAATACCAGTTTTGTCTTAGTTAAAAGGCAATGAGATAGAGAAGTCTTGTGATATACCCAGCATGATAGTGATAGAGCTAGACATGTAATTGATCTTCCTAATTTATTACTGATCTCTGCTTCCAAGAGCTGAGATTGGAGGGAAAAAAAAGAGAGACAGAGAAGTGTCTGCATATTTATCCAGAGTGGATATGTGTTCTCTCATACCTCCTCAACCCTAACCAACACCTATAATTCTGATCATGACTCCCATAAGGTCTACAGTATAGGAAGTAGGAAAGGTATAAGAGGAAACGGTAGGTGCTCTATAAACATTTATTGAATGCATAAATAATTTGGTAAGAGTAAAGGGGGAAAGAAAAAGATTTTGTTGTGTGGATGTGAGAATGTATTCCTGTGTACTCACACACAAGTATAATTCCTAATGATTTGAGCCTATGTGATGGAAGCACATTTAATTAATTGATAGCATAAAAAGAATTGGGCCAAGCACAGTGGCTCACACCTGTAATCCCAGCACTTCAGGAGGCCCAGGCGGGTGGATCACCTGAGGTCAGGAGTTCGAGATCAGCCCGGCCAACATGGTGAAACCCCATCTCTACTAAAAATACAAAAATTAGCCAGGCGTGGTGGCACCGCCTGTAGTCCCAACTACTCAGGAGGCTGAGGCAGGAGAATCACTTGAACTCAGGAGGTGGAGGTGGCAGTGAGCCAAGATCATCGTATCACTGCACTCCAGTCTGGGCAACAGAGGGAGACTCTGTCTCCAAAAAAAAAAAAAAAAAAAAAAAAGAATTGGAATTTATGGAATTGTAATATGAAATTTAGTGATTTAGTGGAGAGTTTATTTTAATTTCCCTGTCCTCTGTGTTTTTATTTCCAGTGACCTTTCAATGACTAGATAGTTCTTATTTATGTAAAGTATGTTTTTCTTCAAAATCATAAAGAAACTACATATATGTCAAATGCAACTTTATTGATATATCAGATTTAATTGTGTAACTTGTGTGTTTCCACTCCAGTCCAGGCATAAGGTAACACCAAAAACACAGAAAGCAGTATTCACCAACTTGGCCCTCATAATTCCTCAAATCCTGCCCAGCTAGGTATGAGCAGCCTGCAGAGGATGCTCTTGGTGGTGCTGACAAATATGGTGCCCAGGGCTACAGCACAGCCTCTGAAGTTTCTTCCCTTTGTGCTCCTGAATTGGGCCTTGGGGTCCCAAGCCCTCAGGCTGTTACTTTGTTTATGCTTCTTTAGGTCAAAGTCTCTGTGATTCTTCCCCTTTTCACTCCCATTCCTTCTAATACTTCTTGTCCTCTGACTACTTTCCCCATTTCTGATGCACAACTCATTCTGTTCTCTTTTTTGTGACCTGCTGGAGTACAGTGGTTCTTATTTGCAGTGCCTGGACGTCATATGTATGTAATGCGCTGCTCTGACCCAAGTACCAGCATATTGTGTTTGAGAAATTAACTCTGCCTTGTTTTCTACTCATCAGGAAGGAACAAGGGATTATGAAACATAATGTTGAACAGCTACTCAAAGCCATTCCCAAACCTCTTATCCATTTATGCCTCCCACTATACAGCCTGAAAAGCAGAATACTTGCTTTTCTGTTTTTCCTTGCATCTAGAGATGGCCCTGGGACCCAGTTCTGGCCCATGGGACATCATGAGGCCTGATGATTGTTAAAGCAAACTAAATATGGCCTGAGAATGACTCTGTGCTTCCATATTTGAGCCCTTGTGAATGGACAGTAACCTAACTTAGTAGGTAGATAAGATTGAAAACCTAATTTAGGAGTATGTGTCTGTAATAAGAGCTGAGTCTCAGACAATCCCAGCAGCCATTCTTCAACCACTCATACACTGCTGAGCATTCAAACTGTGTTCTAATAAGGCAAATGCCAAACTGTAACCAATCCAGCTATTTTTATACCTCACTTCCATTTTTTGTATATCACTTGCCTTTTTCTATCCAAAAATCTTCTTCCACCACATGGCTGCACTGGAGTATCTGAGCTTACTCTGGCTCAGGAGGCTGCCCAATATGCAAATCGTTCATTGTCCAATTAAGCTCTTTTAAATTTAATGCAACTGAGGTTTTTCATTTAACATGATCAAGGAAGATCAGGTTCGGAAAAACTTCTGCTTCGCTGAAGAAAGAACACATAAGGTCTGTGTTCTCCTTCACCCACTTCCTTTTCTCTTGAATGCAGAATTGATGGCTGAATCTACAGTGTCATCTTGTACCCATGAGAGAAAAGTCAGGACAAGCACAGATACATGGACTCTGACATCACCAAATTGTAGAACCAAGGTCAGCAGCTATCTGATACAGACAGACTTCAGTGAAGAAAATTAAACCTCTATGTGGTCAAGGGACTACAGGTGGTTTTTCTGTTATTTGCCTGTGAATGCAAGTCTAACTGATGCACAGGCACTTCCTTACCACCACAGAGCAGTCCCCTTTAAAGGGAAAAGCCAGAGCTTTTTAAGCTGAAGGCTGGGGCTTCTTGATCACCACTGAAAAGTTAAGACACTTTTGTTTTTCCATTGAGGCTAAGAGCAGGATAGAGCTGAATTATCTAAGAGTTTTGAGACTGGGAAGGATGGAGAACTATTATATTCTACAAATAGTGGAGCTGTGAAAAGGTAGGACCTCAGATGGGTGTTATCTATGTCACCAAGCGCTGTAGCCCTGGTAATAAAGGTAGGGTTCCCTGTAGCTGAGCCTGTGGTCAGTAGAAGAGACCATTGTAAAGAACGTTTCTCAGGCCAGGCACAGTGGCTCACGCCTGTAATCCCAACATTTTGGGAGGCCGAGGTGGGTGGATCACCTGAGGTTGGGAGTTCAAGACCAGCCTGACCAACATGTAGAAACCCCGTCTCTACTAAAAATACAAACTTAGCCGGGCATGGTGGCGGGCGACTGTAATCCCAGCTACTCGGGAGGCTGAGGCAGGAGAATTGCTTTGAACCCCTGGAGGTGGAGGCTGCAGTGAGCCGAGATTGTGCCATTGCACTCCAGCCTGGGCAACAAGAGGGAAACTCCATCTCAAAAAAAAAAAAAAAAGAACGTTTCTCTTCCTACCCAATGCAACAAAGCTCAAAGACAAATGAGGAGGAAGTGAAAATGGCATCGTATAGTAATGGAAGGAGCAAGTGAAACTCTGGCTACTATGGAGATCAAGGACTAGGTCTCCTGTTTACTTTGGAGGCTCTTATATTTTTGTGCAGTCTAATTGTGGGTGGAGAAGAGATGGCAGCAATGCCTAATATTAGACGTTTTGTTGATGCTAATAAACAGGGGATTAGGCTAGTTTTTTTTAACCTAGTTATATCTTGACATTTGAAATGGGTTTCTTGTAGACAGTATATTCTTGAGCTTTTTTAAAAAATTCAATCTTGAGTTTTACCCAAATGATAATTTCTGTCTTTTAATTGGTACATTTAGACTATTTTGTAATTATTGATATGGTTGAATTAAAATCTTCCATCTCGTAGTCATTTTCCATTTATTCCATCTGTTCTTTGATTCTTTTACTTGTTTTTGTTTTTGGTAGAGATGGGATTTTCCTATGTTGCTGAAGTTGGTCTCAAACCCTGGCATCAGTGATCCTCCCACCTCAGCCTCCCAAATTGTTGGGATTACAGGCATGAGCCACTGTGCTCAGCCTTAATTTTTTGTAGTTTTTTTTTTCTTTTTGGTTCTGTGATTCCTCTTTCCTCTATTTCTATATTGTTTTGGATTATTTGGGTATTTTTAATGAGTCCATTTCATCTTTATTATTGGCTCACTATTTGTACTTCATTCACATACATTTTTAGTGCTTAACCTAGGGTTTAAAATATACATCTTTAATCCATCACAGTCTATCTTCAAATAATATTATACCACTTCATGTGTTGCATGAGAACCTTGTAACAGTATAGGCCTTTCAGCCTCTGTGTTATGTTATCATATATTTTACTTCTGTCAGAGGCATTGGAATCACAGTGACTCCATAGTGAACAGGGGCTGGGTAAAATAAGGCTGAAACCTACTAGGCTGCATTCCCAAGAGGTTAGTCATTCTTCGTCACAGGATAAGACAGGAGGTCAGCACAAGATATAGGTCACAAAGACCTTGCTGATAAAACAGCATGTGATAAAGAAGCTGGCCAAATCCCACTAAAACCAAGATGGTGCCGAAAGTGACCTCTGGTCATTCTGACTGTTCATTATACTCTAATTATAAGGCATTAGCATGCTAAGAGACACTCCCAGCAGCACCATGACAGTTTACAAATGCCATGGCAACGTCAGGAAGTTACCCTGTGTGGTGTAAAAAGGGGAGAAACCCTCAGCTCCGGGGATTGCCCACCTCTTTCCTGGAAAACTCATGAATAACTCACTCCTTGTTTAGCATATAATAAAGAAACAACTGTTAAGTGTAATTAGTTGAGCAGCCTATGCTGCTGCTCTGCCTATGGAAGAGCCATTCTTTTGTTTCTTTACTTTCTTAATAAACTTGCTTTCACTTTACTCTATGGGGTCACCTTGAATTCTTTCTCTTTTCTTTTTTCTTTTTTTTTTTTTTTTTTTTTTTTTGAGACGGAGTCTGGCTCTGTCGCCCAGGCTGGAGTGCAGTGGCGGGATCTCGGCTCACTGAAAGCTCCGCCTGCCAGGTTCACGCCATTCTCCTGCCTCAGCCCCCCCAGGTAGCTGGGACTACAGGCTCGTGCCACCACGCCCGGCTAATTTTCTGTATTTTCAGTAGAGACGGGGTTTCACCCTGTTAGCCAGGATGGTCTCCATCTCCTGACCTTGTGATCCGCCCGCTTCGGCCTCCCAAAGTGCTGGGATTACAGGCATGAGCCACCGCGCCTGGCCCTGAATTCTTTCTTGCATGAGGTCCATGCAAGAAAGAATGGGGTCTGGATCGGTATCCCTTTCCATGAACACTTTCATATATGCTATAAAAACAAATGCATTTATACGATTGACTTTGTTTAAGAAAATCAGTTATCTTTAGGCCGGGCACCGTGGCTCATGCCTGTGATCCCAGCACTTTGGGAGGCCAAGGCGGGAGGATCACGAGGTCAGGAGTTCGAGACCAGCCTGGCCAACATGGTGAAACCCCGTCTCTACTAAAGACAAAAAAAAAAAAAAATAGGCCAGGCGCAGTAGCTCACACCTGTAATCCCAGCATGTTGGGAGGCTGAGGCAGGCCAATCCCCTGAGTTCAGGAGTTCAAGAACAGCCTGACCAACATGGAGAAACCCCATCTCTACTAAAAATACAAAATTAGCCGGGCGTGGTGGTACGTGCCTGTAATTCCAGCTACTCGGGAGCCTGAGGCAGGAGAATTGCTTGAACCTGAGAGGCGGAGGTTGCAGTGAGCCGAGATCATGCCATTGCACTCCTTGGGCAACAAGAGCAAAACTCTGTCTCAAAAAAAAAGCAGAGCATGGTAGGCCATGCCTGTAATCCCAACCACTCAGGAGGCTGAGGCAGGAGAATCACTTCGAACCCGGGAGGCAGAGGTTGTAGCGAGCTGAGATTGTGCCACTGCACTCCAGCCTGGATGACTGAGTGAGACTCCGTCTGAAAAATAAAAAAAAGGAAATCAGTTATCTTTCAGGGCGGTTAAAAATGAGGAAATTATATTTACCTTCATTTATGCCACAGCTCTTCATTTTTTTAACATAGATCCAAGTATGGAACAGTCTGTTTCTTTCTAGAGTTAATGAAAAATTTTCCTAAGGCTATACAAGAAAAACGATTACATCATCCAAAAACCAGTACATCATCCAAAAGACTCTAGAACAGGCTTCATAGAAGATACAAACTGATATCAAAATGTCTCTTTTTCAATGTAAACACATATTAAAATGGCTTAATGCACAGTTGACCATTTTTCCTCTTTAGGAAAATGTTTTTATATTTTTACACCTGTATATATGTTCACAATATTTATATTCAAGTATTTATATAAAGTTCAAATTTTACAACCCTTTTGTACTGCCACTAACTATAAAAATGATTCAAAACATGGATTTGGTGGTCTGTATTGATTAGACCTTCAATCTTCACATAGACCTTCAATTAGACCTTCATATAGCCTAGTTATATGTTGGTACCAAATTCCTTAGAAAGGGCCTAAGTATTAAACTAACTAAAATTTAGTTAAACAGATCAGGAGCATTTTAAGAGTCCTGAAAGTCTGAGAATCTACTTTTAGACCTTTAGCAACTTAGATATTTCAACACTCTTTCCAAATTTATGGCATTTGTTTTTATTTTCTTTTTTCTTTTTATTAATTTTGCTTCCTTTGAGACAGGATCTTACTCTGCTGCTCAGCCGGAGTGCAGTAGGGTGATCATGCAGTGTCAACCTCCTGGGCTCAAGTATCTTCCTACTTCAGCCTCCCAAGCAGCTGGGACTCCAGGAATGCGCCACCATGCATGGCTAATTTTTAATTTTTTGTAGAGACAGGGTGTCACTCTGTTGCCCAGGCTGACCTCAAACTTCTGGGCTCAAGGAATCCTCCCACCTTGGCTTCTCAAAGTGCTGAGATCATAGACATGAGCCACCACGCCAAGCCCTTTTTTCTTTTTAGAGACAGCGTCTGCTTTGTTGCCCAGGCTAGAGTGCAATGGTGTGACCTACCTTGGCTCACTGCAGTCTTAACCTCCTGGGGCTCAAGCAATCCTACCATTTCAGCCTCCCAAGTAGCTGACTACAGGTGCATGGCACCACACCCAGCTGATTTTTTTTTTTTAATATTTTTTGTAGAGATAGAGTTTCACTGTTTTGCTTAGACTGGTCTTGAACTCTCAGGCTCAAGTGATCCTCCCGCCTCGGCTGCCCAAAGTGCTAGGATCACAGGTGTGAGCCACCATGCCTGGCCAGCATTTATTCTTCGAACCGCCACCAAGAAGCACAATATGACAAAAAGGCAATGATGCCTCGAAGGGAGCGCCAATGGTCTCTCATGATCAGCCTCTGTGTTCCTCAAAGGCAGGATCATTTCTTTGGAATATATTTGAGGTAGCAAGTATACAGCTCCTTACAGACCTTATTTGTAATGGCACAGTGTTTGAAAATATGTAACTCATATTCTTTTACATTTATACATTTGTTTGTTTCCCTGTTGCTTTTGCAGGTCTCTCTATAACCCATCAGTCTTACTATAAAGGTAATATGTATCAAAAAAGGTATTTATATAAAATATATTTAAAACTCATGTCCTAAATCAATGCCCCTATAAGCTGCCCAGAAGTAAGTGGGTTTCTTGATTTGTGTTGTTTCCATTTTGTGGGGTGTGTGTATAAATGAGGCCAAAGTCATACATATAATTCTCATAAGGTCCATGTTTTAAATTTTACCTCCTGAGTCCAATCATCAGTCTACCCAATTACTATTTCTAAAAACAACTCAAAACCTATAGATAGTCACTGCTCAGCAAACTAACACAAGAACAGAAAACCAAAAACACCGCATATTCTCACTCATAAGTGGGAGTTGAACAGTGAGAACACATGGACACAGGGAGAGAAACATCACACACCATGGCCTGTTGGGGGTCGAGGGTTAGGGGAGGGGTAGCATTAGGAGAAATACCTAATGTAGATGACGGGTTGATGGGTGCAGCAAACCACCATGGCATGTGTATACCTATGTAACAAATCTTCAAGTTATGCACATGTACCCCAGAACTTAAAAGTATAATTAAAAAAAAAAAACCCTATAGATAGGCACTCAAGAGGTAAATAATTTGTTGCTGTGCATAAAGACTAGCAGTGTCAGCCGGGCGCGATGGCTCACGCCTGTAATCCCAGCACTTTGGGAGGCCAAGGTGGGTGGATCACAAGGTCAGGAGTTCGAGACCAGCCTGACCAACATGGTGAAACCCTGCCTCTACTAAAAATACAGAAATTAGCTGGGTATGGTGGTACATGCCTGTAATCCCAGCTACTCAGAAGGCTGAGGCAGGAGAATCGCTTGAACCCAGGAGGCAGAGGTTGCAGTGAGCCAAGACGGCACCACTGCACTCCACCCTGGGCAACATAGTGAGACTGTCTCCCAAAAAAAAAAAAAAAAAAAAAAGAAGACTAGCAGTGTCAATTATCGAAAAAAAATGGTATGGCCTACACAAGCATCAAGGTTCTATGTCCACTTTGGCCCAGTACATAGGGAAATTTCCAGCTGGGTCTTTCCATCCCAACTTGGAGGGGGATACATCACCCCTACCACAGGGTGTCTAAAGGAGGAGACTTACTAGAGCATGAGAATGCTACAAGGTAGGTTAATCATAGACAGAGAGCAGGCAGAGGTGAGAACTGGGTGGGATATTGGAGCACTGGGTGGTTAGGGGCAAGAAGCTGTTTTTAGTCTGCTTTCGTGGACTGAAAACATCCTTCTTTCTTCATCTTTTCAAACCTAATTTTCTACATATCTTCCTCCACTCTTGCCCAGCCAGAGTCTTATATAGGTCCTGGAAGTTAAAGCTTCCGCAGTTTTCTTCTTTGAGCTTTTGTTTCTGCTCACAAAGTAACTCATGGCCATCATAGTGCTCTGGGGAGGAGAAATAAAGTGTCCTCCCTAGTGAGAGAATGGAAGGGAAGGGGGTAAGAAAATAAACCAACAAGTGAATTCCTGGAGATATAACCCTGCCACATTCACACAGGATCCTCAGGACCATATTTTTAGATAGTTGCTGTGGGGTGTGTGTGTGTGTGTATGTGTGTGTGTGTGTGTGTATTCTCATGACTAGATTTTCATTTTCCCTGTCTATTGACTTCTTCTACCCAGATCTTTAACATATTTAAGTCTATTGGTTTAAAGCAAAAACAAGAAAACCTCTCTAGATCTTGCATCATCCCTCTTGATCTTGTATCATCCCTCTTGAGTTGCTGTCAAACTCAAGCAGTGGCCTTCAAACTAGGGTACAGGTAACCCTGGAAGTGTGTCAAGACTTAAAAGGGCTGTGATTGAAGGGTAGGCATGCAGTTGCATATAATAAACCCATTTCTGCAGGACACGGTGGTTCACACCTGTAATCCCAGCAACTTGGGAGGCTGAAGTGGGCAGATCACCTGAGGTCAAGAGTTCAAGACCAGCCTGGCCAACGTGGCAAAACCCCATTTCTACTTAAAATACAAAAAAAATTAGCCAGGCATGGTGGTGTGTGCCTGTAATCCCAGCTACTTGGGAGGCTGAGGCAGGAGAATCACTTGAACACTGGAGATAGAGGTTGCAGTGAGCCGAGATCACACCATTGCACTCTTGCCTGGGCGACAAGAGCAAAACTCTGTCTCAAAAAAAATTTTTTTTTAATTTTTAAAAATTAAATAAATAAATAAACCCATTTCCAAACTTCCTATCTTCCTAAGCCTCTGGGTTCCCTTTTCTACATCATGCTAAGGAAGCTCTGACATCAACCTCATTGACACAGACCACCAGTCAGTCCAGTCAGTCCACGTTTTAGTAAATCCATCAAGCATGCTATTAGAGACACCTACAGCTGCATGAGCTAATACATTAAATCTGAAATCTCTAGTAAGTGCAACCATATCATATCATTTAACCCATTTTGATATTCTGTCCTCTTTGGTCTAATCCAAGGGTTCCCAACCCCCCAGGCCATGGACTGGTACTGGTCTGTGGCCTGTTGGGAACTGGGCAGCACAGCAGGAGGTGAGCAACAGGCAGGAAAGCATTACTGCCTGAGCTCCACCTCCTGTCAGATCAGCAGCAGCATTAGATTTTTACAGAAGTGTGAACCCTATTGTGAACTATACATGCAAGCGATCTAGGTTGCATGATCCTTATGAGAATCTAATGCCTGATGATCTGAGGTGGAATAGTTTCATCCCAAAACCAACCACCATCCCCACCCCTCCATTTGTCCATGGAAAAATTATCTTCCACGAAACCAGTCCCTGGTACCATAAAGGTTGGGGACTGCTGATCTAATACCTTTAGAATCTATTTTCATACATATTCTTCAGTTTCTGCTGACACATATTCACAAAACCTTGTAATTTCTTTAGGTGTATAACCTACTACCATCCAGTTTTTCTGGCACTATAAGCATATTGACACACAGCTGTAGTTATGGGACTGATGGAAACAGAGGGTCCTTGTGCTTGGGAACAAAGGACATCCTTTTTCAATGCATGCTCCCCTGAGATTATCACAGGAAAGCTAGACATCTCAACACAAGAAGGAAACGTACTTCTACTGGTAAGGGAGGCTTAGAGTGTCTCAGGAGTCAGAGATTCTCAGGCTAATCTGAATCCAATCAGATGTTCTCATCTCAAGTTTCAAGGAGCCATTATTTCCCAATGAATGCCCTAACTCTCACATGAGATACTTGGTAGAGCTGTGAATTCAACTAATGCTGTAATTCTGCAAAAAAGTTTTATGTTTGATTTTCAGCATTAGCCCTATCACTACAAGAAATGAGATACTTTACTGCTGCCATATTAGTTGTATGATTCTAAGACCATCATTTTATCTAAGAGTTAAAGGACTTGAGCTTGTCATTTTTTCTTTCTCTAAGCACTCCAACACACTTGGAAGAATCTATAATGGTCAAGTGCAGCAGCTGTATAAGCTCCCACAACAGTTACCTAATTAGCATTTAATTGCAATTAATCAGAGGTGATAGCTTAATTGTAATGTTGCTGCATGCATGGGTTACTAGCATCTAATTCCCATCAGCAAAAACCTCAACATTTCACCCAATCCCAAAACCCATCTTTTAGAATCCGTCTTCTGTGACACTTTCAGGTACCAATTCTATAGCAGTCAGGGTCCAGTCAGGAGACAGTAATCACACCAGTAATCTGAACGAGGGAAATTTAAAAGAATAAATTGTTAATATAAGGTATTTAACTACTAAGAGGGTGATATCGTTTGGATATTTGTCTCTGCCCAAATCTCATTTTGAATTGTAATGAAAAAGCTGGAGGTGAGGCCTCGTGGAAGGTATTTGGATCATAGGGGTGGGTTCCTCATGGTTTAGTCCTATCTTTGTGATAATGCGTTTTCATGAGATCTGGTCATTTAGAAATGTGTGGCACCTCTGCACCTCCCCCACAACTCTCTCTCTGTCTTGCTCCTGCTTTCAACATGTGATGTTCCTGCTCCCCCTTTGCCTTCTGCCATGATTATAAGCTTCCTGAGGCCTCCCCAGAAGCAGATGCTGCTCTATTTCTGGTAAAGCCTGCAGAACCATGAGCCAAATAAATCTCTTTGCTTATAAATTACTCAGTCTCAGTTATTTCTTTATAGGAGTACAAGGATGGCCTAACACAGAAAATTGGTACCAGGAGTGGAGTATTGCTATAAAGATACCCAAAAATGTGGAAGAAACTTCGGAGCTGCGTAACAAGCAGAGATTAGGAGAGTTCAGAGGGCTCAGAAGAAGACAGGAAGATGAGGGAAAGTTTAGAACTTTGAGACTGGTTAAATGGTTGTGACCAAAATGCTGATAGTGACATGGACAATAAAGTCCAGGCTGAGGAGGTCTCAGAGCGAACGAAGAACTTACTGGAAACTAGAGCAAAGATCAGGCATATTATGCCTTAGCAAAGAGCTTGGCTGTACTCTTTTCATGCCCTGGGAATCTGTGGAAGTCTGAACTTCATAGTGATGATTTAGGGTATCTGGCAAGAAATTTCATTTTTTTTTTTTTGAGACAGAGTCTCGCTCTTGTTGCCCAGGCTGGAGTGCAGTGGCGTGATCTCGGCTCACTGCAACATCTGCCTCCTGGGTTCAAGTGATTCTCCTGCCTCAGCCTCCTGAGTAGCTGGCATTAAGGGCATGTGCCATCACACTTGGCTAATTTTTGTATTTTTAATAGAGATGAGGTTTCTTCATGTTGGTCAGGCTGGTCTTGAACCCCTGACCTCGGGTGACCCTCCCACCTTGGCCTTCCAAAGTGCTGGGATTACAGGCATGAACTACCACTTCCAACCGACAGAAGAAATTTCTAAGCAGCAAAGTGTTCAAGAGGTGTTATGGCTGCTTCTAACAGTCTATATTCAGATGTGGGAACAAATAAATGACTTAAAGCTGGAAATTATATTTAAACAGGGATCAGAGCATAAAAGTTTAGAAAATTTGCAGCCTGGCCATGTGGCAGAGAAAGAAAAAGCTTTTTCAGGAGAGAAATTTAAGCAGGCTGTGGAGTGACCACTTGCTAGACATGTTTGCATAATTAAAAGAGAGCCAGGTGCTAATATCTAAGACAATTGAGAAAATGCCTCAAAGGCATTTCACAGATCTCTGCAGCAGCCCCTCCCATCATAAGCTCTGAGGCCTAGGAGGACTGAATGATTTTGTGGGTCAGGCTCAGGGCCCCACTGCCTTGTGCAGCCTCAGGACACTCCTTCCCACAACCCAGTCACTCTAATTACAGCCTTGGCTCAAAGGGGCCCAGGTACAGCTCAGGCTGCTACTTTAGAGAATGTAAGCTGTAAGCCTTGGTGGCTTCCAGGTGATGTCAAGCCTATAGATGCACAGAATGCGAATGAAGAACACTTGGCAGCCTTCACCTAGATTTCAGAGGATGTATAGAAAAGCCTGGGCTGGGTGTTGTGGCTCACACTTGTAATCCCAGCACTTTGGAAGGCAGAAGCAAGTGGATCACTTGAGCTCAAGAGTTCAAGACCTGAGCCTGGGCACATGGTAAAACCTTGTCTCTACAAAAAAAATTAGCTGGGAATGGTGGTATTTGCCTGTTTTCCCAGCTACTAGGGAGGCTTAGGTGGGAGGATCGCTTGAGCCTGGGAGATTGAGGCTGCAGTTAGCCACAATCAGAGCACTGCACTCCAGCCCGTATGACAGAGCAAGACGTTGTCTCAAAAAAAAAAAGAAAGAAAGGGAAGGAAGGAAGGAAGGAAGGAAGAAAGAGAATAGACTAGCTGTATTTCCTAGGCTAAGGATTCCTAAGCCTAGCTGGGGAAGGTGACTGCACCCACCTTTAAACACAGGGCTTGTAACTCAGCTCACACCCAACCAATCAGGTAGTAAAGAGGGCTCACTAAAATACAAATTAGGCTAAAAGCAGGAGGTAAAGAAATAGTCAAATCATATTATCGCCTGAGAGCACAAAGGGAGGGACAATGATCGGGATTTAAACCCAGGCATTTGAGCAGGGAGTGGCAACCCCCTTTGGGTCCCTTTCCATTGTATGGGAGCTCTGTTTTCACTCTATTAAATCTTGCAACTGCTCACTCTTCTGGTATGTGTTTGTTCTGGCTCGAGCTGTCCACCACTGCTGAATGCCGCTGTCACAGACCTGCCACTGACTTCCACCACTCTGGATCAGGCAGGGTGTCCACTGCACTTCTGATCCAGCGAGGCACCCATTGCTGGATCGGGCTAGAGGCTCACTATTGCTCCTGCACTGCTAAGTGCCCAGGTTCATCCTAATCCAGCTGAACACTAGTCACTGGGTTCCACAGTTCTCTTCCGTGACCCACGGTTTCCAATAGAACCACAACACTCACCGCATGGCCCCAAGGTTCCATTCTTTGGAATCCAGGAGGCCAAGAACCCCAGGTCAGAGAACAAAAGTCTTGCTGCCACCTTGGGAGCCGGCCGCCACCATCTCGGGAGCTCTAAGAACAAAGACCCGACTGTAACACAAGGAAGGGAAGGGAAGGGGAGGGGAGGGGAAGTGAGGAGAGGGGTCAACTTCCTGTGCAGGTGTGAGAAATTACTCACATAATCAACTTGATAGCCACAGTATGAAACATCAGTGTGACCACAAATACACTCATAAACACACACGCTATCTCATGTTTGATAAATTGTTCATGCGGGTCTTTTTTTTTTTTTTTTTTTTTTTTGAGGCGGAGTCTCGCTCTGTCGCCCAGGCTGGAGTGCAGTGGTGCAATCTCAGCTCACTGCAAGCTCCGCCTCCCAGGTTCACACCATTCTCCTGCCTCAGCCTCCTGAGTAGCTGGGAGTACAGGCGCCTGCCACCACGCCTGGCTAATTTTTTGTATTTTTAGTAGAGACGGGGTTTCACCCTGTTAGCCAGGATGGTCTCTATCTCCTGACCTCGCGATCCGCCCGCCTTTGCCTCCCGAAGTGCTGGGATTACAGGCGCGAGCCACCGCGCCCTGCCAGAGTCATTTATTTTTATTTTTATTTTTATTTTTAATCATGGTAAATATATATAGATATTTAAAATACAAATATTTTCATCTTAACCATTTTAAGTGTACCATCCCGTAGTGTTAAGTATATTCGCATTGCTGTGAAACCAATTTGCAGAACTTTTTCATCTTGCCAAACTGAAACTGTATGCCTATTAAACGATAACTTCTCATTTCCCCTCTCCCCAGCCCCTGGCAACCAGCACTCTCCTTTCTGTCTCCATGAATTTGACTACTCTGAATATCTCATATAAGTGGAATCATACAATATTGGTCATTTTGTTTCTGGCTTATTTCACTTATCATAATGCCCTCAAGTTTCATCTATATTGTAGCATATAATGGGATTTTCTTTTCTAAAGGTGAATAATATTCCATTGTATGTATATATCACATTTCGTTTATCCATTCATTCACTGGTGGACATGGGTTTCTTCCACTTTTGGGCTAGTATGAATAATGCTGCTATGAATTTTGGTGTACAAATACCTCTTCAAAACTCTGTTTTCAATTCTTTTGAGTATTTATCTAGGAATGAAATTGCTGGATTATGTAGTAATTCTACTTTTAATTTTGAAAAATCACCATACTATTTCTCATACCAGCTGTTACTTTACATTCCCACCAACAGTGCACAAGAGTTCTAATTCGTGGGCTGGGTGTGGTGGCTCACTTTGGGAGGCCGAGGCGAGCGGATCACAAGGTCAGGAGTTTGAGACCAGCCTGGCAAACATAATGAAACCTCGTCTCTACTGAAAATACAAAAAATTAGCTGGATGTTGTGTGCCTGTAATTTCAGCTACTTGGGAGGCTGAGGCAGGAGAATCTCTTGAACCCAGGAGGTGGAGGTTGCAGTGAGCTGAGATCGCGCCATTGCACTCTAACCTGGGTGACAGTGTGAGACTCCGTCTCGGAAAAAAAAAACAAAAAAAAAGAGTTCCAATTCCTCCACATCTTTGTCAACACTTTTTTTTTTATAGTAGTCATCCTATTGGGTGTGTGGTAAAGTATCATTTTTTTGGATTCTGTTAACGTGTACTTTATTTTATTATTTTTATTTTCTTTTATTATTAGTACTTTTTTGAGACAAAGTCTCACTCTGTCACTCAGGCTGGAGTGCAGTGGCATGATCTCAGCTCACTGCAACATCTGCCTCCTGGGTTCAAGCGATTCTCCTGCCTCAGCCTCACAAGTAACTGGGATTACAGGCACCCGCCACCAAGCCCAGCTAATTTTTATATGTATTTTTAGTAGAGATGCGTTTTCACCATGTTGGCCAGGCTGGTCTCGAACTCCTGACCTCAAGTGATTCACCTGCCTTGACCTCCCAAAGTGCTGGGATTACAGGCGTGAGCCACTGCACCCGGCCAGTTAGGTGTAGTTTAAACATTTATTTATGTAGTAAGAGCAAAGTCATTCTGTTCTAAATTCTAAATAAAAGAACCTACTTTTCAGTTTCATGAATATCCAGGCAAAATACCTTTGTTTGTGTGTGATTGAATAGACACTTTTATTTCGTATCTATCTTCATTTATTATGTGTGATTGTTCTCAAATACGAGATTTCATTTTCTATTTGCTATTGTTCTCAATGAGGAGCTGGTCAGTGACACAGAGAAAGCAGTATCAAAGCATCAGAGAACATGGAGGTTACCAGCCTCCATGAGCTGAGCTGATCAGCTGTCACAGAGTCCTCACTCCTGATCAACAGTCTCTCTCCTTATCTCTATATGCCCACCCCCAAGTGGACAGCAATCCTAGTTACACCCATGGGAATCCAAGATGGAACTGCCTTCTTGAATAACCAAGAAAGGGAACCCAAAGGCTGGAGCTCTGATGTTGCAATGACATATAGATCTGTGGTTCTTGTTTCTAGCAGCCAGTTACTGGTTTCTTTCTATTTTCTAGCTTCCCTGGGCCATGGAAGGGGCTGCTCACCTATAAACACCTTGGATTAACGAGCCTCTTTCTCTCGAAGTGTGTGTAGAGCTCAGTCCACAATTCAGAATCATGATGAATGGCTAATTCTATAGATTGCAGTGGTTTTTCTTTCTACTTGCCACTATGGTCCCTTTGGGGTATGAAGGACGATCTCACCGATTATTGCAGAAAACTCATTTACCTCCCCCCTCCAGTTATTATGGCCACATCAACTTTATCATCTCCTCCGCACCAGCAGCTGCTGCCTCCCCAACAATAATAAGGCCTGTTGTCCTTGGGCTGCAGCCACCTCACCTGCTGTGGCCATTGGATTTGAAACGGGAGGGGGGTCAGGGAAGTTTTGGGTGGAGAAGGGCAGGTCCTCGGCTAGAGCTCCACCCCCTGGCCTATGCTCACGGACCTAGGTGAGGATAGGCATTTCTGTTTTCAGTGCCCAAATGTTGGATTTGGGCCGCATCCCCATCCTATGCCTATAAAAACCCCGAGACCCTGGTGGGCAGAGACACAAGCGGCTGGACGTCAAGAGGAACACACCTGCGGAAGAGCACACCAAGTACTGGCAGACGACGGCAGGCCATTGAGTGGCAGAACGATGCGGAGTTTGGCCAGGGTGGTGGGAGGAGAGCCCAGACTCTGGGTGGCCGACTCCAGGGGAAAAGTACCTTCCCACTCTATCCCCCTTCTGGCCTCCCCAACCACCTCACTGAGAGCTACCACCACTCAATACAAAACTTTGCACCCATCCTCCAAGCCCACGTGTCATCCGATTTTTCCGGTACACTAAGGCAAGAATCCTGGGATACAGAAAGCCCTCTGTCCTTGCAGTAAGGCAGGGGTCTAATTGAGCTGAGTAACACAAGCCGCCTGCGGATAGCTAAACTGGAAGAACGCACTGTAACACACGCCCACTGGGGCTTCAGGAGCTGTAAATACTCAACCCTAGACGCTGCTGCCGTGGGATGCAGTCCCCACAACCTGCCCGTCTGCATGCTCCCCCTAGAAGTTTGAGGAGCAGGGCAAGGAAGAAGTGAGCCACACCCCATAGCTCGCTCTTCGAGGGAAATGAGGGAACTTTTCCTGTTTCAGATTCACCACAGAGGAGACACCACGTTAGACCACCTATCATACAGGTTGTCTCTGCTACCTCTGCCTCAGCAGCCATTGGGTCTATTGTGATCATATCTGCCGTCATCTCCTTAGTCATTGTCTCGAGTGCCATCTTCTCCACTTCCGTCTCCTTAGCAGCAGCCACAGCCTCCACCAGTGCTGGCCCACCATCATCCTCCACTGTCATCTCCGCAACCTTCATTGTCTATTGTCTGTTTTTTCCCTGAATAATAGAAGTGCAGGATAACTTGTTTCTTTCTTCCAAGAAGAAGATGAGGCTGCTCAAGTTTGAGGATACTTTTTTGCACCAGTTGATTATATTTCTGCATGAGGAATGGATTACTTATTTTAAAAACTAAATTATATCCTGAAAATTCTTAGATTACAAGTGAGGCACCTTGGAGTTGATAAGAAGAGCATGATCTATAATGCAAAGTCAGATTAGCTATTAGATTCTTCTGAAGCATTGGCTCTTTTCAGTTAACAAAATTTGTATCAGCCTGTGCAAATGTGGATGTGTGGATCTGCCAACATTGGGCTGACCATAGATCCAGTCTTAATAAATGATGTTCCTTCACTAACCCTTTCAATGGATGAGAAAGGCTGAGCAATGCCCCAGAGCCCAGGCTTTAAGTCATCACTAAAATAAATAATATTTTGCAATAAATTGTTAAGACTTACTGAAGAATAATTCCTAAAGGAAAGAAATATCTGATGGAAAGTCCTATGTGCTGAGGGGGTTTTGAATGAAGGGGCCTCACAACAAATTACTTGAGCAGAGATGCAGCTGTTTCTTTGGGCAACCTCCTCTATGTATCAGTATATAAAGGGCCTTTGTTTTGGGCCGGTCAGTTTCACAAGCAAGAAATCCTCCAAACTTTGGAGGTCTATAATATAAGCCTGCCTGTAAGACCTCTGGGAGATCCCACTATTTATCATTAAGACTTTAAGGCCGGGCACAGTGTCTCATGCCTATAATCCCAGCACTGTGGGAGGCCGAGGCAGGTGGAACACCTGAGGTTGGGAGTTCGAGACTAGCCTGACCAGCATGGAGAAACCCCATCTCTACTAAAAATATGAAAAATTAGCCAGGTGTGGTGGCACATGCCTATAATCCTAGCTACTCAGGAGACTGAGGCAGGAGAATCGCTTGAACCTGGGAGGCAGAGGTTGTGGTGAGCCGAGATCGTGCCATTGCACTCCAGCATGGGCAACAAGAGTGAAACTCAATCTCAAAAAAAAAAAAAGAGTTTAATTTGACACTCCCACTTTTCAGTGTGGTGATGGCTATCCCCTAATGTGTCTAGTCTTCCAGAGTTCAAAGCCTCTCTGGTTCAACTTCTCCAGAGAGTAAACTTTGCTCCAGTTTTCTGCAGAAGTGAGGGACAGGTCATAGGACAGAAGAGGAGGTCTGACTGGACTAACTGCTCCTTCCAACCAACCCTTCTATTTTCAGCCCAATCTTATGCCCCTATTTTCAAAAGTTACTGGGGACCACATGCCTAAATCTTTCTGGAACTCACAGGCAAAAATAATTTTATTTTCTTGTTTTACCTTCTCCTTGCAGGTGCTTAGGTTAGTTTCTAAGATAGGATTTAAGAAGAAAAGAGAAAATGTATGTGTTCAGTCCATCTTAATTACTTCAAATCTCTCTTATCTTTTTCTGTACTTTGTAAAATTTCATTTTTTATGTATCAAATATTTATTTTGGTGTGTGAAGGGAGATGAGGATATCAGCTGAATCTCACTTTCTACCAGAGCTAGCTAAAGCACACACGGA
This sequence comes from Homo sapiens, assembly GCF_000001405.40. NCBI lineage: Eukaryota > Metazoa > Chordata > Mammalia > Primates > Hominidae > Homo > Homo sapiens. The sequence goes on along the minus strand of NC_000011.10, from coordinate 110,323,042 downwards.
ACATTCTTTATAGTAGAGATCATATACTAGTATATACAGCAAGTCCTGATAAATTTAAAATGATGGAAATCATACACCCTATGTTCTCTAACCACAAGGAAATCAAATTATAAATCAATAACAGAAGTTTAGGGGATTTAGCAACACACTTCTAAATAATCTTGTCAAAGGATAAATCACAAGGAAAAATTTAAAATATATTAAACTGAGTAAAAATGAATACACAACATGTCAAAATTTATGGGACGTAGCTAAGGTAGGCTTAGAGGAAAATTTATAGCTTTGTATGCTTCTATTAAAAAGGAAGAAAAATCCAAAATCAACAGTGTAAGTTTTCAACTTAAGAAGCTAGAAAAAGAAAAGCAAACCCATAGTATATAGAAGGAAGGAAATAATATAGATCAGAGCAGAAACATACAAAATAGAAAACAGGTAAACAACAGAAAAAAATCAATAAAATGAAGAGTAGTTTCTTTGAAAAGATCAACAAAATTGATAAATCTTCAGCTAGACTGACCAAGAATAAAAGAGAAGACACAAATTACCTAAGTCAGGAATGAAAAAGAAGACACACTGTAGACCCAGCAGAAATTAAAACGATGGTCAGGCACAGTGGCTCATGCCTGTAATCCCAGCAGAGTGGGAGGCTAAGGTGGGAGTATCATTTGAGACCAGGAGTTTGAGACCAGCCTGGGCAACATAGCAAGACCTTGTCTCTACAAAAATTTTGTTTCAAAAGTCTATGGGATTGTTTCAATAGAAAAAACAATCAAGTAAATTCAACACCTTTTCATGACAGAAACTCCCAACAAACTAGGACTAGAAGGGAACTTAAATTGATGAATGGCATTTTATAAAATACATACAGCTAACATGAGACTTAATGGCAAAAGGTTGAATGTTTTCACCCTAAAATCCATGTTAGATAGAATCTAGATACATAGTGAGCTAGGAGAGTTGGACAAGAAAATCAAGAAACAAGAAGAGTTAGTCATAAAAAGAAATGACTTTGGTGGATACTTTCCTGAAAAGGTGAACACTGGCACAAATACAAAAGGCTGCAGACCCCTTAGATGGTTCCTGAACCCTGCAACAGAAACAATGTTGTTTAACGTTTCAATGAACTGTTTCATAGTCCATCTTGTTCACTGTTTTAACTCAACTATTATTGTAGGGAACACTGGAGTTACCCGTAACTAATCTCTAAATTTTAGTTTCAATCCTACTGCTAACACCACTACACCAACCATTACTTTTTAAAATCTAACTGTCCAAGAGACCTGTACAGTGGTAATGATGGTGGCTGACATTTACAGAGTACTTACAATGTACCAGGCCCTGTTTTATGTTCTTTACACGTATTAATTAAATTGCTACAGTGGCCGTAAAAGTAGTCACTATTATTTCCCTCCATATTCCAGATGGGAAAACTAAGGCAAGGACTCAATAAGTAATTTGCCAATAGTCAATCAGCTAATAAGCAGCAAAGCTAGGATTCAAATCCAATGATCTGCCCCCAGAGCCTATGTACTTGACCTTTATGTAATCCTGCCCCTCGGAGCTCAGCTGTTTAATGTGAAAACTATAGCCAGGGCCCCATAATTATTTGGTCAGGGGTTTTACACCTTTGTAGAAAAGAAGCTTGGGATGGGGAAATCTAAGAATTGTGGTAAAAACATCCCTCCTGTTTCCTTGGTGGCAAGCAGGGCTGTATATATGTGTGTTTGTTTTTGTGTTTTTAAATTGTGTAATGAAAGTGGTCAGCTCCAGTGAGCCCACTCCCATGAAGGGGGATATCTCTGAGTGATGAGTTGTCTCAGAGAATCTGATACTCAAGAGGATCCATTAGGGCCAGGCGTGGTGACTCATGCCTGTAATCCCAACACTTTGGGAGGCCAAGGCAGGAGGATTGCTTGAGGCCAGGAATTTGAGGCTGGCCTGGGCAACATGGCGATACCCTGTCTGTATAAAACACGAAAAAATCAGCCGGGCACAGTGGCTCATGCCTGTAATCCCAGCAATTTGGGAGGCCGAGGCGGGCAGATCACCTGGGGTCAGGAATTCGAGACCAGCCTGGCCAACATGGCGAAACCCTGTCTCTACTAAAAATACAAGAGTTAGCCAGGTGTGGTGGCAGGCGCCTGTAATCCCAGCTACTCGGGAGGCTGAGGCAGGAGAATCGCTTGAACCCCAGGGGGCGGAGGTTGCAGTGAGCAGAGATCGCACCATTGCACTCCAGCCTGACAGAGTAAGACTGGAGTCTCCTGACAAAGTGAGACTCCATCTCCAAAAAAAAAAAAAAAAAAAAAAAAATTCCACAAAAAGATTATCTGGGAATGGTGGTGCAAGCCTGTAGTCCCAGCTACTCAGGAGGCTGAGGTGGGAAGATCAGCTCAGGAGGCGGAGGCTGCAGTAAGCCATGATAATACCATTGCACTGCAGCCTGGGTGATAGAATGAGATCCTACGTCAAAAAAAGAAAAGAAAAGGAAAAAAAAAAAAAGGAGTATCCATCAGACTAATTAACCAAGTTAGTAAACACAGGATTAAAGCAAGAGCTGTATTTCCAGGGATCAAGGCCACAAAGACTAACTGGACTGCCAGTGCTGAATATGAAGGCCTTGGGATTGAGGGCAGATTCCTTGCAGAGCAGAGAGGGAATTTTTCTTTTTTTTTAACTTAGAAAGAAGAAGAAAGCTGGGCCCAGGGAGTCAGGAGTCTATTTGAAGGAAAATCAGTTGAGTCCCGACCTGGGGATGACAGATAATCTAAAGGCTAATCCCAGAAAATAGACACAGAACCGAGTTCCAAAAAGACCCAGCATTTTTCCTGAGATTCCACCAGGGATGATTTGTTTAAAGTAACATTGGACCAGAAATCCAAGGAGCTCAGTCTAGCCTCCATCCTGTCAGCCCAGACAGTGTGGAGGCCAGAAATAATTGAAGCTGTGCACTTTACAAACTACCAATCCAACCAGGCTATCACTAGACCTCAGGGAGATTAGGATAAAAGAAAAAAAAAATCTGAGTTTTGTAAACCTATCCATTTCTGTGCTCTGATATTTTCTCTCTTTTCCTTGAGTTTATTTATTTTGGGGTTTGTTTTTCTCTTTTAATTCCAACCAAGTCCCAGATGAACCAAAAGGAAAACTGATTTCCTACACCTACATCGGGATAAATAATGGAAATGCTCCAGAAGCAGATAAGGTAGGTGAGAGCCAGAGAATCTGAGGCTGGGAGAAGAGTGAGGAAGTAGGATGGGGCAGAGTTCTGAACAGTAGGGCACACTAATACCTTCCTTCCTAGAGATTCTTACCTTATCTTTATGCTTTTCCTGGAAGTTTGTGCTTGCACAGTGGCCTTGGGCATAAGGTGAAAGGGCATAATGTGATTTCCCATTGTCCGGGCAAGAGAAACAAATAAAGGATTGCCTCTATGGAATTGTGGAATGTTTGTTATCCTAAAGAAAAGCATTTGTCTTCTCTCACAGGGGAAATCCTGTCATCTTATCTTAGCACTGCTCCTGAAATAAGTAGTCTCCGCTGCCTTTAATATAAGGGGAAACCAGGAGTGCAGGCCCTAACCAAGGTACCCATCCAGGGGCAGTGACTTAAGTTCAAAATCAGCCCCTATAACTGCTCAGACCATTAAATGACCTTAAAATCAAACCCTCTACCTGATCCCTACCTAGCTTCCTGCCTTGTCCTTTCCTCCTTCCTTCACCCTTTCCACAGAACAGAATGGCTACAACCTTGAGTACAGCAACAGAGGTCAACACCAGAGATGAGAAATGAACTCATGGGCTGATTGTGCAGGGAACCCCTAGTACATCTAAGAGCTTTGAGGAAGTCAGGAAAGGCCTGTGCAAGCAATCAGCCTTGTTCTCTAGCTCACTCTATCTTGCTGACAGAAAGTGCCCGGATACCCTTATGGGACACCCAGCTGCTTTCAGAACTCTGAAGTGGCCCAGATTGAGGGATTTTAAAAAATCTATCCCCCTCAAAAAAAAACTTTCTATTTTTTTAAATACACTTTCCTCCTTTGAGTTAGGATTTATACATTGTCTTTCCTTAATCTCTTCTACAGAATCTTTACAAATAAAGTGTAAAATTAACAAACTTTTATTATTTTCTGTGTCCATTAAGTATTTTACAATCCTCCTTCCTATCTTTCCCTTCTTTCTTTTCTGTTTCTGATGCTTACTTTCCAACATAGCTTTCCAAAGTGAATTTAGGAAGTAAATGCATGATTTATGTCTTTGTCTCCCTATTTTCACTAGTCTCCTTTGCAGTCTTGTCTAAATGACACTCAATGCACCTACCAAAAGAGAGCACACTCATAAGTTTGTGAGATAATGTCTGAGTTGATATTATCTTTGTTTCATTAACCTACATTTGGAGAGTTGTAAAAAATGCACTTTAAAAGGTTTAGAGTCCAAATGACAAAATAGTTCCCAGTGCTACAAAAGATAGAACTGAACGACTATGTAATTAACATGCAAGAAGGATTTTCGGCAAACAAATTTTTTAGCTTCTGTAGCATGGAAGTTAAATAGTGGGGCTGGGTGCAGTGGCTCATGCCTATAATCCTAGCACTTTGGGAGGCTGAGGTGGGCGGACCAACTGAGGTCAGGAGTTTAAGATCAGCCTGGCCAACATGATGAAACCCTGTCTCTACTAAAATACAAAAATTAGCCGGTCATGATGGCAGGTGCCTGTAATCCCAGCTATTCGGGAGGCTGAGATGGGAGAATTGCTTGAACCCGGGAGACAGTGGTTGCAGTGAGCCAAGATCACACCAATGCACTCCAGCCTAGGCAGCTGAGTGAGACTCCATCTCAAAAAAAAAAAAAAAAAAAAAAAAAGAGAAGTTAAATAGCGTGAAGAAGACTGAAAGACACAGCGAAATCTCCAGGGGAACAAAGCCTAAATCTTTATCTCCAGAGGAACAAAGCCAGCACAGGAATTTTTTGAGAATGTATTCTTAGATAAAATCAGGTCTTTAAGGTTGTATAATTTTATAACACTATTACTAACACAGTCTGCTGGAGTTAGCTTATATTTTATCAAATACGACTCCCTTAAAATTACAGAAAATTCTTATCTAGAAGGATTCATTGTTAAACTAGAGAAGATGGCCATCCCAAAGATAACTGTAGCTGATTGCATAATTTTTCCTAAGGCAATATGGGTTTACACATTTCCTCAATTTACAAATAGTGGAAGTTTACTTTATCACATGTGAACCTTGGAAATTTCATCAAATGCATGTTTAATAAACAAATGAGTTGTTGTTTCAGACAAGCAGAGAGAGACTTTTAAGCTTCAGACTTTTGATAAATGACAGAAGCCCACTAACTGCTGAGGACCAGTCTGACAGGAATTGGCAACGATAACACACAGAACAATGAAGGGCCATTATCTTAGAGTTCACAGAAGAACGGCTTGGCATCTAGCCAGATGAATAATCAGTCTATTTTAGTGTTTATCACACAAACCAATGGATTTTTCCAAGTAATAGTAAATTACGTGTGGGTCTTTTCCTTTTTTAAAAAAGGATTTCCTGACAATCTGTGTAGAAGTTATAATAATATCTTTGTATATTTTCATAAAATGGTACATTATGCACCTACGATAAACAATGGGTCTTTGGTATCAGCTTTTTGATTTGGGGGTGTTTGGGGAATTTTATTTTTGGTGGTTCTCTTTTGACTTTGTTAGTCTCTATCAAAGCTGACTTTACCTTAGTCCAAATCTCCTAAAATACATGCTTGTGAGGCTACACTATATTAAATAAGGAAAGACACATTTCCCATATGGCAGCCTGGTCTCCATTCATTCAAAGAAGAGAGAGGAGCAAAGGTAACCTGATACTCAAACATCATCTACAATGTATAACTCAAGGCTTATACATATATATCTTTGTAACCAAATATCTGTATTCATTAGCACATGGCAGCAATTGCTGCTTCATTAGCACATCTCCAATTTTAACTGCCTTGTCATATTATAACTAAAATCTAAATTGTTGGTTGTGAAGAGAAAATAGTCCTAAAACTCAAATCATTAAAGGTTTTATTAGTAAACTGTCCTAAAGAAGTCAAACATTTGTGTTTTAAATATTAATAGGGGCATTCTTAATTTTTAGTAACTGGAGACTTTATATATCCATTAATACATTTCCTAGAAAAATTAAAACATGACTTGATCTTGTCTGTATTTGGTGCAAATTTAAAAATTATATTAAAGTAATTGCTGAAATTTCAAATAATGATTAAAATGTTCAAAAATCCAATATCTATTAACAAAAAGTCTCAGCAAAATATGAATAGTAGGGAATGCCCTCAATCTGATAAAGGGCACTACTAGGGTTTGAATGTTTTTGTCTCAACCAAAATTCATGTTAAAACTCAATCCCAACACACCAGTATTTGAAGGAGTGGCTTTTGGGAGGTGATTGAGTTACGAGGACTCCATCCTCATCGATGGGATTGGTTGTCCTTATAAAAGGGCTTATCTGAGTTTACCCCTTTTTGCCCTTCCATCTTCTGTCATGTGAGGACACAGCATTCCTCCTGACCAGAGCATGCCAAGTTCACAGTGCCACCTTAGAAGAAGACAGGAGCCCTCACCAGGTGCCAGAACCTTGATCTTGTACTTCCCAGCCTCCAGGACTATAAGAAAATACATTTCTGGTCTGGCACAGTGGCTCATGCCTGTAATCCCAGCACTCTGGGAGGCCGAGGCGGATGGATCACCTGAAGTCAGGAGTTCAAGACCAGCCTGGCCAATATGGCAAAACCTGTCCCTACTAAAAATACAAAAACTAGCCTAGCATGGTGGCCCATGCTTGTAATCCCAGCTACTCAGGAGGCTGAGGCAGGACACTTGCTTGAACCTGGGAGGTAGAGGTTGCAGTGAGTCGACATCACACCACTGCACTCCAGCCTGGGTGACAGAGCAAGACTTCATCTCAAAAAAGAAAAAGAAAATACATTTCTGTTTTTTACATATTACCCAGTCTCAGGTATTTTGTTATAGTAGCACAAAATGAACTAAGGCACCTGTGAAAAACCTACAGCTAACTTCACATTTAATGGTAAAGACCTAATGCTTTTCCCTTGGCATTGGGAATGACCAAAGGATATCCACTCTTATAACCTCTATTTGAGATTGTACTGGATATCTTAGGTTGTACAGAAAAGTGAGAAAAAGAAATAAAAGACATACATATTGGAAAGGAAAAGTAAAACTGTCTTTATTTGCAGACAATATGATCACCTATAGAATATCCTATGGAATTGCTGAAAAAGCTACTACGACTAATAATTGAGTTTAGCAATGTTGTGGAATACAAGGTCAATATACAAAAATAAATTATATTCCTACAAACTGGTGATGAACAAACCAAACTTGATAATTTTAAAAGCAATACCATTTACAATAAAATAAAAATCGAAAATATTTAAGGATAAACTTTGAAAAAGACAACATTGCTGAGAAAAATTAAAGAAGACATAGTAACGGAGACATGCAGCATGTTGATGAATTAGCAGACTCAATAGTGTTAAAACATCAGTTCTTCCCAAATTGACCTTTACATTCAATAAAATTCCAATAGAAATTGTAGCATTCTTTTTTCTGTAGTAATTAAAAAGCTGATTCCAAAATTCATATAAAAATGGAAAGTACCTGGAATAGTCAAAACACATTTGAAAGAACAGTTGATAGACATATACTACCTGGTTTCAAAATTATTATATTCAAAATTATTATAAATCTACGGTATCAAAGGTATGGGGAATTGGCATAAATGAGACATTTCGAGTAACAGAATGGAAGACAGAGTCCAGAAAGAGACTCAACTGGTTTTCCGCAAATGTACCAGGTCAATTCAAAGGGGGAAAAATCTTTTCAATAAATGGTGCCAGAAAAATTAGTCATTATCCATCCCCCATGATTCTCAACACTTGATTCACATGATATGCAAAATATTAACGTGAAACTCATTACTGGCCGGGCACGGTGGCTCACGGCTGTAATCCCAACACTTTGGGAGGCAGAGGTGGGTGGATCACGAGGTCAGAAATTCTAGACCAGCTTGGCCAACATGCTGAAACCCCATCTCTCCTAAAATTACAAAAATTAGCCAGGCGTGGTGGCATGTGCTGTAATCCCAGCTACTCAGGAGGATGAGACAGGAGAGCCACTTGAACCTGGGAGGTAGAGGTTGCAGTGAGCCGAGATCGCACCATTGCACTCCAGTCTGGGTGACAGAGTGAGACTCTGTCTAAAAAAAAAAAAAAGGAAAGAAATGCATTACAGACCTCACTGTAGAAGTCAAAACTATTAGATCTAGAAGAAATACATAGAAGCAAAAAGGTTTATTTATTTTTTTTTATACAAGGTCTCACTCTGTTGTGCAGACTGGAGTGCAGTGGTGAGATCTGGGCTCACTGCAACTGCCACCTCCTGGACTGAAGTGATTCTCCCACATCAGCCTCCTGAGTAGTTGGGACTACAGGCAAGTGCCACTACTCTGAGCTAATTTTTGTATTTTTTGTAGAGACGAGATTTCTCCATGTTGCCCAGGCTGATCTCAAACTCCTGGGCTCAAGCCATCTGCCTGCCTTGGCTTTCCAAAATGCTGAGATTACAGGCATGAGGCACCATTGCCTGGTCTTAGAAGAAAATTCTATAGATGTTTAGTTTGTTAAAGAGTTCACAAAAAATCATGAAATAAAAGAGAAAACCAAATTTCACTTCATCAAAATTAAAAATATTTGCTTTTTAAAAGACATTACTATGAAAATGAAACAGCAAACCACAACTAGGAGAAAATCTTGACAAAACTTTTATCAGACAAAGACTTTATCTAGAAAATAAAAATATCTCTTCTAAATTAATAAGAAAGCAACTTTTTAATGGACACTTAAACACAGCAATTTGTTGAAATTGGGATTATATTGCATGTAATATTTTGAATCTTTATTTTATTTTTATTTTTTATTATATATTTATTTTCTGAGACGGAGTGTCACTCTGTCACCCAGGCTGGAGTGCAGTGGTATGATCTTGGCTCACTGCAACCTCTGCCTCCCAGGTTCAAGCGATTCTCCCACCTCAGCCTCCTTTTTTTGAGTTGGAGTTTCGCTCTCCAACTGTAGGCTGTAGTGCAATGGCGCAATCTTGGCTCACCGCAACCTCCACCTCCAGGGTTCAAGTGATTCTCCTGCCTCAGCCTCCCAAGTAGCTGGGATTACAGGCATGTGCCACCACGTCCAGCTAATTTTGTATTTTTAGTAGAAATGGGGCTTCTCCATGTTGGTCAGGCTGGTCTGGAACTCCCGACCTCAGGTGACCGGACCATCTTGGTCTCCCAAAGTGCTAGTATTACAGGGATGAGCCACCGCACCCGGCCCACCTCAGCCTCTTGAGTAGCTGGGACTAAGGCACATGCCACCACACCTGGCTAATTTTTGTATGTTTAATAGAGAGAGGGTTTCACTATGTTGGCCAGGCTATTCTCGAATTCCTGACCTCAAGTGGTCCAGCCGCCTTGGCCTCCCAAAGTGCTGAGATTACAGGTGTCAGCCACTGCACCCGGCTTGTATTTTGATTTTAATTTAACATTACATTATAAGCATTTTTACATATAGTGACATAATTTTTAATGCAATTTTTCTTTTGAATAAGAAACATTACATTGTTTATTACATACGTTGTTATATTATGTTATACATTGTATAATATAATTTATTTAACTTTTTTGGGGGAACACTTAGTACGTTCTCAAGTTTTCACTATTATATATAAGGCTGTGTTGAATATCTTTGTATGTTTGTGTTAAGCCATGTTCTTATTTTTTAGTTCAGATTATTAGAAACTGATAAATGACCAAAGAATATAAATATATTTAAGACTTCTGATACATAACGCCAAATTGATTTTTAGGAATTTTGCACCAATTTACACTCCTATTGAAAGTATATAAAAGTATATAAGATAGCCTGTCTTACCATATTCTTCAAAGCATTGAATGTCATGGGGCTCTTACATTTTAACACCATTTTTCCTCTCCATTTAAAGAAACAAGGAAATTCTTTGAAGGAAATTGTTATTTTGACATCCTATTTAAAATATATGACTCAGCTTTATGGAAAAGTAAAAACCAGAGCATTACTTTTATGAGATGAGCAGTGTCATATTTATTAACATTGCATTAAACTGCAAGTCATACATTTCTTACTCTAAAAAGCATGTTAATAATTTTATTTTTCTTTTGCTAATATACAAAATCTCTGCCATAAATAGTCTCTGACTCTAATACACAAGCAAGTAAACATTTTGTAAGACTTTTAAGGCATAGCTTGTGAAATGATGAGTTCACTTTTCTTTTTAGCTTAATGTTTTATTATAGGTTTTTGGTAGAAATTGTCACCTGGTGAAAAACGGTGATTACTTAGCAATCTGGTTTGCTAATGCCATCTTGAATTGCAGTTTCCATAATCCCCACATGTTGTGAAGAGACCCCATGGGAAGTAACTGAATCATGAAGATGGTTACCCCCATACTGCTGTTCTCATGATAATGAGTGAGTTCTCACAAGATCTGATGGTTTTATAAGGGACTTTCCCCCCTTTTGCTTGGCTCTTCTCCTTTCTGCCATCATCTGAAGAAAGATGTTTGTGCTTCCCCTTCTGCCATGATTGTAAGTTTCCTGAGGCCTCCCCAGCCATGCGGAGCTGTGAGTCAATTAAACCTCTTTTCTTTATAAATTACCCAGTCTCGGGTATTTCTTCATAGCAATGTGAGAACCAACTAATACACTTAGCTACAAATATCAGGTATAATTTTATAGATTATGAATAATTAAAACTATAAGGAATCACTCTAGGGCCTACAGTCTAAGTAGATTTTCTGGTTTCTAATTGTTGTATTATGCCCTGGAAAAAAAAACAAGACACAGATCAAGTGGATTTTCATTTTTGTGCATTCTATAATACAAAATGCTGAGTCATCTGGGTCTTTTTTTGTGTGTGTGATGATTCTGACCTTCACCCAAGTGATTCATATTTCCCCCTGGGCTAGCACAAATGAATTATTTTGTCTCAGACAGTCTGTGATGCTGGAGGGCCCTTGGCCCTCAAGAGAATTCAGGCAGGGCCAAGGTCCATAGGCCCAATGTTAGATCAGCTTTCAGTGGGATATTCGGAAAGAAAAATGGTTAAAAAGCAGACAAGTTATATTATTTGAAGCCAAAGAGTGAGTAAGTATACTTTGGATTAGGTCTACAAGAACTTGCACAGAAAGAAATTATCTAAAATGTGATTTAGAAGTAAAGCATGTGCATATGCGTTAGCAATTGCAGTATGTTATATAAATGTACTAAAATGATGAAGAGTATATTGAAATAATATGTGCAAGTATCTTAACCCTGGTGCTTTTATGGTGCTTGTTCCTTTGCAGGTCTTAACAAAAGTTTGCTAGGTGAACAAATGGTTGATAGCATTTGTTTACATAACAAACTTCTGTTATCAACCAAAGATAACAAATGGTTGTTATCTTGAAATCCAGAAAAAAATTAGAGAATAAAAGAACTCTAACAAAGGAGAGACAACTTGGATTTGGATGTTACAGAATAACCTTAGATGATTATTTGTGTGAAGAATGAAGACATGAATGTGAAGATGAGTAGTCTGAGTTACCTTGAAATTTAAATAAATCACACTTGAGCCTCTGTCAGCTATTGGGGTTCAGAAAATGATACCCCAAAATATGGTGCTTTGGCATGCTGAACACTTTGAAATAACATAATTTGGAAGGCCTCAGAAGCAGCTTTAGAAGCAAAGTCTCTCTCTGACCTTCCCTTGCCTTCCTGTCTCCCATGCTCTTCCTCCAGCGAGATAAGCCATAGAAATTAAATTCCCTTTTCCTGAGTCTGGTCAGAGAAACTAGAACCCCTCTCTACCAAAGCCAGTCATAAAACCTGGAAAAATTCCTCTAAGCTCCCCATTACTTTCTGTATAAGAGCTGGCCATAAAGACATTATCTGACCTGCCTTGACTGTCCTGTATCCAGGAAGAAGGGTTGCTCCACAGGAATGCCAAGAAGGATCTGAACAGACAGGCCTTCCTTGTTGCAGAGTATATTGGTCAGCTATATCTAGGCCAGCCTCAGAACTGAACCACCCTTCAAATTCATTTCCATAGTGGGGGAAAAACACCTTTTGAGTTCCAAAGTAGTTTACACCATATCTTTTTTGTTGTTTTGTTTTGTTTTTGAGATGGAGTTTTGCTCTTGTCACCCAGGCTGGAGTGCAATGGCACGATCTCGGCTCACTGCAACCTCCGCCTCCCAGGTTCAAGCCATTCTCCTGCCCCAGCCTCCCAAGTAGCTGGGATTACAGGCGCCCAGCGCCATGCCCAGTTAACTTTGTATTTTAGTAGAGATGGGGTTTCACCATATTAGCCAGGCTGGTCTTGAACTCCTGGCCTCAGGTGATCCACACACCTTGGCCTCTCAAAGTGCTGGGATTACAGGTGTGAGCCACTGTGCCTGGCTTATACCATATCTTTGGACCAAAAGGCCCTTCACTAGTTGAGAATGTCACTCTTCTGTTTCCCCTGAATAACTTACTATAACACCTGCATGTGTGTCCTGGAAGCCATCAGGTCTACAGTACAACTGACAGTAAGCTGCCAAAGGGGTGCAGAGCATTGGATGGCTACTATCTCAATGCTTCAGTGCCATCTTGTTCACTCTTTTGGAATCAGATCATTACACAGGCCAGAGAAAGCTTCTTGAGACAGGGAACAGAGGCATAGCCCAGTGGCTTGAAAAGCATTCCAGAGACTAACAGTTGGACTAGGTCAAGGACCCAAGTAGATTTACAAAAAGCCTAGAGCTTGCCACCCTTTTTCACCATAGCTCCTGAATACTTACAAGTAACAGCCAACTGTGACTCAGACAGTCCCTCCAAATTTAACTGTAATCATTACATTTATATATTAACTTATTATATTAAAAGGCATTCATATATTGTTACTGGTTTTTTTGTTTGTTTTTGTTTTTTTGGGTGGTTGTTGTTGTTGTTGTTGTTGTTTTAGACAGGTCTTGCTATATTCAGGCTGGACTCAAACTCATAAGCTCACGTGATCTTTGCACCTCAGCCTCCTGAGTAACTGGGACTACAAGTGCACACCACCTCACTCAGCTCATTCAGTTACTAACTTATTGAATCTCAACTTGTATAAAGCAATTTATTTTGGAAGAGTAGGCTGCTCTTGAATTGTTTTAAGTAATGGTGATATTTTAGGAAATAAGTGGCAAAGTCACAAAGTAAACAGGTCCACAGTACAACCTTGTCATTTCAATACAGTAACCTTATCTAGATATCGTATTCCACTAGTATTGCCAAATACGATATTTGAGGAATATCAGTGATTTTCTTTGCACTTGATAAATGCATTATGTTGATACTCAGAGTTGAGTACATCAAATTGAGAACAGCAGGTGGGTTGTAAGTAACATTAAATGTGGAGTCAGAAAACCTAGATTTTAGTCCCTCATTAACTTCTTGGATGATTTCATGCATTTATTCATTCATCCAGCCACTTAACAAATAGTTATCAGACATTTTATAATGCCCTGGGCACTGTGCTAAGTGCTAAAGCACACAAATAAAAAGTACATTGTCCTTGCATTTAAAGACTTGTATTCTATTAAAGAAGACAGATATCAATTTTTGAAAATCCAACCATTAACAATGTAACTGTGATTTAGTGCTACAAAGAAAAGCTAACCTGGAGATTGTAGCAGGGAAGTTAGTATAGACTTGAACTGTGATTTAGATCTGCAGGATAATTAGGTGTCAACTAGGTGAATGGGGCTGCAGGAACTGCACATGCAAAGTCCTAGTGGCTTGGATGCAGAATCATCATATTCTAGGAATTATAGAAGGCCAGAATGACTTGAGCTCAGGACAAGGGCAAACCAATGACCAGTGATCAGAAGTCAACAAATGGGTCTGGAGAGTGAGGGAGACTGGAGAAGAGGTAAGATCACTGCAATTGTATTTCAATACATTAACTCTGTATGCAGTCTTGAGAACTACTTGTAGGGGCACAAGTCGACATGAGACCAGCTAGGAGGTTATTGCTGGAGTCCAGAAAAGATAACAGTGTGTGGCTTGGTGGATTAAAAAAAAAAAGAGGTAGGCAGAGGCAAAAGGATTAATAGCATTAAGTAATTAATAATAGCACCAAGTAATAAGTTGGGTATAGGATTCGTGAAAGAGGCAGTGAGTGTTAAGGATGAGTCCTGTATCTCTAGCTGAGATGATAGAGAACAATGATAGATGACCAGATTCGAGCAAGACAGATTCTGGAGGTCTTACTTTCTGTTTCTGCAAAATATGAGTAAAACTTTATTTTGAAGTTCTGTCTAGTTCTAAAATTGTATGCTTGTATTATATAATTCCATCATTTTTCAAAAATCGAGTTGCCTATCTTGAGTGGGAATTGCTTATAGGTAAATGTATTGTTTATTTATTGCTACATTTCAAAAATACCCCCAAACGTTAGTGACTTAAAACAGCAATCATTCATTATCTCACAATTTCTGTGGGTCAGGAATTTAGGAGCAGAGTTTCCTACGGGGAGCATTCAGGATGTTGGCAGGGGCTGCAGGCATTTGAAAGCTTGACTGAGACCACATCTAGCCGCTTCCACAATGGCTCACTCACAGGCTGTTTGCAGAAGGCCTCAGATCCTTACTGGTGGCAGGAGGTTTCCATTTCTTACCACATGGACGTCTCCACAGGCTCCTTGAATGTCCTCACGACAATAGCATCTGGCTTGCCCCAAAGCAAGTGATCTCAGAAAGAGGTAACAAGGAGGACACAGCAGTGCCTTTGATGATCTGGTGTCAGAAGTCACAAGTCACATATCTTAGACTGGGTGATTTATAAATAATAGAAATTTACTTCTCACAGTTCTGGAGGCTGGGGATTCCAAGATCCAGGTGCTGGCAGATTTCATGTCTGGTGAGGGCTGGCTCTCCCTGCTTCAGATATAGCACCTTGTTGCTATGTGTCCTTACATGCTAGACGGGTGGAAGAGGGAAAAGGGGGAAATGCAGGGTGAAGGCTGTTTTATAAGGGCATTAATCCCATTCCTGAGAGACTTCGTCACCTCCTAAAGCCCCCACTTCTTAATGCTATCACACTGGTGATTAAGTTTTCATATTTGAATTTTGGGGGCACACATTCAGCTATAGCACATACTGTCAATTCCATTTTATTCTATTTGTTAGAAGCAAGTCACTAAATCTAGCCGACACCAAGGAGAGGGGAATCAGGCTCTATCATTTGACAGGAGGAGTATCAAACAATTTGTGAACATATTTTGAAACCACCACAGAGACTGGGTACAGTGCCTCATACCTGTAATCCCAGCACTTTGGGAGGCCGAGGCAGGTGGATCACCTGAGGTCAGGAGTTTGAGACCAGCCTGGTCAACATGGTGAAACCCCATCTTTACTAAAAATACAAAAATTTAGCCGGGCACGGTGGCGGGCACCTGTAATCCCAGCTACTTGGGAGGCTGAGGGAGGAGAATTGCTTGAACCCAGGAGGTGAAGGTTGCAGTGAGCGGAGATTGCACCATAGCACTCCAGCCTGTACAACAAGAGCGAAACTCCATCTCAAAAAAAAAAATAAATCTCATACGCTTGACACTTCAGAAAGTGCTGGGCAACTTTTCTTGATAGTAAATAACACTGTTAAATAAAACTAAAGTGTTATGAACTTCTAGAAAACAGCTGCCTAGAATACTTAAGTGCCAACATTCTGGATGAATATTTATTGATTTATATATTTACATTTAGATTTCTCTCTATCTCTGTAATGAGATAAGGGCAGTCTACGAATGTACAAAGCTATCGAGTCATAAACTAGTGGATTTTTTTTTTTTTTTTTGAGACAAGGTCTTGCTCTGTCACCCAGGCTGGAGTGCAGCGGCATGATCTCAGCTCACTGCAACCTCTGCCTCCTGAGTTTAAGGGATTCTCCTGCCTCAGCCTCCTGAGTAGCTGGGACTATAGACATGCGTCACCACACCTGGCTAATTTTTGTATTTTTAGTGGAGACAGGGTTTCACCATGTTGTCCAGGCTGGTCTCGAACTCCTGACCTCAAGTGGTCCACCTGCCTTGGCCTCCCAAAGTGCTGGGATTACAGGCATGAGCCACCACACCCGGCCACTAGTGGATGTTTGTATCTATAATTACAAAATACTATTATAAGTGATTATCTGTGCATATGCTTTCTGCCTATGTTGTAAAATACTTAATGAATTCTGTAAATTACATATTGTTTTGTATGAGAATCAAATATTTTTGATGCGAATCAGAGTCAGAGCTGAAGAATTTTACAGCTTGAAGAAAGCTTACAGATGGTCAAGTCCAACTTTCTCATTTAATAGATGAAAAAACGGCCGGGTGCAGTGGCTCATGCCTGTAATCCCAGCACTCTGGGAGGCTGAGGCAGGTGGATCACCTGAGGTCAGGAGGTTGAGACCAGCCTGGCCAACATGGTGAAACCCCATCTCTACTAAAAATACAAAAAAATTAGCCAGGCAAGGTGGTGGACACCTGTAATTCCAGCTACTCAGGAGGCTGAGGCAGGGGAATCTCTTGAACCTGGGAGGCGGAGGTTGCAGTGAGCCGAGATGGCACCATTGCACTCCAGCCTGGGCAACAAGAGCGAAGCTCCATCTCAAAAAAAGAAAAAAAAAAAAGATGAAAAAACGTGAGTCTGTAATAAACAAACAACATTTTCCCCCCTAGAGTTCTCACTCAGTTTGTGGCAGAAAACCACAGAGGGTCTTTTGGTAATAATGTTAGAGATGGGATTCAGTGGTCTTTTGAGATCTTTGTTTTTTCCAGTCCTGAAAATCTATATTGTCTTAAAACAACTTTCAGGAAAGGCATAAAAGGCATAACATTCTCCCTATTTTAACATTGTTTGCAAGTAAGTTACAGAACAGTCCACTGGATCTTTCAAGGTCAGTTAGTAACTTGTTTGTAGGAATTGGGAATGAAGCCAAGGTTACAGATTCCTTTGTTTAGATTCTTTCCACTCATTTATTACTTACCTCTGAAATGTTATTGCCATTTATCACAAAGTAAATTGGCTTTATTACATATGCAGAGAGGATTAGGTAATAGCTTTACCTTGTCTTTGTGGAAGACCAACAGACTCACATCTATGAACACATGATGAATTATGTACTTATGTAATTTGAACTTAGATAGGGAGAGAATAAAGGCAGGAATAGACCTGTGGTTTCCTGACTCTTCATTTAGGTACATTAGCCATCAAACTTCTATCTACTGCACTGAAATTTTATAGCTTTTATCAGCAATTAAATTTGTATGACTTAACTAGGCACACAAAGTAAATGATAAGATAGTTTTATTTACTTTGTCTGTTTTTTAACTGAGAGCCATTATATTGGTGAACACATTGTGAATATGTACTTAATTAAATGTGCAAGATAATGCAGATAGTATGAAATATCTTGGTTTATAATTGAAAATTCTCTTGCATTTCTTTCTGTGTAGAGGTTTGTTTGTTTAAGTGACAAGGTATCCCTTTATTGCCCAGGCTGAAGTATAGTGGCACAATCATAGCTTACTGTAACCCTGGGCTCAAGCAATCCTCCCACCTCAGCCTCCCAAAGTGCTGGGATTACAGATGTGAGCACCACACCTAGCCTGTATGTATAGGTTTAAAAAAGTAGTTGTAATTTTGCATAATTATAGCTTTTTAAAAATAGTGCTGGATGTGATGGCTCATGCCTGTGATGCCAGCACATTTGGAGGCAGAGGTAGGAGGATCGCTTGAACCCAGGAGGTTGAGGCTGCAGGTGAACTATGATTGTGCCACTGCACTCCAGCCTGGGTTGCAGAGTGAGGCCTTGTCTCAAAATAAAAGAAAAGAGAAAAAAAAGTGAATAAAATTTTTGATGGAAAAGCATTTTAGTATATTTTGATGCTTTCAGTTAATTTAATATCTAATACTGTTGTAAAATTCTTGGCTTATACAAAACTGTATTTTCCAAAGAAATAGTTGGAAATGAAAGGTCTGTTTTAGCATGCTATGTTATTTCACAAGTATTTATTGCATGTATCATTTGCCATAGTTTTTAATATTAATAGTTCATATATTTCCAGTTACTGAATACATATTTGTTTCTAGATTGTCCATAGATGTTTCAAATTCAGTATGTTCCCAACCTGCCTAATTATCTTGATCTCTTAGTTCTACTTCTTTTATATTCCTCATGTATCTTAATGGTACTTCTGGAAACCTTGAAGTCATCTTCATATCTCATTTTCTCTTACCCCTCAAAGTCTATTTCCAAATCTTTGAACAGATTCTATTTTCTCTTCTTCATCCTCACAAACTCCCAAGTTCAGACCCTTATCCTGTCTTGCTTGGGCCTTTATAGCAAAAGTCTATCTAAGGTAGACAGTTTTGATCTCACCATCTATTCTCACTGCCACTGAACCAGGCAATCCATGTGGCTGCCAAGTTACCTTACTAAAATATAAATCAGATCACATTATTCCTCTTTTTAATACCTCTTATGGGTGCATTCCTATTTCCTCAAGGGTGAAGGACAAACTCTGCAGTACCTGAATGGATCTCAACTTACCTTTCTGAAGCCTCTGGTTATACACATCTTCATATCTAAACATCAACCCCATCTTCCTAATCAGTTTCCAAAGCTGGTTGTCTTTCCTCTGCTTCTCCTCTTAGAGCAGCAGTCCCTAAAGTTGTTGGCACCAGGGACTGGTTTCGTGGAAGACAATTTTTTCCACAGACTGGCGGGCGGGGGGCGGGGGGTGTGCAGCAGGAGATGGTTTGGGGATGATTAAAATTATTCAAGCACATATATTGCACACTTTATTTCTATTATTATTACATTGTAACACATAATTAAATAATTATTCAACTCACCATAATGTAGAATCAGTGGGAGCCCTGAGCTTGTTTTCCTGCAACTAGATGGTCCCATCTCGGGGTGATGGGAGACAGTGGCAGATCATCAGGCATTAGATTCTCATAAGGAGCATGCAACCTTGATCCCTCACATGCACAGCTCACAGTAGGGTTCGCGCTTCTCTGAGAATCTAATGCCACACTGATCTGACAGGAGGAAGAGCTCCGGCAGTAATGCAAGCGATGGGGAGTGGCTGTAAATACAGATGAAGCCTCACTCTCTTGCCCACCTCTCACCTCCTGCTGAGATGAGGCTATGGACAGGTTCATAGTCCAGGGGTTGGCGACCCCTGTCTTAGATAACTTCTACTGTCCCTTCCTCCACATGATGTTCTCTTCTCTAAGCAGAGTGAATTGCCCTCCTCTCGGTCTCCCTTGACACTATGTGTCTATCTTTATTATAGCTCCTATTGCACAGCATTGTTTGCTTTTCCCATTACTAAACCAAAGGGCAGGAACCAGGTTTTATTCAAACTAGCAAGGGGTCTGCAAGTCAATGTTTGTTCTAGATTTAAAAAAAAACCTGTTATGTATAAACCATTCTCGTAAAAATGATCTTTTTCCGCTTTCAAGAAGTACTTTCACATGTGCTAGCGAGACAAATGCTTTGTTAACTATCATCAGAATTCCAGAATTCAGAATTAGACAACATATTGTGATGAAGTAGATTAGGACTGTAGCATAGAAGTGTTAGTAACGGATTGGTTTGAGTGGGGTATTTTAATTTTAATTTTTTTTTTTTTTAGACTTAGTCTGACTCTTGTCCCCCAGGCTGAAGCGCGATGGTGCAATCTCAGCTCACTGCAACCTCTGCCTCCCGGGTTCAAGCGATTCTCCTGCCTTGGCCCCCCGAGTAGCTGGGATTACAGGCGCCTGCCACCACGCCCAGCTAATTTTTATATTTTTAGTAGAGATGGGGTTTTACCACGTTGGCCAGGCTGGTCTAGAACTCCTGACCTCAGGTGATCCACCTGCCTTGGCCTCCCAAAGTGCTGGATTACAGGCGTGAGCCACCGTGCCCAGTCTTTTTTTTTTTTTTTTCTGAGACAGGGTCTTGCTCTGTCACCCAGTCTTGAGTGCAGTAGCCCCATTATGGCTCCCTGCAGCTTCAACCTCCTGGTCTCAAGCAATCCTCCCACATCACCCTCCCAAGTAGCTGGGACTATAGGTGCATGCCCCCGCCTCACCTGACTTACTTATTTATTTATTTTTGTAGAGACAGGGTTTTGCCATGTTGTCCAGGCTGGTCTCGAACTTCTGACCTTGTGATCCGCCCACCTCAGCCTTTCAAAGTGCTGGAATTACAGGCATGAGAGCCACTGTGCCCAGCCGAGCATTTCTTAAGCATATTATATGTGAGACTAGAAAATTTCTTGTAACTACTGATTAATATTATTTTTTCTTAAAAAAAAGTAGTTTTAGCAAGTGTGCATGGTTTTAATCCTTGAAATCTGAGGCATTGGGATAAAAATAAGAAGGAAAATTGTTAATTAAATCTCTAACATTTCATTTAAAAGTTCATGTATCTGATGTAAGAAACAAAACATTTCTGCATGTGTGTAGGTACTACAATCAATAGTAAACTTGACCCCTGACCATAAAATTCTGTCAGCTCAGCTTATCACAATTATTCTTAGGAAAGAGTGGCTTTACTGCTTTTGTATAATTGGCAATCCATATCGGGTAAAACTCAACTTAGAAGGTTTTGGGCTGGGTGCGGTGGCTCATGCCTGTAATCCCAGCACTTTGGGAGGCCAAGGTGGGCGGATCACAAGGTCAGGAGTTCGAGACCAGCCTGGCCAATACGGTGAAACCCCATCTCTACTAAAAACACAAAAAAATTAGCCCGGGCATGGTGGCGCACGACTGTAATCCCAGCTACTCGGGAGGCTGAGGCTGGAGAATTGGTTGAACCCGGGAGGTGGAGATTGCAGTGAGCCGAGATCGCACCAGTGCACTCCAGCCTAGGCAACGGTGAGACTCCGTCTCAAAAAAAAAAAAAAGGTTTTGTTTCGTTTTCTTTTTGGTCTTTTTGGAGACACGGGTCTTGCTCTATTGCCCAGGCTGGAGTGCAGTGGCTTGATCATGGCTCACTGCAGCCTTGATTTCTTGGGATTAAGTGATCCTCCCACTTCAGCCTCTCAAGTAGCTGGGACTACAGGTGTACGCCACTATGCCCAATTTTTTTTTTTTTTGGTAGAGATGGGGTCTCACTATGTTGCCCAGGCTGGTCCTGAACTCCTGGGTTTGAGCAATCATCCCACCTCCCTAAGTGCTAGGATTATAGGTGTGAGCCACCACACCCATGGTGTTTTCGTGTTTTCAATTTTTGCATTTTATAAATAATATTGTGCATTTATGAATAAAGCTTTGGCTGTATTTCAGATTATTTCCTTCAGAAAGAATCCCAGATATGTGATTACGGGTTCCAAGAGTTATGAACATTCTTTTGTTTGAGACAGGGTCTCACTCTGTTGCCCAGGCTGGAGTGCAGTGGTGCCATCATGTTGAGAGGTGACAGCGTGCTGGCAGTCCTCAGCCCTCGCTCGCTCTCGGCACCTCCTCTGCCTGGGCTCCCACTTTGGCGCCACTTGATGAGCCCTTCAGCCCGCCGCTGCACTGTAGGAGCCCCTTTCTGGGCTGGCCAAGGCAGGAGCCGGCTACCTCAGCTTGCGGGGAGGTGTGGAGGGAGAGGCCCGGAGGGAGAGGCGCGGGAGGGAACCGCGCTGGTGCTTGTGGGCCAGCAGGAGTTCGGGGTAGGCGTGGGCTGGGCGGGCCCCGCACTTGGAGCCGCAGGCCGGCCCGCAGCCCGCGGGCCCGGCAGTGATGGTCTTAGCACCTGGGCCAGCAGCTGCTGTGCTCAATTTCTCACAGGGCCTTAGCTGCCTTCCCGCGGGGCAGGGCTGGGGACCTGCAGCGCGCCATGCCTGAGCCTCCCCGCCTTCTCCGTGGGCTCCTGCGCAGCCCAAGCCTCCCCAACGAGCGCCGCCCCCTGCTCCACCGGCACCCAGTCCCATCGACCACCCAAGGGCTGAGGAGTGCGGGCGCACGGTGCGGGACTGGCAGGCAGCTCTACCTGCCCCCTGGTGCGGGATCCCCTGGGTGAAGCCAGCTGGGCTCCTGAGTCTTGTGGGGACTTGGAGAATCTTTATGTCAGACTCAGGGTTTGTGAATGCACCAATCAACACTCTGTATCTAGCTACTCTGGTGGGGACTTGGAGAACCTTTGTGTGGACACTTTGTATCTAGCTAATCTAGTGGGGACGTGGAGAACTTTTATATCTAGTTCAGGGATTGTAAACGCACCAATTAGCGCCCTATCAAAACAGACCACTGGGCTCTCTGTAAAATGGACCAATCAGCAGGATGTGGGTGGGGCCAGATAAGAGAATAAAAGCAGGCTGCCTGAGCCAACAGTGGCAATTGGCTCCGGTCCCTTTCCACACTGTGGAAGCTTTGTTCTTTCGCTCTTTGCCATAAATCTTGCTGCTGCTCACTCTTTGGGTCCACATTGCCTTTATGAGCTGTAACACTCACTGCGAAGGTCTGCAGCTTCACTCCTGAAGCCAGCAAGACCACGAACCCACCGGGAGGAACGAACAACTCCAGACGCGCTGCCTTAAGAGCTGTAACACTGAACCACGAAGGTCTGCAGTTTCACTCCTGAGCCAGCGAGACCACGAACCTACCAGAAGGAAGAAATTCCGAACACATCCGAAGATCAGAAGGAGCAAACTCCAGACGTGCCACTTTAAAAGCTGTAACACTTACCGCGAGGGTCCGTGGCTTCATTCTTGAAGTCAGTGAGACCAAGAACCCACCAATTCTGGACACAATGTTACTGGAAAGGAGTCCCCATCCAGACCCCAAGAGTGGGTTCTTGGATCTCGTGCAAGAAAGAATTCAAGGTGAATCCATAAAGTGACAGCAAGTTTATTAGAAAAGTAAAGGAATTGGCCAGGCACCATGGCTCACGCCTGTAATCCTAGCACTTTGGGAGGCTGAGGTGGGTGGATGACCCGAGGTCGGGAGTTTGAGAGCACCCTGGCCAACAGGTTGAAACCCCATCTCTATTAAAAGAAAAAAAAATTAGGTGAGCGTGGGCTCAGCCCCCTATAATTCCAGCTACTTGGGAGGCTGAGGCAGGATAATCACTTGAGCCCAGGAGGCGGAGGTTGCAGTGAGCCAAGATCAGGCCACTATACCCCAACCTGGGCAACAGAGTGAGACTCTTATCTCAAAAAACAAGCAAACAAAAAAAGTAAAGGAATAAAAGAATGGCTACTCCATAGGCGGAGCAGCAGCTTGGGCTGCTGGACTAAAACTACCTATAGTTGTTTATTGATCATATGCTAAACAAGGGTTGGGTTATTCATGAGTTTTCTGGGAAAGGGGTGGGCAATTCCCAGAACTGAGTGTTCCTCCCCCTTTTAAACCATATAGGGTAACTTCGTGATGTTGCCATGTCATCTGTAAACTGTCATGGTGCTGTTGAGAGTGTCTTTTAGCATGCTCCTGTATTATAATTAGCATAAAATGAGCAGTGAGGATGACCAGAGATCACCATCATTGCCATCTTGGTTTTGGTAGATTTTGGCTGGCTTCTTTACTGCAACTTGTTTTATCAGCAAGGTCTTTATGACCTGTATCTTGTGCTGACCTCCTATCTCATCCTGTGACTTACAATGCCAAACCTCCTGGGAATGCAGCCCAGCAGGTCTAAGCCTTATTTTACCCAGCCCCTATTCAAGATGGAGTCACTCTGTGGTCAACGCCTTTGACAATCACAGCTCACTGCAGCCTCAAATTCCTGGGCTCAAGGGATTCTTCTGACTCTTCAGCCTCCTGAATAGCTAGGACTACAGACATGCCACCATGCCTGGCTAATTTTTATAATTTTTTTTGTAGCGATGGGGTTTCACTATTTTGATCAGGCTGGTCTTGAAAATCCTGGGCTCAAGCGACCTTCCCGCCCCAGCCTCCCAAAGTGTTGGGATTACTGGTGTGAGCTTCAGCACTGGCCAGTTATGAACATTCTTTTTGTTTTTTTGCTTTGTTTTTTTTTGAGAGGGAGTCTCGCTCTGTTGCCAGGCTGAAGTGCAGTGGCATGATCTCGGCTCACTGCAATCTCTGCCTCCCGGGTTCAAGTCATTCTCCTGCCTCAGCCTCCCAAGTAGCTGGGATTACAGGCGTGTGCCACCACACCCAGCTGAGGTTTGTATTTTCAGTAGAGACGGGGTTTCACCATGTTGGCCAGGATAGTCTCGGTCTCCTGACCTCATGCTCTGCCCGCCTCAGCCTCCCAGGAAGTGCGGGGATTACAGGCATGAGCCACCATGCCCTGCCATGAAAGTTCTTAGGGGTTGAATCACAGTGCCAAATAGCTTTATAAAGAGATTATTTCAGTTTACACTCCCACTCACCATGTCTGAGAGTACCCTTTTTATCTCACCAGCCTTGACTGTTATCTTTCACTTAAATATTTACTAATAGGATACCCAACTAAAATGTTGCAATTTTTGGTCTGTTTGCTGTTGCAGAAGATAGGATAAAATCAAGGCTTTTGGAGTCAAACATATATTTGGGTTTGGTCACTGCTCTGCCACTTCCTAGTTTTGTTACATTGGGGAAATTACTTACCTCTTTTTAAGCTGTCTTATTCATCGATTTTTTTTAAAGGGTCAATAATAGTATTTATCCCAGAGGGTTTTTGTAACCATTAAAAGAGACAGTCATGTAAAAGAATTTCACACCAGTGTCTGGCACCTGACCAACAACAGTGAATCCTTCACTTTCAGTTGCAAAAGTGTGTTATATAATTTCATTTGATTAGTGTACTATGTAGGAATTTACATAATACTTTTTTTTCTTACCTACTTCATGGGAAGTATTACGTAATACTTTGACTATGCCTGCAACCTGATGTGGTAGGCTGAACAATAACCAGGATAATTCTTGCACCCTAGGGAGAGGTAAGGAGTGATCTTTTGGTGGTCCCTAAGAACCACAAGAACCTATTTGGTCGCAAGTCACACACCTGGTTCCCATCCTTGAGGAATTTGCTATCTAAAGGCCCTTGAGTTTAACCCTTGAGTCTCTTGGGGGCTTTTAATTGTTCGGAGAGGTCTCAAAGGGCAATAGTGGAAACTCACTGAAGAGGCAGGCTAGTGAAAGTGATTTGCAGATATTTCCTGGAAAAGCTACTGTCTCACCTAAGGTAAATGCTAAGGCAGGAAGTATAGGAGTTATTTGTCCTATAAAAGTAAGTATACTCAGGCGTTTTGTTATTTGAATCTAAAGTTTGTTCACAAAAGATAAGCTAAAAAAAGTATTGCAAACAGGGCAAGCCAGGCGAATCTGATTTTGTGCGCTTGCTGTTTGTATACTCATAGCAAGTTTTGCTCCCTGAATCATCCCAGCAGACAATACTGAGGGGACTCAGCATGGATTAGATGACAGAAGACTGATCCAGAAGTCAGGAGCTTCCTGTCTCATCCCAGCCACTAACTAAAGTGAGTGGGCTAGACTTAGTCTTAAGATCGAATGCCTAACTTTCTCTAAATCTAGAATTATGTAGGTTTGGCGGCTCTTTGGGGCCCTACTTCCAACTTTTTCTTGCTAACCAACTCCTTCCAACTGCCAAAGCATGTCGTTGGTAATAAAAAATTATCACACATCCTTGCTTGGATTAAAATTTGCACTCCTGATTTGGGGTCTTATCCATTGAGGTTTTGGTGAAGTTTGAAAATTGTCGCTGAAAAATTAAGTTTTTCTAGTTGGCTAAAACCTGCCAAAATAATGTAAACGTTCTTTGTTGCAAATCTAAATTCCGCTCAGGTAGGCCCTTTTCTCCTTCCCAGTCCAGGATCTTCAAACCTAACAGCCAAGTCTCACGCTTCATTTGGTCCCCGGCTCCCTCTGGGAAGAATTCCTCCTCTGGGGGCGACGGCAACGCCCTCAGTGAGTTTGCTGGCACCAGCGGGAGTTTCAAGTTTCCACTCGTTGGGGAGGCGGCGGGCACACTCCGAGCTTTGGGCTGGGCGGCTCCGCTTCCCTCGACCGCAGGTTTAGCTGGAGCCCAGCGCTCTCTGGAAGGGCTCGACCCTCCGGCGCATTCGCCCTATTTCCCTGGGCGCTCCCGAGCCCGCAGCCACCCACCTCGCGTTGGCCGGCCCCAGACCGCGACCCCCGGCCACGCCCGGAGCCAGGCCTGCGGCTGCGAGCCTGCGGGAGGGGCGGGGCGGGGGCGGCCCCCAGCGGCGGCGTTGGCGCTCAGTCCGCGGCGCGAGGACGGCCGGCCGGCAGGGGGAGGCGGGGGGGCGCCGGGCAGCCCCGCCTTTTCCCGCGGAGGCGCCGAGCGGCCATATTGCGGAGCTGTCTGCGGTGGCGGCGGCGCCTCTCGTCTCCCGCGGGCCAGCGCTCGCACCACCGCTTCTCCCTCCCTGTCGCAGCCGCGCCGCCGCGCAGCGCCCCAGCCACACGCCGGCGGGCAGAAGCCGCCCGCTCTCCGGGTAAGGCGCGGCGCCCTCCCTTCCCCCACTCCCCGCTCCCGGTTCCTCCGGAGACGCTAAGGTGGCGGCGCGAAGTTGCGGGGCCCGTGCTGCCCGGCCGTGGCGCCGCCGCCAGGGCTTGGCGCGCCTCCGCTCGCGCCCAGCTGGCCGAGGCGCCACTGTGGTAACGGCCCGGCCGGCCAGGCTCCTCCCGGGGCTGGTAGGGGCCGCGAGGCCCTGCCCGAGTCGTGGCTGAGCCGCGGCCCGAACGTGCCTGGCCGGGCCAAAGTCGACCTTCGCCGCCGCGGGATTCTCCTTTCCTCGGGGCGCGGAGTCTGCCTTCAGCGCCGGTGTCGGACCCCCAGCGCCCTGGGGACGGTGGGCTCCCGCTGCCTGGACTGGGCCCCGGGCCCGGGCTGGCATGGTCCCAAGGGTTGTTTGAAAATCCAGATATTCAGCGTAGGTAGAATTCGATTTTACATTTATTAGAACTTGTTCCCCGGCCTCCAGTTTGAAAGGAGGGGTGTTAAATTACTAGAGAGCGTGCGTTCCGCCCCAGTGGCAAAGGGGATGTTGCATGACAGGCTTTGGGGCGCCAGTCGCTCCCGCCGCTCGCACCCGCCAGGCCAGGGCCGCGGTTCCCGGCCGCAGCTCTACCTGCTGCTGTTGCAGCTCTCGGAGCCCTGTAACTTTCTCGGGCCCTTGAGGCCGCTCAGTTTTAGTGTCTCAGACCCCACCAGACAAGTTCAGTACATGATATCCCTCTTTTCCTTTAAAGGATTCTAAACTCAATTCCCGGACTAACTTTGAAAGGGGGCAGTGCATTTTTGTTTTTTTTTTTTTTTCAGTTTAAACAGACTACATCACTTCCTAGACAGATGTCATGTTTCTTCAGACATTCCCAATATTTGGTGGTTTTTTTTTTTCCTTAAAGAGTAGTTACTAGGTTGGAAATGTGTTAAAAGTCAACTTCATAAAAATATATTTTAAAATACATTTGAGATTTTGGTGGAAGACACGTTGCTGAGGAACTCGATGGCATTCTTGTGGCACTAAGACTGGCAGGATGTAAATATAAAAGTCTAAGATAATAAGGGTTTATTTGATAAACGAGTACTTTGACATAGACATTGTAATCTATTGTTTAAGGAGCATACTTCTTTTTTTTTTTTTTTTTTTAGAACACTAAATACTCTTTTATATGACTGATGGAGCTAAGAAGGAACAATTACCCCGTTCATGTTGCTGGATAAATAATGGCTTGATCCATTTGCCAAAACAGCATCACTGGATTTGAGAAAGGAGACTAATATTCAGGATTGCAGTTTTTTATTTTCAGAATTTCTTTGCTTTCCCCAGTGTGCTTTATCTTCCAGAGATTAATAATACTTTCCTTCAAATACAGCAACATGTAAAACACTCCTTTTGAAGTTAATCGTATGCTGTAAAGACGATTGCAGTGACTTTCTTTGCTTAATCGCTTTTTTATATATGATGGAATTTAATAAACAGTTGGTATATTATTAGCAAGGAATGAATAGACATTGGCATTCTTTACAGTTTTATTTAAATGAGACAGAATTTGATTGTGGCATTGAAAAAACGTTGAGTTCTTGACCTTAGGAATCACATACAATGTTTTGTTCACTCCTGTATCCCCACACATGGAAGAGTATGTAGGAGAGTCTCAGAAGTAGCTGTAGAATAGATGTAATTAATTTGGGTGTAGGGAAAATACGTTGAGTCTGTCCTTTTGTTTTTTTTTTTGAAATTGTGATTAATTAACTGAAAGTCAAATTGATTACTTTCCTTTTGTTGGTAAGAAATGACAGACTTTGCTGTTGTTTCCCTCCCTTGCTGAGTCTCATTAGTCTCCGGGATGGGGAACGCGTTGTCTTTTGTTTATTGGTTCACTGTTCCCAAAAGCAGAATTGGATTTTTTTTTTAAGTCGATAAATTTTTACTCAAGGAATTCCATGTTGTGATTTCTTCCACTGTCCATCAAGGTCACTTTAGATCCTCTAAAGAGCTAGAGTCAAAAGATTTATCTTCAAGTTAGTCCTTTTTAATGAAACCGATGCTTATTTTAATCCAGTTAGCCCATCTCGCTCTGTCTCCCAGGGTGATATGCAGTGGCATGATCTTGGCTCACTGCACCTCCGCCTCCTGGGTTCAAGTGATTCTTGTACCTCAGCCACCCGAGTAGCTGGGACTACAGGCGTGCGCCACCATGCCCGGCTAATTTTTGCATTTTTAGTAGAGACGGGGTTTTGCCATGTTGGCCAGGCTGGTCTGGAACTCCTGGACCTCCGGCGTTCTGCCCGCCTCGGCCTCCCAAAGTGCTGGGATTACAGGCATGAGCCGCTGCGCCCGGCCAGAATTGGATTTTATTATTCATTTTTTATCTTTGGCAGGCTGTTGAAGTGAAAGTCTTTATATATTTTTATTTTGCTTTCAGTTCTCAATCTTTTAACCTACTATGTGTGATCTGATATAATAGTCTGAAATGGTAAATGATGGTGAGAGTCTTGTTTTTTCATCCATTTTTAATTTAATGCATTTTAATTTATGCTACTAATGTTTAAAAACGGGGTCAAATTTTAACCAATATTTCCTGTAGGCCAAAGTCTAAAAAAATCTGTTTTATTAAGGTTGTGAAAACTGAGCTATATGCTGCTGGAGTTTATATGTAAGGTGTAGATAAATATAATTTCGTGTTACTTCTGTGCATCGGGGAAGTCAAGCAAGTCACTGTTGGGTGGCAGGAACCTTCCTGCAGACCACGAGCTGGCAGGTGGTACTTAACTGATACTACCCCTGGGGTACAAGATTCAGTGGAGCTGGATTGGGTTGCTATGGACTCTACCCTTAAAAGATTATTTTAAGTCTCATGGCATTACTGATCCAGCTGAAGACTGTTCTGGTAACTTCCTTGATTGCTGCAGCCAGGGTGTGCGTACTGCTTTGATGATAGAGGTGTCCAATCTGGCCCCAGAGAGTTCCTCAATTTCTAGCCTATTTTAGAGAAATCCTGCCTTTCCTACTTTAAGTTCCTGGTGTATATCTTTATATTGAATGTATAGCTTAAGCCATTTAAAAAAAACTATAAAAGTGATATATTTTATGGCAAAGTTTAAAAACTCAGAAAAATGTCAAGGAAAAGGTCAAAGTCCTCCTTACTCCCTGGAACACCCCAGCCCCTTTCCCAGTCCTGTTTTCCATAGGTAGCTGCTGTCGGCAATTCCTTGTTTATAGAAAATGCCAGTAGGTATGCAGGGATAAACATATACTTTATATCCCTTATTTGTGATTTTAAAGTCTTGTTAAAATAGGGTTATATTGTAACAGACATTGAAAGGATGCTTATTAACTTGTGTTAAACATTGAGTAAATCATATTTCTCATGTTTTCATCATTTGAATAAAAGCACACAATAGAATTCCCTACGCTAATTCTCAAGTGTGTGTATGTGCAAATTTGTTTGTGTACAGATTTTCTTGATTAATGATTGAAGATGAAGTTTACTTTTTGTTTTCTAGCATATGGCATATAGTTGACAATGAGAAATGGTGTCTTTTAAAAAAGGAGGTTTATAATTTGGTGTGGGAAATAGCCACATCTTGCTCTTTACAAAAAAAGTTTGCCAACTCCTTAGAAAAAACATCCTGTTGAAAGGATATTTTAGATACAGTATTGAAGAAACAGGTACTTCATTGTTTATTTTCTCTAAGATTATAGAATTTATAAAGCTATTAGTAATTGAGATAATGGACTGTTTTCTTCTGAGTTGTAGATAATCTCTATGGCTTTCAGGACCTTAAATGTTTTTTTTTTTTAATTTATTTGTGAAAAGTTTAAGTCAACTAGGACTGACTGCAGGTAAATTTGTGAAGTGAGCGCTCTTCAGTTTTGAGCCCTTAGATCCTTTAAGATGCATTGGCATCAAATAGCAGAAAATTCTCCAACTGGTTTAAACAATGAGGAAATTTAATGTCATTTTTTTCTTCATTTTTTTTTGAAAACAGAGTCTTCCTCTGTCACCCAAGCTGGAGTGCAGTGGCACTATTACAGCTCACTGCAGCCTTGACCTCCTGGGCTCAAGTGATCCTTTAAGTTCCTCCCACATCAGTCTCCCTAGTAGCTGCCAACACAGGCGTGTGCCACCATGCCTAGCTAATTTTTTTTTTTTTTTTCCAAGACAGGGTCTCGCTCTGTTGCCCAGGCTGGAATGCAGTGGCATGATCTCAGCTCACTACAGCCTCTGCCTCCAGGGTTCAAGCGATTCTCCTGCCTCAGCTTCCCTAGTAGCTGGGATTTAAGGCACATGCCACCAGGCCCGGCTAATTTTTGTATTTTTAGTAGAGACAGGGTGTTACCATGTTGGCCAGGCTGGTCTCAAACTCCTGACCTCAAGTGATCTGCCCGCCTTGGCCTCCCAGTGTGCTGGGATTACAGGTGTGAACCACTGTGCCTGGCCAACAACTAATTTTTTAAAAAGCCTTTTTGTAGATACGGGGTATCCCTATGTTGCCCAGGCTGGTCTCAAATGATCATCCTGCCTCAGACTTCCTGCCTTGGACTTTCTGCCTCGGCCTCCTGAAGTGCTGGGAGGATTACAGGTGTGAGCCACCATGCCTGGCCAAAATTTAATGTCTTGCATACTAAAAGTCCAGAGGCTCAAGAATGGTTCAATAATGACATCAAGGACTCCTTCTCTTTCCAACTCTCTTCCCTGTGATTTTCCCTATTAACTTCATACTAAGACAGCCCTTACCCATCTCAATTTGGCTGCTGCAAAGGAGCCAGGAGCGGTGGTGTGGACCTGTAGTCCCAGCTACTCAGAATGCTGAGGTTGGGGTATCACTTGAGCCTGGGAGGTCAAGCCTGCAGTTAGCCCCTTGTCCCAGTTTGGCTGCTGCATCCCATCCAGACAGGGCAGTATCCAAAGGAATAAGAGGAACTGTTTCCAGAAACCCCCAAGCAGATGTCTTTCGAGCCTCATTGGCCAGGATTGGGGCACATTCTATACCTAACCAGTCAACTGGCAAGGGTAATGGAATTGCCCTTTCTTCCAACTCTGTTCCCAATAGATACTTCTTTTTTCTTTTTCCTTCCTCCCTCCGTCCCTCCCTTTTTCCCTGTCTCCCTCCTTCTCTCTGTCACTGTCACCTCTCTGCTGCTGGAGTACAGTGGCATGATCATAGCTCCATGCCACGAACTCCAGGGCTTTGAACTCCGGGGCTCAGGCAGTCCTCCCACCTCAGCCTCTGGAGTAGCTAAGACTACATGTGCACACCACCATGCTTGGCTGATTTTAATTTTTTTTAGAGATACAGTTTCACTATGTTGCCCAGGCTAGTCTCAAACTTCTGGCCTCAAGTGATCCTCCTGCCTCAGCCTCCTAAAGTGCAGGCAACTGCACCCAGCCCTGTTATTTTCATTATTCATCTATATTACATGTCTTCGGTCCTTTTTTTACCCCCACCCAAAGTCATATCCAAAATTGATCCATTACAGATAGTCATATGTAGTGAGCTCATATCTTTGTAGGTACCAACTTCAGTTAAATTATGAAAGGAAAAGTGTTGATTCTTGTTAAAATACTTGGCAAATTGTGGTCCATGGGCTAAACCCAGCCTACTGCCTGTTTTTATAAAGTTTTATTTGAACACATCGTAGCTGACTTGTTTACATATTATCTATGGCTGCTTTCCTGCTACAACAGTAGAATGGTTTCAACAGAGACTGTGTGGCTTACAAAGCTTATAATGTTTACTTACCTGGCCCTTTACGGAAAAAGTTTGC
Source organism: Homo sapiens (assembly GCF_000001405.40). NCBI lineage: Eukaryota > Metazoa > Chordata > Mammalia > Primates > Hominidae > Homo > Homo sapiens. Next base: position 110,290,682 of record NC_000011.10, on the reverse strand, counting down.
CGACCACTGCTTTAAGATGTCAGTCGTACATTTGGACAGTTATTATATGCCACATACTCTTTGCATTTGAGAATGGAAAGATGAGTAAAATACTCAGGAGTTCTCACTCTAATGGGCAGATAGATGTGCCATATTGTATTCATAAAGTGTGTTAAGTGCTTTTTTTTTTTTCTTTTTGAGACTGTCTCTGTTGCCCAGGCCAGAGTGCGGTGGCTTGATTATAGCTCACTGTGACCTTGACCTCCCAGGCTGAAGTGATCCCTCCACCTCAGTCTCCCAAGTAGCTGGAACTATAGGAGCTTGCCACCACTCCCGGCTTTTTTATTTTTTGTAGACACGGGGTCTCACCATGTTGCCCAGGCTGTCCTGGGTTCAAGTGATCCTCCCGCCTCAGCCTCCCAAAGTGCTGGGATTACAGGCGTGAGCCACCACACCTGGCCTGTTAAGTGTCACAGTAGTGTGTATAAGTTAATTAATACTCCTTGCAGCAGCATTTTAAGCACAGTATTCTGTGCTGTGAGTTCTGGATGTTTCTTGCTTCCTCTGTTTTTTTTTCTTTGTTAAATCTTCCTGTTGTTTTTGTAAATTGACTGATAATCTTTTAATAAGTTAACCAGAGTGGGTATTTTTGTTTATAACAAAAAATCCTGGTGAGTACATGGAATAATGTGGATGCATTAATGCAACGTAAGGACCCTTGTTTTTTTTTTTTTTTTTTTTTTTTTTGAGACAGTCTCACTTTGTCACCCAGGCTGGAGTGCAGTGGCATGATCTCAGCTCATTGCAGCCTCTGCCTCCTGGATTCATGCAATTCACCTGCCTCAGCGTCCCGAGTAGTTGGGACTACAGATGCACACCACCAAACAGGTCACCACGTCTGACTAATTTTTATATTTTTAGTAGAGACGGGACTAATTTTTATATTTTTAGTAGAGACGGAGTTTCGCCGTGTTGGCTAGGCTGGTCTTGAACTCCTGACCTCAAGTGATTCACCCGCCTTGGCTTCCCAAAGTGCCGAGATTTCTGGTGTGAGCCACCGCCCCCAGTCAACATAAGGACTCTGAGTGAAAGGGAGAATGGGAACATAGAAAATCTCAGCTGTGGTTAATTGACTTTAGATCCCTTTGGCTTGGATTAAATTTTCTTAGCCATTGTGAGGACTCCTGATACTTAAGCTGTTTATAGGTTCTAGACTTAGAAAAACTATAAAAACTTAGTTTGGCTATTCAGCAAAGTTAGTATATATCACCAGAAAGCTTACTGCTAATATCTAATCAACAAGCAGCATGGTAATTACAGTTATCATTAAGTGTGTCAAATTATCTGGCCTTTAATTTGATTGTCAACTTAATTGAAATTATTAAAACAGTTTTGGATAGAGATGGTTAAGGCTTGAATTTGGGAGGCCTAGTTGTAAAAAGTTTTTTTTTTTTTTTTTTTTTTTGAGATAGAGTTTTGCTCTTGTTGCCGAGGCTGGAGTGCAATGGCGCGATCTTGGCTCACCACAACCTCGGCCTCCCAGGTTCAAGTGATTCTCCTGCCTCAGCTTCTCAAGTAGCTGGGATTACAGGCATGCGCCACCACGCTCGGCTAATTTTTTATTTTTGGTAGAGATGGGGGTTTCTCCATGTTGGTCAGGCTGGTCTCGAACTCCCAACCTCAGGTGATCCGCTCACCTGGGCCTCCCACAGTGCTGGGATTGCAGGTGTGAGCCACCACGCCCAGCTGTAAGGAGCTTTTTTTGTTCCCCATGTTCATGTTGGTTCTCTCTTCTTAGTGATGCTTATTAGTTTGGTCATTTTACAACATAAAAAAAGAGAGGAAACTATTGCCCTTGACACTAATCAACAGAAAAATTAAAACTAGTATTATGTGTAAGATTAATTCACCAACAAAATCAACAGACATTTTGAGGCCCAACTGTGAACCAGGCATTGTATCAGTTTTTCAAAAAAGGGAGTTAATATCTAGAAAATTAGAAGCTTAATTTTTTTATAGCAATAGAACTGCCATATAGCCTCGTTGACTGTGTTAGAGAATATTGTCTAATTATAAAGACATTTAAGAAACATACTGACTTTGTTCTGTTTTGAAAATAAGCTATAATATCTGATGTTTCAAAGCACATTAAGGGTAGAATTATTTGTGAGAATTATTTTGTGTTTGCTTCTTTCCTGTTATATAAGTGACTTGCATGAACCTGTTTTCCCATTTCTAAACATTTTTATGTGAATGTTTAATGTTTTCTTAAGAGTGAAATGAGGAAGTTGAACTGGATTTAGCTTTCTTACCTTTTAGTATTTAATAATTGCAAATGATAGTGTATTATTTTGTTTTCTGCTCACCTTAGGAACAATACAGGTATGATTTTCCTTTTTAAATTTACAAAACTCTTAGAAGAGATCCTAAACTCAGTGTAAAACTTTGGTGTTAATATTGCAGTTCAGCTTTATAAATTTTAGAAATTTGCTTTGCATTTTCAGTAACATGTATATTACTCAAACGTTGAATATTTCATTTCCTTGAAAATATCATTAAACCAGAAATCATTTCTACATGAGCAAGACTTAATATCTTATTTAAAACTGCCTCTCACCCTTACAGGAAATCCATTTACAGAGATGATCATACCAGTTATTAATGTGCACTTAAAACATCTTTAGAGGTAGTCTCTTGACCTGCTAACAATAGAGAGCTTTAATAGCCTACTTCTTGAAAAGCCCTAGTAATTGTTTCGAATGAACTTGTCTAAAATGGTATCTGAGAAAAGTAGAATAAGATAATCAAAAGAGCCCAAGACTAGGATTTTAAAGGACTTATGTCTTGTTAAGTAGCCCCCTGACATTGAGCAAGTCATTTATCTGAATCTTAATTTCTTTTTTAGAAGAATGAGAGATTGTAACACCTGTCTTGGGCAGGAAGGGGGAGGGCAGTTATTGTGAAGATAGGAAGTGTAGGCAGAGTGGAGAGTGAGCATTCTACAGATGCTCCCTGTATTCACTACCCTTCTTGCTTTTGGCCTTATTTCTTTACTTGCAAAATGGAGCTAAAAATTCTTGTCCTCTTTGCTTCACTTTGGGATGACGGGATGACATGTCATTATTTAGGTAAAAGTGCATTATTATTGCCATAAAATTTATTAACACTGAGCTAACAGCATAATAAGCATAGTTCTTTGTATATTAAAGGTTTTAAACCCGGGGACCTATGACCTTGAATGGGGAAAAAGTTACATCTTTATTTTTACATTTTCTTGTTATGAGTATAGACAACATTAGCATTAGCAGTACAGTACCAGAGACTGTGTCGTCTATTTTTTAATTTAATTTTTATTTTTTATAGAGATGGGATCTCACTCTGTTGCCCAGGCTGGAGTGCAGTGGCACCATCACTCCTGGGTTCAAGTGACCCTTTAGAATAGCTGGGACTACAGGTGCACATCACTACACACAGCTAATTTTTTTATTTTTTGTAGATTGCCCAGACTGGTTTTGAACTCCCGGCCCCAAGCCATCTTCCTGCCTTGGTCTCCCAAAGTGTTGAGATTACAGGCATGAGCCACCATAACCAGCCCAGAGACTGTTTCTAATAGAAACGGTAGATACTTTTGGAATACATTAAAGCTGTCTCGAAATAACTTAACTGTTACTTAAAGTATTAAAAAAGCATATATATTACTCAAGGTTTGTGTTTTTTATATTTTGATAATCATATTCCAGTGTAATTGGTTTCTTTTGTAATTTTCTGTATTGTGTGCATGTATTTTATGCATTTAAAAATACTTTTCTTAGAAAGAGTTCATAGGCTTCACCAGCAGGGCCCATGCAGGAAAAATAAAATGATTAAGAACTTCTTTAGTAGATTCCATTATTGTGTTGATTGGACTGCCAGAGTTGCCTTATTCAGTTTATACTGTTCTTTGTTGTGCAGCTTTCTCCCAGTAAATTGGCAGATGAGTTCTCTTGGAATATTTTGGTTTCTGGAGAGACCACAATTATGTTCAGAGGTCATTTCTAAGTCCGAAAAGGCAGAAAAAAATTTAAAATAATTAAAATTAGGCTTAGGGAAAAGAGTATCTCAAAAGTAAAATCAGGCAATCTGCTATGAATTATTGATGCTTCAGTGCAGGCACTGCATGGACTAGACTTTATAACACCTGTTTTACCACCTGACAGGTGTGAGTCTTGTGCCACTGACCTAACAGAGCTCAATGTGTCGAGCATGAGGCTATTTTTCCATTGCATTAGGTAGAAAGGAGACTGAGGGTTACCCTCAGAGTTAAAAGACAAAGGAGAGAATGTTTATTGTGTCTATGTTGTCTCTAATGTGTGGCACTGTGTTTGAGTACATATTCATATGAGTGGTTTTCTCGAGATGGGAGACGTTTGCTGGCTGGCAGCATCTCTCCAGACGACTTGCTGGGTATGTTGCTGCCATGACTGCTCTTTTATTGCTTTTGAAGGAGTAGGTATGGAAAAGAGCACAATATATTGCTTTAGGAGAAGTAGGTATGGAAAAGAGGCAGGGCAAGACCACTTTTAAGACATTTAAGAGTGGGAGAAAATTAAGGATTTAATTGGTTTAATTAAGTTTAAACCAATAAACTTGCAGATTAAAATTAAGAGAATTAAGAGTGGGGAGGAGGGAGTAAATATTTTTATGAGGGAAGAGTGGAAATATACAAATATTTGGTATATAAATATGTGTCTTTGATATATAATGGTTTAGGCAATTTATTTTTTATTATTATTTTTATACTTTTTTTAATAGAAGAAAAGAAAGACTTGAAAGACCAGGTTTTGTTTCAAGTTAGAGATGGAACCCCAGGATATGCATCTAGGTTTCTTTGTTTTCCATGTGACATTTTATGAAATTATCTATTCTGCTACTAATAGATGCCAGTTTCAATTAAAAACATACTAATATATTTATAGACTAGAAATGTCTCTTTTTTTTTTTTTTTTTTTTTTGAGACAAAGTCTCACTCTGTCGCCCAGGCTGAAGTGTAGTGGTGTGATCTCAGCTCATTGCAGCCTCTGCCTCCTGGATTCAAGCGATTCTCCTGCCTCAGCCTCCTGAGTTGCAGGGACTACAGGCATGTGCCATCATGTTTGGCTAATTTTTTATTTTTACTAGAGACAGGGTTTCTCCATGTTGCCCAGGATGGTCTCGAACTCCTGACCTTAAGTGATCTGCCTGCCTCAGCCTCCCAAAGTGCTGGGATTACAGGCGCGAGCCACCATACCTAGCCAGAAATGTCTCATTGAGGTTAAACAATATTCTCTTTTATTTTCTTTTGAGATGAGGTCTCACACTGTCACCTGGGCTTGAGTGCAGTGGCGCGATCTTGGCTCACTGCAGCCCCTGCCTCCCAGGTTCGTGCAATTCTGCTATCTCAGCCTCCCCAGTAGCTGAGATTACAGGCACACACCACACCCAGCTAATTTTTTGTATTTTTAGTAGAGACCGGGTTTCACTATGTTGGCCAGACTGGTCTCGAACTCCTGACCTCGTGATCCGCCTGCCTCGGCCTCCCAAAGTACTGAGATTACAGGCATGAGCCACCGTGCCCGGCAACAATATTCTCTTGATATAAATATTTTCCATTAATCACTAAATTGGTGTAAAAACATAGGTTTTAATAGCATTTATACATAGCTTTGTCCTGAAAAATTTAAGGTAGAATTTTTACATCTGTGTGTTGTAGAAGCTAATGAAAGATATGTATAAGCAATTTCATGAAATATGTTTTTAAAATTCTTATCTCTGTCTCTGATTTTTAAAATTAGAAACTTAACAAAACTCTGTTAAGTACTAACTTTCTGTGTATTCAGACATCCTTTTTAATAATACCTGTGTTGGCCGGGCGTGGTGGCTCACGCCTGTAATCCCAGAACTTTGGGAGGCCGAGGCGGGTGGATCACGAGGTCAGGAGATCGAGACCATCCTGGCTAACACGGTGAAACCCCGTCTCTACTAAAAATACAAAAAAAAATTAGCCGGGTGTGGTGGCAGGCGCCTGTAGTCCCAGCTACTGGGGAGGCTGAGGCAGGAGAATGGTGTAAATCCGGGAGGCAGAGCTTGCAGTGAGCCGATATCGCGCCACTGCACTCCAGCCTGGGCAACAGAGCGAGACCATCTCAAAAAAAAAAAAAATAATAATAATACCTGTGTTTTTCTGTGTTGATGGATGGGTAGTTACATATTCTGCCTTTCCACTTAACCTTATCTAAATGTTGACACAGTTTGTTTTAATAATACCAAAAAACAAATAAAAAACCCCCACAACCCTGGAGAAGTCCATGTTATCACATAGTATCAACATTACTTTGGTGATTGTAATCATTGGCTATTGTAAAGAATGCTGCTGTGAATATCTTGATACAGATTACTTTCTTTTATATTTAGTTTGGGGGGAGAAATATCTTCTGGAGGATTTATTACAAAAGCAGAATTTCACATTCAAAAAAGCTGTGTAGCTTTTGTTATGTATTCTCTCTCTACTTTCTGGAAATGTGGAGCCAATATCTGGTGATACCTACAATACTTACCTACTTGTTTACCAACGTTGTTCGTCAACCTTAGCATGCGTAATTAATATTTATTTTGCTAGTTTAATGAGTATATCATTGGTAAAACATTTGTAGTTTTAATCAGTAGAACATTTGTGTGTTTTTTTTAACGTAAGTTTTGTTGGTGAAGTTTCTTATTGAAGTGTTTACTGAGTGGAATCTGAGCAATATCTTTATATATTTAACCATTTGATTACTTTGCATAACAGCTTTATTATACTGTTGCAAATTTTTCTACTCTTTTTTATTTTGGTATTTATTTTACCTATGTAGAGATTTAAAATAAAATATATTTATCTGTTTTTATTATAACCTATATATCTTTCTTAGTCATATTATGTTATTCTTCCAAAACTATAATTTTTTTCAAGTCTGTCTTTTTGTTTGTTTGTTTTAGATTATTTTTAAAAAAACATAGAGACGGGGTCTTGCTATGTTTTCCAGGCTGGTCTTGAACTCCTGGGCTCAAGCAGCCCATCTGTCTCAGGCTCTCAAAGTGCTGGGTTTACAAGTAGGAGCCACTGCTTCTCCTTTCTTTTTGAAAAAAATATTAACTTACTTACATTTTATTAAATGGTATTGTGAAGTTATGAGTCCAACTTTAGTTTACTTATTTAGAATAATTCTGTTTTTTTCATCGTAAGAAATTAGTTTTTTAGGCCGGGTGTGTGTGGTGGCTCACATCTGTGAGCACTTTGGGAGGCCGAAGCAGGCAGATTACCTGATGTCAAGAGTTCGAGACCAGCCTGGGCAACATAGTGAAACCCTGTCTCTACTAAAAATACAAAAATTAGTCAGACATGGTGGCAGACGCCTGTAATCCCAGCTACTTGGGAGGCTGAGGCAGGAGAATCGCTTGAACCTGGAAGGCGGAGGTTGCAGTGAGCCAAGATCGCGCCACTGCACTCCAGCCTGGGTGACAGAGCGAGACTCCATCTCCAAAAAAAAAGAAATTAGTTTATGACAAAACCTCTACATTTTCATTTTACAAGTTTACAGATTTCATTTTAATTATTCGAGCCTCTTAATATTTTAGAATATAATCATTCTGGTCTTTTCATTCATTCCTTTGTTTTTTTAAAAAAAGTGATGATATCCTGTGGATTTTTTTTTAATGTTTTATTTTTTACATTTTAGACAGAATCTTGCCCTGTTGCCCAGGCTGGGTTGTAGTGGCATGATCATAACTCACTGCAGCCTCAAACTTCTGGGCTCAAGTGATCTTCCTGCCTTAGCCTCTTGAGTAGCTAGGACTACATGTGCACTCTACTATGCCTGGTTTATTTTTATTTTTTGTGGAGACACAATCTGTCTGTGTTACCCAGGCTGGTCTTGAACTCCTGCCCTCAAGTGATCCTCCTGCGTTGGCCTCCCAAAGTGCTGGAATTACAGGTGTGAGCCACCATGCCTGGCTACTATGGATGGGTTTAATACCTGCCTTTGTACTTAGTGGTTTGTGAATATCTTCCTATGTCATTTAGTATTTTTCTATAACATTTTGATAGGCTGCATTGTGATCTAGTGGATCCTTAGATATACCATGACTGACCTAGCTAAACTCTCAGTTTTACATATACTTTTATAAATTGTACTATAATTAGAGTCTTTGTAGTTGTATCATTATACATATTTGTTAATATTTTCTTCAGGTATATTTCCACAAATGAAATTAGTTAGCAGTCTTTTCATATCAAAAAAAAAAGGAAGACAGGCTGATACGTTGTAGAACTCTGGATGCTAGGTGTCAAAAGACTTGTAGTTTGGCCATTTATTGCCCACGTAACTTAGGACAAGCCATTTTGGCTTAGGATAAAACCTTTAGTGATTGTATTACTGATTCAAAAAAATGCTTATGTAATCTAAACAACTATTATGATTCAAAAAATGGCCAAAGTTTTGATGCAGACACACATGTCTTATATATGTGTGAAGAATTTGAATAAAATTGTTCTATGAAATGTGAGATGAAGCAATTTTTCTGAACCAATAGGTTATAGGTCATTTTTTGTTTGTTTGTTTTTTGAGATGGGGTCTTGCTCTGTCACCCAGGCTGGAGTGCATTGGTGATCTCAGCTCACTTCAACCTGCACTTCCCAGGCTCAAGCATTCCTTCCATCACCATGCCTGGCTCGTTTTTTTTTTGTTTGTTTGGTTTTTTTTTTTTTTTTTTTTGATAGAGATGGGGTTTTGCCATGTTGCCTAGGCTGGTCTCAAACTCCTGGGCTCAAGTGATCCTCCCACTTCTCAAATTGCTGGAATTACACACGTGAGCTATCGCGCCTGGCCTGGAGGCTGTTTTAATCAAGACCTGAGATGATAAGACCTGAACTAAGGCAGTAATAGTAGTTGGGATGAAAAGAGGGTATAGAATTTAAAAATTGGACTGAAATACATTTAGGTTCATGAAGGTAGGTGAGTGTAGATGGGAATAAGCTAGGAAATGATAAGAATTAAGAAATGAGGGGTTTATACCTCCAGCAGAATTTCATTGCCTAATGGTTCATGCCTGTAATCCCAGCACTTCGGGAGGCCAAGGCCGGCGGATCACTTGAGCTCAGGAGTTTGAGACCAGCCTGGCCAACATGATGAAACCCTTTCTCTACTAAAAATACAAATATTAGCTGGGTGTGGTGGTGGACGCTTGTAATTCCAGCTATGGAGGCTGAAGCAGGAGAATCGCTTGAACCCAGGAGGCAGAGGTTGCAGTGAGCTAAGATTGCACCACTGCGAGCACTGCACTCCAGCCTGGGCGACAGAGTGAGACTCCATCTCAAAAAAAAAAAAAAAATCTCAGGAGGAAATTTCCTCTGAAGAGGTTTATTGGTAATCAGTTACTTGTGATTGACTAGAATTTAGGGAAATGGCCTTACCTAAATTTCATTTTTATTACAACTTAGAGAATTTCTCTTTTATTAGTTATGGCATCTTTTCTTTTTTTGTTTTTTAGAAACACAGTGTTGCTCTGTTGCCCAGGCTGGAGCACAGTGGGACCATGTCGGCTCACTGCAACCTCTGCTTTCTGGGTTCAAGTGATTCTCCTGCCTCAGCCTCCTGAGTAGCTGGGATTACAGGCACCTGCCATCATGCCCGGCTAATTTTTGTATTTCTGGTATAGATGGGGTTTCACCATGTTGGCCAGGCTGGTCTCAAACTCCTGACCTCAAATGATCCTCCCGCCCCGGCCTCCCAAAGTGCTGGGATTATAGGCATGAGCCACCATGCCCAGCCTTAGTTATGGCATCTTAAACAGCAATCAATAACATTTTTTTGTTTGTTTGTTTTTGAGACAGGGTCTTGCTCTGTTGCCCAGGCTGGAGTGCAGTGGTGTGATCACCGCTCACTGCAGCTTCAGCCACCTGGGCTTAAGCAGTCCTCTCACCTTGGCCTCCCAAAGAGCTGGGATTACAGGTCCTAAAGTGTTGGGATTACAGATGTGAGCCGCTGTGCTAGCTGAATGCAGGTTGTTAGTGTGCAGAGCTTTGCCTGTTTCATACACATTGGGTGAATAAGCTATTCATATTTTTCTCCATTCATATTTTCAAATTTACAAGAAGAAAAAATAAGCCAGGCGCAGTGGCGCATGCCTGTAATCCTAGCACTTTGGGAGGCACAGTTGGGAGGATTGCTTGAGGCCAGGAGTTTGAGACAGCTTGAGCAACATAGGGCAACCCTGCCTCTACAAAAAAATAAAATAAAAAAACTAGCTGGGCATGTTGGCACGTGCTCATGATCCTAGCTACTTGGGAGCCCAAGGCAGGAGGATCACTTGAACCTGGGAGGTTTAGGCTGCAGTGAGCTGTGGTGTTACCACTGTACTCCAGCCTGAATGTCAGAATGAGACCCATCTTTAAAAAAATAAAAAAAAAAAATTAGTTTCTTCCATTTTTTTGTAGATTACATTAATCAGAATTTCCTTTTGTTTTTGGCAGTACAGAAAAAAAACATTGAATAAGTATTCTTAAGCTCTTCAGAGTCTGAATCCATCTGTCTTCACTTTTATTGTTCCTTTCTCTAACATCCTGGATACAGAGATGAACCTGACTCAGAGAGCAAGCTTTTGGGCTCTAAGCAGTGATGTTTCCTTGTTCTTTGTTGTCTGTAATTAAAACTTCTGGTTAGATCAGTGTGTTTATAACATGTTATTTGAGATGTGTGGTATTTTTAATCTTCAGATTTCAGTCTTCTTAGGGAATGTGCAATGCTAGTAGAAGATATTGAAAATGAGAATGAAATCACTCCTTGTTACTTTAAATCCACCTTTTCAAATATTTTAATTTATATCTTACACAAATTATAGTTAAAATAGAAACCTTATATAAAAAGATAATAGATTATGCTTTTTTTTTTTTAACAGAAAGTGATAACAGAATTCATTGAAGTGGAGAATTTTTAAAGAAGGTAACAAAAAGAGAAAGAAAATGCCGAAACCAGTAAGTGTATTTTATTACATTTGACAGTGTCTCAATAATAAGATATCATTAAATTCGTTTTGGAACAAGACAAAGAATGTTGGTAGAGTTGTTGGAAGAAAAAGGCACTGATACTACTGTTATTTCTCTTTAGATTAATGTGGCCAAATTAATTAGAAACACAGTGTTGCTCTGTTGCCCAGGCTGGAGCGCAGTGGGACCATGTCGGCTCACTGCAACCTCTCCTTTCTGGGTTCAAGTGATTCTCCTGCCTCAGCCTCCTGAGTAGCTGGGATTACAGGCACCTGCCATCATGCCCGGCTAATTTTTGTATTTCTGGTATAGATGGGGTTTCACCATGTTGGCCAGACCATAATACTATGGTATTATGTGGTCATGAGTTCTAAGGTCAAACTGTCTTAGTTGTTACCTTGGTTCTGCCACCAATCTGGGTGACCTTTGTTAATTTAGCTCAATCTGTCCAATTTTTAATTTCCTTGCATATAAAATGGGATATAATTAGTTACCCAAGGGAGTATGGTAAGGGTTAGAAGAATCTGATATATATTTAGTGCCCAGTAAATGGTAACATTGTTAAATGGGAGGAAATAATGAGAGGTCAGGAAGATCTATGCATTTTAGTTTTCTCATAATTGTAGTTTAGATGCAAGTGTTACCCATACTGATATTATATAGTCTTAGATTTTTTTTATTTAAGGGTACACATGTGATTATTTTACTTAGTTTTATAGTTATTTGGTTCTTCTTGACTAAGGATTCCTTTATTCTTAAGGTGTAAATGTTCTTTTCTTAATCTAATAAAGTGAGTTGTTTTTTTTTTTTGAATGTTTCTTTTGGCCAATTATAATTTTAAAGAAAGTCATTAGTTATCATTTTTGGGATTTTCTAGCACGGATAACACTTCAGAATGACTTAAAGACTCAGCAGGTCGCAAAGTATGCATTGTTAGAGGGAGAGAAGAATTAAAAAAAGGCATAAAGATCAAAAAGAAAATTTCCTATTTGCAGATGACATGATTGTTTCTGTAGAAAATCCTCATAAATCTATAAAACAATACTAGAACCAATAACTGAATTTAGCAAGATTGCCAGATGCAAGATTGTATTAAAAAAAAATCAATGGCCTTTTTTATATAAAACTAGTTTGGTTATTTAGTTATTAAAAAACATGACACACTTAGTAATAAATGTACAGATGCTGTGCAAGATCTCTACACTGAAAACCAGCTATGAGAAATTAAAGATTTAAATACATAGAGAACTATAAAATATGTATAGAGATCTTTATAAGATGTCAGTTCTCCATAAAAGTGTTCGTAAATGAAATTCAGTTCCAATCAGTTGAATCCAGGCAGTCTTCTTTGATTAAAATTGACTAGCTGATTCTAAAATATATTAATATATGGATATGCCAAAATGTGTACAGAGTAGCTAAAGCAATTAAAAAAAAAAGAAAACTTACACTCCTGGATTTCAAGGTTTATTCTTAAGCCACTAAAATAAGACATTGAGGTATTGGTGAAAGAATAAATTAATAGGATCGGTGAAATGAAAATACACCAACACACATATACACATATGTATTCATTAGATTTTTGACAAGGGTGTCACACAATTTACTGGAGAACTATAATTATTTTCAACAAATGGTATTGGCACAAAGGGTTATCCATACAGAAAAACATGAACATTGACTGTTGTCTCACAATTTACAAACATAAACTCAATGGATTATAGACCTACATGCAAAAGCTCAAACTGTAAAACATCTAGAAGAAAACATAGGAAAAAATTTTTGTGATCTTAGAGTAGGCGAAAATTTGTTATGTAATACACAGAAAATTTGAACCATTAAGAAAAAGTTGGACTTAATCAAAATTAAAAACTTTTGCTCTTGAAAGACAGCAATAAAAACATATAAAGGCAAGACAGTGGGAGAAAATAATTGCCATATAAAGTTCTTTTACAGTTGAATAATAACACAACTCAGATTTTTTTTTTTTTTAGTGGACAAAATATTTGAGCAGATATTTCACAAAAGAAGCTATATTAAAGACTGGTAGGCCGGGCATGGTAAATCACGCCTGTAATCCCAGTACTTTGGGAGACTGAGGCGGGAGTATCACTTGAAGTCAGGAGTTCGAGACCAGCCTGGCCAACATGGTGAAACCCCATCTCTACTGAAAGTACAAAAATTAGCCAGGCATTGTGGCACATTCCTGTAATCCCAGCTACTTGGGAGGCTGAGGCAGGAGAATCGCTTGAATCCAGGAGGCGAAGGTTGCAGTGAGCCAAGATCGCACCACTGCACTTCAACCTGGGTGACAGAGTGAGGCTTGTCTCAAAAAAACAAAACAAAAAATAACAACAAAAAAAAGACTGGTAATAATCCAGTGTAGATATGGATGTGGAGCAGCTGCGACTTTATTGTATTTTTGTTAGGAATGTGAACGTTTACAGCTACTTTGGAAAACTCTTTGCCAGTATAATTGAGTGGAGAGTGTTTATTGTTCCTTAAAGAGTCAAAATTATATGCAGTTGGATATCAATTGTGTGTTGTTGATTCATTAAAGATTCTGGAAGTATAGAACTTGCCTTGTGGAGAAAACACTCTTGAAGCTAGATAAGTTTCAGAATGTGGAAGTTTTTGGATTTTAGAAAGATGAATATACGATATATTATGTGCATATGTCATTATAACATGAAACTCCCATCAAGGTCTATGGCATCACCTCTAAAACATTTGTATTTCTATAGTTTAATGAGTGAATAGTCACGTGAAGTGGAATAAATTAATTCACTACAAGTGATAGTCTTATATCACTTCATGTCAGATTTTTCCTCAAAATTAACTCATCTTCAGGTTTCCGTGCTTTTAGGATGTCAAAATTATGGAATAGGAACTGTGGATCCATATTTACAATACCCACAAAGCCATAATGATCTAGGAGAAAATACCTAACAAATGAGTAAACTGATTTATATGGAGCAAATTATAAGCACTTCTTTCAAAAGATTTTGAAAGTCATTAAAGGAGATCTAAGTCAATGTACAGTGAGAAAACCATAGTCATGTATAGAGTCTATATTAATAAAAATGTTAATTCTTACCCAAAGATACCAAATAATTTCGTGTTGTTCCAATACTAAATCATAAATGGTGTATTTTGTAAAGTTCACAGTTTTATATGGAACCAAGAGCAAAGATAATGATCCAAGACTAGTCAAAATAGTTCTGAAGAATAATGGAGACTTGCCCTACCACATATCAAGACTTATTTAAAGAAGTACTAATTAAGACAATATGATATTGAGTAGTTTAATTGACCAGTGGAACAAAATTAGATCCACACTTATGCAGATACTTGATTTGTGACAGCACAGACTTTGGAGAATAAATGAACTAATTAATAAATTATGTTGGGATTAAAAAAAAACCCTGTATTATTTTCATTCATATGGAGATTAAAAAATGAAATTGGACCTCTAACATCATAAGCAAAAATCATTGAAAATTGTGAAAATCAAAATAGGAAATATATGAATATCCTTATGACTCCAGAGTATGGAAGGATTTCTTAAGGATGGCAAAAAATTGGCTGGGTGCAGTGACTGATTCCTGTAATCTCAACACTTTGGGAGGCTGAGGCAGGTGGGTCACTTGAGGTCAGGGGTTTGAGACCAGCCTGGCCAACATTTATACTGGCCCGTTTATACTAAAAATACAAAAAATAGTCAGGCATGGTGGTGCATGCCTGTAATCCCAGCTACTTGGGAGGCTGTGGCAGGAGAATCACTTGAACCTGGAAGGCAGAGGTTGCAGTGAGCTGAGATCACGTCACTGCACACTAGCCTGGGTGACAGAGTGAGATGCTTTCTCAAAAAAAAAAAAAAAAAAAAGGATGGTAAAAAACTGGTATCTGTGTGTAAAATATTTATAAATTCAACATTAAAATTAAGAATGTCAGTTTATCATAAAGGACACTATGGAGAAAGTAAAATGACGAACCACAATATGGGAGGTTCTTTTGTAAGAAATAACTGACAAAGGATCAGTATCAAGAATATATAAAGACTTCCTACGTTAAAGTAAGAAAAAACAACCCAATAGAAAAATAAGCCGTATGCGTGAACATTCGCAGATGAGAATGAGTGGTCAGTTAAACGTATTGTACTAGTTTTCCATTGGTCTATGACAAATTACCACAAATTTAGTGTTATAAAACAGCACCCATGTATTATCCCACAGTTTTATAGGTTAGAAATCTGGGATGATGTGACTGAGTTCCCTGCTTCAAAGTCTTATAAGGCTGAAATCAAGGTATAACTTATTCTGCAACCAGCCAGATAAATTGATTAGCTTAGGCCCTCCTAGATAATCTTCCTGTTCTAAAGTCAGCTGATTAGTAATCTTAAGTACTTCTGCAAAATCCCTTTAATCATGTAATGCAACATAATCATGAGCATGACACCAGGGGCCATCTTAAAATTCTGTATGCACATGCCATGTACAGAAATGTGGATGTCATCAGCAATCGAGGATCCCACTTTAATACCATATTGAGATACCATTTTCTGCTAACTGAATTGTCAGATATTAATAAATCTGATAATGCCCACTGTTCCTGGAAATACAGAAAAGCAAGAATTCTTATACAATGCTGTCAGGAGTATACATTGACACAGTTACATTGTACAATTCAGCATTATGTGGTAAAAGTAGAAGGTGTGCACACTTCATTACTCAAGAATTCTGAGTATATTCTGGAGAAATTCTGACACTCGGAGACATGTACGAGAATGTTCATAGCAGTATTGTTCTTAATAGCCAAAAAATTGGAAACAGTGTTCATTGACAGGAAAATGGGTGAGTAAATGTTTGTTTGGCCACATGCAGAATGTTGCATAGCAGTGAAAGTTCAGTTACAAAAACATCAATGAATCTTAGAAACATATGGTGAAAAATTAAACTAGTATAGTGCAATTTTAAAGAATTTATTGAAGTAGAATATACATACCAAACAGAATATATGAGAAGTGTGTAGTAACAGTAGTCCCAGCCACTCAAGAGGCTGAGGCGGTAGGATCGCTTGAGCCCGGGAGGTTGAGGCTGCGGTGAGCTGGGATTCTGCCACTGTGCTCCAACCTAGGCAACAGGGAAAAAAAAGTGTGTAGTTGATGAATTTTCGTAAAGTGAATATACCCATGTAAGCATTGCCCACATCAAGAAAGAAAACTTGATCAACAAATATCGTGCAGTTATAATACAGCTAAAAATCAAGAAAAATGAAGCTATTTTACAAACAGATACATATATTTACGTTAGAACCATTTTTTTAAAAGCAAGATAATAACAAAATTTAGGTTAGTGATTACCTGTTGGTATTTACAAAGAACAAATAACAGTGGTATATGCAACATTATTTACCATTTCTTGTTATTCAGTTGGATGGTAGATTTATGGGTTTCGTTTTATTATTCTTCATTGTTTATATATGATAGATGTTTTGTATATATCATTTCTTAATAAGATACAGTTTTAGAAAAGAAAAAAATAAGATTATTTTAAAGAAGGATGAATCTGTAAGATCTGATTACAGAAGTTATTCCAGGTGAAAGCTATAATGTGCTGAGGTTGTGATTGTTAGACATATGGGGAAATAAGAAGTCTGATTTAGAGTTTTTATAGTGTGAGTTAAAGTTAGATAAAATGGCACAAGCTGTGTCCTCAGTAAACCTACAGGCTGATGGAAAAAGATACATAAAAACAAATGCAGTAATACGTATTAATATAAAATTTTAAATACAGTTGTTACAGAAACAGTGTTAGTAGGAATCGCTACAGGTTTATACTGGTTAAGGGAAAAGTAAAGATTGTTAGAAAATCGATACAGAAACAGCAAATGAAGTGTGGGAAAATTAAAGGAGAAATAAGTTAATAAAAGATAAAATAATTTAAAAAGCTAAAAAGATATATTTGGATCATGTGAAGAATTCTAGGTGAAGATGCTATTCTGTGGTAAAATTATTTTGGTAAGGCGTGTTAAGTTTTTGAGATATTAGGTATTTACACAATAAAATTATTATTTAAAATAGAGTTTGGAGCTAGGCCTGGCGGCACACGCCTGTGCTCCTAGCTACTTGGTAGATTGAGGTGGGAGTATAGGTTTGCGTCCAGGAGATCAAGGTTGCAGTGTGCCATGATTGCACGCATGAATGGCCAGTGCTCTCCAGCCTGAGCACAACATAGTGAGACCCTGTCTCTAAAAACAACAAAAAATAGAATCTAGCAAATAAAGCACTGTAGATAAATGCTTTCCTAAAGCGAATAATGTATTTACAGTATGAATAAAATGAAATCTGATTTTCATGTTGAAAGAAATATGGGATAGTGAATCACATTCAAAGAATTTGGAGTTAGACCTCAATTTAAATACCTCCTTTGCCTTTTTTGTTTTGCTTTGTTTTTGGAGGCAGGGTCTTGCTCTGTTGTGCAGGCTGAAGTTCAGTAGTACAATCATAGCTCACGGCAGCCCTCAAACTCCTAGGCTCAAGTGATCCTCCCATCTCAGCTTCCTGGAAATAACAGGCACATGCCACCACACCCAACTAATTTTTAAATTTTTCATAGTCTTGCTGTGTTCCCCAGGCTGGTCTCAAACTCCTGACCTCAAGAGATCCTCCCACCTTGGCCTTCCAAAGTGCTGGGACTAAAGATGTGAGGCACCATGTCCAGCTCTTGCTCTGCCTTTTAATATCCACGTGTCCTTAGGTGAATAATGGAAACTCTTTGCGTTTCTGTAGAAATAAAGGTAGTATCTCCTAGTATTATAGCAAGGGCTAAATGAGAGTATGGAAAGCCCATAGCTTAGTGCCCAGTATATGTTAAGTATTCAATAGATGTTCCTAAATGAGGACTTTATAAGCTCTTTGTTTTTCAAATAGATTTAAGATTTCTTGTGATTAAAATAAAACTTTATCACTTTAATAAAGAAAATCATAAAAGTTTTCTCACGCCTAATAACTTCTCTTCTACTTATTATTCCTTTTATTTTTATTACAGATCAACGTAAGAGTAACTACAATGGATGCTGAGCTGGAATTTGCCATTCAGCCCAATACAACTGGCAAACAACTTTTTGACCAGGTATTACACTGCATGAAATATGCAACTTTTGACACCATAGTGTGAATGTTGTTGCATACCTCTTTCTCTGTTTTTCTGTACTTTTGCTGATAATCCAACAGTGTACCACTTGGAATTTTTCATAGTAGCTATTCAGATATCCCTACTACAGCAGTAGGGATATTCTTTATTCTTTCACATTCCTACATTTGTGGGAGAGGACTTCTTGAAAATAATTTTCAGCAGGTATTTATTTAACATTTATGAGAATCATTGTAATGGTGACTAAAAGGGATTCAAGGATAATCCACAAAGTTGTTGAGTGAAATGAGTAGGAATCCTGGGCAGAAGGAACAGCAGGAGTGAAAGGCATAGGGAATTACAGGTTGAGAGCATCTCTTATCCAAAATGCTTGGGACCAGAAGATTTTGGATGTTTTTAGATTTTGGAATATTTGCATATGTATAATGAGATATCTTGGGGATGGGACCCAAGTCTAAACACAAAATTCATTTATGTTTTGTGTACAACTTATACACATAGGCTGAAGGTAATTTTATAAAATCCTTTAAATAATTTTATGCATACTGAGTTTTGACTGCGACCCATCACGTTAGGTTAGGTGTGGAACTTTCCATTTGCAGAGTCATGTTGGTACTGAAGAGGTTTCAGATTTTGCAGCATTTAGGATTTTGGATTTTTGGATTAGGGATGCTCAACCTGTATAGGCTATACAGAGATCCCTAACAACAATTTGGTGTCATAGGTTCATAATGTATGAGGCAAAGGTTGGGATATGGAGGTCAGGTATCCGGTATGTTAAGGAACTGGGACTACTGATCTTATCTTTCTTCTCAGTCTTGAGTGCGTATTAGTCACCTGTGGAGCTTTAAAAAAAGGGAAAGGAGACAGTGCTTGGAAACCCCTTCCAGAGATGCTGATTTAATTGTCTGGGCCTACTCTAAATTATCAGTATTTTAAAATTTAAGCTTCCCAGATAATGTTGTATTGCAATGTAAGCAAGTTTTGCTGAGAAAACGAGGTAAGGGATTGGCCCCAGGGATTAAGTAAGAACATGAAGAAACTGTTGCAAAGACAGAGGAAGGTGGTATATATCATGTGTGGCATGAAACTTAGAGGAGGATAACTTTTATATAAACTTCACGTACACTTTTTCTTAGGAGCAGGAGAGCAATAGCCTGTAGTCAGAATAACTTGATCTTAAAGAAGGAAAGAGTTTCTAGCATTTCAGCAGTAAGTAACACTAGATACTTTGGTTTTGTTAGTTGTCATTCTGTCAAATACAGATTCAAATCTGATGAAATAAAAATTCTAAATTCTCTAAAGTTGTTTATTCTCCTGACAAGTAATATACTTAATCTCCTGATTTGGTAATTCATAAATTTAAAAGTCCTGATAAGGCCTTTTTGGATCATGAAAAGCTTTTTGTGTGGATGTGCAAAATTTTAAAGCAAAATCATAAAGAGCTAAGTTCACCACACCTTGTGAACCAATCTCCACTTTTTTCTTTTTTCCAAACCACTTTTGTTCTGGTATAATATCCACTTCTGTTGATTCTTCTGTGCCTCCTGTTTGTGAATATACAGTCTATCTTATTTGAAAAAAATGTGAATAGAGTTAGCATTTATTGTACTTCATAGCAAATTGAAATGTTATTTATAGTAAGTGAGATGTTTGTGGCAGCCAAAAACTAATCAGCAAGTTATCCTCTTTGGTATTGTATACTGAGAAATAAAACTTGTTTTTTATTAAGTAGAATTACTTTCACTTGGATACAGGAAAATGAAACCATTTATTATAGGGCAGTGATGTACAGTGGTTTAGAAGTGTGGGCACTGGAGTCACACTGCCTGCAATAGTTGTAGTTGCAGCTGTTTGACTTTGGACAAATTAATCTCTTTGTCTTATTTTTCTCGTTTGTACAATTAGGATGATGGTAACATTACTTCTTCAGAGGTTTATTGTGAGAGTTAAATGAAAATCTATGTAAAGTGCGTAGAACAGTATTTGATGGTTTTGTGTATATCTCTTTCTATTTATGTAGATAAATACAGTGTCATGTGCCGCATAATGACATTTCGATCAGTGACGGGCCACTTATGCAACAGTGGTCCCGTAAGAGTGTAATACCATATTTTTACTATACCTTTTCTATGTTTAGATACGTTTAAATACACAAATACTTAACAGTTGTGTTAGAGTTGCCTACAGTATTCAATATAGTAACATGCTGTACAAGTTTGTAGCCTAGGAGCAACAGGCTGTACCATATAGTCTAGGTGTGTAGTAGGCTATACCATTTAGGTTTGTTTAAGTATACTCTGATGTTCATACGATGATGCAATTGTCTAACGATGCATTTCTCAGAATGTATCCCCATCGTTAAGCAACCCTGACTACACACACACACACGCACACATGCACACACAGTTCATATTGTAAATGGTCCAGGTTATTATTACTTATTTCTTTATTAAAAAAAAATTTTTTTTTAGATTGGCTCTCACTCCTGTCGCCCCAGGCTGGAATGCAGTGGTGCGATCTCGGCTCACTGTAACCTCTGCCTCCCAGGCTCAAGCGATCCTCCCACCTCAGCCTCTTGAGTAGCTGGGACCACAAGTGTGCTCCACCATGCCCGGCTAATTTTTTTTTGTATTTTTGGTAGAGATGGGGTTTCGTCATGTTTCCCAGGCTGGTCTTGAACTTCTGAGCTCAAGTGATCCGCCTCCCTCGGCCTCCCAAAGTGCCAGGATTACAGGCGTGAGCCACCGTCCAGCCTGGTCTAGATTATTGAGTATTGTTATCTGTTATGGACTCTTCTCAGCAGTTCTTTAGTCCCTGTTCTATTTCCTGACTGCTTTCCTTGAACTCAAATGCAGTGATGAACTTTCCTTGAACTCAAATGCAAGGATCGAAAAATGCAGACTTTACTTTTGTATGTAGTGTGTGTGGGATAAGCTGGCAGGTTCAGGTCAAGCCAGGGGTAAACTGGGTCCTCTAAAATGAGAGCACATAGCTACATGAGTACATGTGTAGTAAAGCCCCATGTCTGATTATGATGTTAAATCGAGGCCAGCTGCTCTGTGTTTGGGGACTCTGAGTGCTTGAAGTCCTTTGGTTTGCTTCTTGCTGACTTTTTTCTTGACTAGCCTTCTCCTTTAGCTGCTTCTTGTGGGATTAGTGTAAAGAGTGTTCATACCCCCAAAGAGTGTGCAAGAACATCTGTTACGGTGAAAGAAGTATTAAAATATATTTTTAGGCTAGACTTGGTGGCCCACACCTGTAATCCCAGCACTTTGGGAGGCCAAGGCGGGAGGATTACTTGAGGTCAGGAGTTCAAGAGTGTAATACCATATTTTTACTGTACCTTTTCCTGTCCAATATTGCAAAACTGTCTCTACTAAAAATGCAAACATTAGCTGAGTGTGGTGGTGCACACTTGTAATCCCAGCTACTCAGGAGGCTGAGGTGGGAGAACTGCTGAAACCCAGGAGGTAGAGGTTGCGGTCTGCACTTCAGTTTGGGCAAAAAAATAAATAAATTAATTAAAAAAATATATATATATGTATATATAATATGTATTTTTAAACATTTTTAAAAATATATGCTTTATAGTGTATTAGCATGATAGTATGTAACTTGTAAATAAATATACCTATGTTATAGTTACGTGCCCAAGCAGATTCACTTCTAAAAGTATGTGATCAGAAGTTTATGGGAGCTTAAAGGACAGCCTCACTAAAATATATTAATTAAAAAAAAAACATTCTAGGAGCACCTTCTGAAGAAGTAGAGAACCACTGGGGAGACAGGGCCTTTTAGGGAATTTCACAGCTGAGCTTTCTTGTTCCTTGTATTTGTGTAATAGTCTAAAGTTAGTTAAGCTATTATCCCCTGTGCCCACTGTGGGGCATCTCCCTTTTACTTACCATTGTGAATCTCACAGAGTGTGGAGGCAGAAGCTGAGCCCAGCTGCTTTGTTATACTTCTCTCTGCTGCTTTTGACCTGTACATTACTACTCCTGCCGCTCCAAGCTTGAATGTTTTCTATGGCACTGCTGGGGCAATCTGTCTTTTACCAAAGTTAGATTATTTGGAATCTCCTTTTGTCCACATTGAATTTTTCATTGTTTGACATTGATCAGCTTTTGCATTATCAGTATGAGACTTTATATTCCACATCTTCTAGAAATTTCTCACTTTTTGCTTTTTTTTTTTTTTTTCCCCGAAACAGAGTCTTACTCTGTCACCCAGGCTGGAGTACAGTGGTGCGATAGCTCAATGCAGTGCAACCTCCGCCTCCCGGGTTCAAGCAGTTCTCCGCCTCAACCTCCTGAGTAGCTGGGATTACAGGCCCTTGCCACCATGCCCGGCTAATTTTTGTATTTTTAGTAGAGACAGAGTGTCACCATGTTGGCCAGGCTGGTTTTGAACTCTTGACCTTGTGATCCACCTGCCTCAGCCTCCCAAAGTGCCGAGATTACAGGCGTGAGCCACCGTGCCTGGCCCACTTTTTGCTTTTTTGATGGTAACATTTTCTAAATGCTTTTTTCTTATTTTTAATTTTTTTTTTCTTTTTTTTCAGACAGGGTCTTGCTCTGTCACTGAGGCTGGAGTGCAGTGGCATAATCACAGCTCACTGCAGCCTTGACCTCCTGGACTTAAGTGATCCTACCACTTCAGCCTCCTGATTAGCTAGAACTACAGATTTGCTTGACTACTTAGCTAATTTTTTTTTTTTTTTAAGAGACAAGGTCTCCCTACATTGCCCAGGCTGTTCTGAAACTCCTGAGCTCCTCCTGCCTTGGCCTCCTAAAGTGTTGGGATCACAGATGTGAGCCACTGTGCCCAGCCAGTGTTTTTTCTTTTTTTCTGTCATTTCAGTGAAAATTTTCAAGAGTGGGAAAGTAAATGGAAGGGTTCAGTTTGCTGTCTTGAAACCAAAAGCCTGGAATGTTTTAAGATTATTTGTGTGTGTGTGTGTGTGTGTGTGTGTGTGTGTGTGTGTGTGTGTGTGTGTTTTGAGACGGAGTCTCGCTCTGGCACCCAGGCTGGAGTGCAGTGGCGCGAACTCGGCTCACTGCAGCCTCTGCCTCCTGGGCTCAAGCAATTCTACTGTCTCAGCCTCCTGAGTAACTGGGATTATGGGTGTGCACCACCACACCTGGCTAATTTTTGTATTTTTAGCAGAGATGGGGTTTCACCATGTTGACCAGGCTGGTCTTGAACTCTTAGCCTCAAGTGATCTAGCTGCCTTGGCCTCCCAAAGTGCTGGTATAGGCGTGAGCCACCCTGCCCTGCCAAATGTTTTAACATTATTTTTTAAAAAACAGGCTGGGCACGATGGCTCATGCCTATAATCCCAACACTTTGGGAGGCTGAGGTGGGCAGATCCCTTGAGCTCAGGAGGTCAAGACCAGCCTGGGCAACATAGTGAGACCCTATCTCTACTAAAAATATAAAAAATTAGCTAGGTTTGGTGGTGCATGCCTGTGGTCCGAGCTACTCGGGAGGCTGAGGTGGGAGGATCACTTGAGCCTGGGGTGGGGGTGGAGGTTGCAGTGAACTGAGATTGCACCACTGCACTCCAGCCTGGGTGACAGAGTGAGACCCCGTCTCAAAACAAACAAACAAACAAACAAACCAAGGGCCAAGCGCAGTGGCTTGCATCTATAATCCCAGCATTTTGAGAGGCTGAAGTGGGAGGATCACTTGAGGCCAGGAGTTTAAGATTAGCCTTGGCGACATAGCAAGACCCCTGCCTCTACAGAAAACAAAACAAAACAAAACAAAAAAAAACATTAACTAGGTGTGGTGGAATGTGCCTCTAGTCCCAGCCATTCAGGAGGCTGAGGCAGGAGGATTGCTTCAGCCCAGGAGGTCAAGGCTCCAGTGAGCCGTGAATCACACCACTGTACTCCATTGTGGGTACAGAGTGAGACCCTGTCTTTAAAAAAAAAAAATAAGCAAAAACTCCCACAAAAAACCAAGAATGTTTATTATTTAAGAACTGATATTGAATCTTTCTGTAAAGCTTTTAAAATGTTAATGAACTTTTACCTCCCCTGGATCATTTTCCTCATTTTATTTTAAATACAGATTTTTTTAAAAAACATATGCTTTTGTTAGGTGTGGGTAAGTCCTGGGTGTGTATCCTAACTCCACCACTTTATTTACTCTTACTTTATTTTCTTTTTTTTTTTGAGACGGAGTCTTGCTCTGTCGCCCAGGCTGGAGTGCAGTGGCACGATCTCGGCTCACTGCAAGCTCCGCTTCCCGGGTTCACGCCATTCTCCTGCTTCTGCCTCCCAAGTGGCTGGGACTACAGGCGCATGCCACCACGCCCAGCTAATTTTTTTTTTTTTTTGTATTTTTAGTAGTGATGAAGTTTCACCGTGTTAGTCAGGATGGTCTTGATCTCCTGACTTTGTGATCCGCCCGCCTCGGCCTCCCAAAGTGCTGGGATTACAGACGTGAGCCACTGCGCACAGCCTACTTAGTCTTACTTTTGAGTATCTACCACAGGCTGATCATTCTGTGAGATGCTATGGATTTTAAGACACATAAATCAATAATCTCTGTCCATAAGTATTATGCAGTCAAGGAGGGTAAATAGACACACTGCTAATAACACAATTATGATAGAGTAAATTTTCTAATAGCAGGATAGATAAAGTCCTATGGGAATATCAGGGAACAAGTGATTAATTTTATCTAGATGGTAGGAGAGCTTTATTCACAGAAGGCACGTTAGTTGAGCTTGTCCTTAAAGAATAAATTGTTCAATAAGTCATAAAAATACAGAAGACCCATTCTAGGCAGAGGAAAAAACATCAGCAAAATTGTAGAAGGGTGGAATTTATGGTATGTTCTAAGAATGGTTTCTTGCTCAGTGAAGGTAGAACATGGAATATATCAGACTTTTCTTATCACCAAAATGATACCATTTGCCCTAAATATACCAATAGGGTACTTGTGGGGGTAAATAGAAATTGGAACGTATGATTATGAAAACTATATATATATATATATATATTTTCAAGACTCTTGTTATTGTTGAGGTCATGATAGATAAGGAAAAGGAGGTATGAAAAAGTGGATCAAGTAAGAGGATTGAAGTGACACTACAAAATTGAGGATTAGAGGCCAGGTGCAGTGGCTTACGCCTATAATCCCAAGACTTTGGAAGGCCGAGGCAGGCAGATCACCTGAGGTCAGGAGTTTGAGACCAACCTGGCCAACATGGTGAAACCCCATCTCTACTAAAAATACAAAAAATTAGCTAGGCGTGGTAGTGCATACCTGTAATCACAGCTACTTTGGAGGCTGAGGCAGGAGAATCACTTGAATGGAGACGGAAGTTGCGGTGAGCCAAGATTGTGCCATTGCACCCCAGCCTGGGTGACAAGAACAAAAAAAAAAAAAACAAAAAAAAAAACTTCTTTTCAAAAAAAAAAAAAGAAAAATTGAGTATAGAAAACTTGAATTTGAGTTTTCAAAAATGTTCCTTTAATATCTTAAATTTAGGGAAAGCCTTTTCTATGGCAAAGGAATATACGTATACTTACATAGTTTTGTTCTCCTTTTGAAGTGTAGTATCATCTAGACACAATGTGTATGTTGGACTGAAATTGTGTTTTTTTGTTGTTGTTGTGTTTTAGGTGGTGAAAACAGTTGGTTTGCGTGAGGTCTGGTTTTTTGGGCTGCAGTATGTAGACAGCAAAGGTTATTCTACATGGCTTAAACTAAATAAAAAGGTAAAATATGTACGATAACATTAAACTAATAATTATGTTAAGTTGAAGTTATGAATTTGTGCTGGAAAAGCTAAGTCTGACTGATTGCAAGCTTCCTTTTGTAGTTATCTGTTAATCATTATGAGGTACCATGTTTTTTTAAATTCAATCAGGCACCATCAGCTTATCATCTCAAAAAAAAAAAAAAGAAATGCTTACTTTTCCTATTTGAAAACTTAGCCTATAACAAATATTAAAGCAGATATTACAAATGGCATACTAAGTACTTCAATTTTGATGTAAATACCTGTAGGATAAGCTTCTCAAGAATATGAAAAAAAGTTTTCAATTTGGTTATTAGAATCTGAGTTATAGGTCACATTCAAGAGCATAGAATCTTTTACCACATATATTTGTTTACAGATTTAGACTATTACACACTAAAATCTTCATAGATTTAGAATCTATTTCACTTCATTTTCTTCCAAAAAGAATTTGATGTGACTAGGTCTAATTATTGTAAACTTAAGATTTTTGTTGATTATACTTGAAATTATTTTTCCAGGTAACACAGCAGGATGTTAAAAAAGAGAATCCTTTACAGTTCAAGTTTAGAGCTAAATTCTTTCCTGAAGATGTTTCTGAGGAATTAATTCAAGAAATAACCCAGAGACTCTTCTTCTTGCAAGTTAAAGAAGCCATCTTAAATGATGAGATATATTGCCCGCCAGAAACTGCAGTTCTTTTGGCTTCCTATGCTGTCCAAGCCAAGTATGGAGATTACAATAAAGAGATTCATAAGCCAGGCTACCTGGCTAATGATAGACTCCTACCCCAGCGGTAAGTGAAACATGCGTTTGCATTATATTGTCTGAAAATTGTATTCTAGAAGTCTATAAATAAAACGTTTTTCAGGTTTTTTTTTTTTTTTGGAGACAGGGTCTGGACCTGTCACCCATGCTGGAGTGCAGTGGCGTGATCTCAGCCCACTGCAACCTCTGCCTCCTGGGTTCAAGCCATCCTTCCACCTCAGCCTCCTGAGTAGCTGGGTCTATAGGCACATGCCATTATGTCCGCTAATTTTTTTTTTAATGTATTTTTCATTGAGATGGGGTTTCATCATGTTGCCCAGGCTGGTCTCAAACTCCTGAGCTCAAGTGATCTGCCCGCCTCAGCCTCCCAAAGTGCTGGGATTACAGGCATGAGCCACCGCACCTGGCCTCTTTTTTTTTTTTTTCCAGATTTTAAGTTGCCAGCTGGATCATGGGGTATACTTCTAAAAATCATTACCTAGCACCTCCATAGATTTATATGCTCTGTAATTACCTAAGGTTGATCTATCTCTTCTTTCCTCATTCCCATAGGGTAAGCAATAAATGGAGGCAGTGATAATTTGGACTTGAGGAAAGGATGTGACTGTTGCTGCTTGGTACAAATTCTAACACAGGCAGGTGCTTAATAAGTGAGAGTAAGTGGCAGGCTGTGTTTTCTTCATAGAATTCTCTGACTTTTTCCCCCCCCGAGATAGAGCCTCACTCTGTCACCCAGGCTGGAGTGCAGTGGTGCAATCTCAGCTCGCTGAGATTGGAGTCTGCCTCTCAGGTTCAAGTGATTCTCCTGCCTCAGCCTCCCGAGTAGCTGGGATTACAGGCATCTGCCGCCATGCCCAGCTAATTTTTGTATTTTTAGCAGAGACAGGGTATCACTATGTTGGCCAGGCTGGTCTCGAACTCCTGACCTCAAGTGATCCTCCCACCTCGGTCTCCCAAAGTGCTGGGATTACAGGCGTGAGCCACTGCTCCTGGCTGAATTTTCTGACTTTCTGAAAAGGCTTTTTAAACTAGGTTTTCAGACTCCTAGGCTGGTGCATTGTTCTTATCTACAGTGTACTGCTGCTTCTATAATGGCTATTTTAAAATAATATGGCATAGGAAAAAATTATCAGAAGACCTAAATTTTGAGTACCGATTCCACCCTTTGCTATATATGTGACCTTAGGTACATGACCTAAAACCTCTGAGCTCAGTATCTAAATCTGCAAAGTGGGGATAATAATCCTTCTCTGGCTACCTTCTAGTTTATGATTATAATTAATGAACTATATGATTTACAGTTTTAATTGTCAAGTGTGAAACGTGTTATTTAGTAGTATTGATGGAATCTAGAAGATGGAACATCAAATATTACTTTTTAATTTTTTTTTTTTTTCTTTGAGATGGAGTCTTGCTCTGTTGCCCAGGCTGGAGTGCAGTGGCACGATCTCGGCTCACTGCAACCTCCGCCTCCCGGATTCAAGCGATTCTCCTGCCTCAGTCTCCTCCTGAGCAGCTGGGATTACAGGCACACACAACCACACCTGGCTAATTTTTGCATTTTTAGTGGAGATGGAGTTTCACCGTGTTGGTCAGGCTGGTCTCGAACTCCTGATCTCAAATGATCCACCCGCTTCGGCCTCCCAAAGTGCTGGGATTATAGGCGTGAGTCACCATGCTCAGCCAAAATTCAATTATTAAATGTCACAGTGTTCCGCCCTTTAATTTTGTAGCAATAGTAGTCACCTTGGAAAAGGATAGAATTATGTAAGTTGTTCACCAAGAGAGTCAGGAATATGAGATATCTGATAGTCTGTTTATATTCTGGTTTTGAATGTTATTCTAACCTAAGATTCTTCATCTTAGATTACTGAATTGAGTAATCAGACTATTATGGTGGAATTTCATTTCATATAAGGATTACCTTTTGTTTTATAATCAGAATTACTTTAATTTTTTTTTTAAATGTTAAAGAATAGGAATGCTTTATCTAAACAAGTACAGCATTGATCTTTCAGTGTTAAGCCAGATTGCTGTTTGGTTGAGCAGCAGATGAAGTAATTGGCTTACATTTCATAACTCATGTGATTGAAAAAAATCTCTTAAACACTACAATAACACACAAGCACAGTTTATTTTAAATATGGGTGTGCTCTAACCTACTCTATTTAAAAAGAAGGAAGGTGGCTAAATGCTTTAGATAGGGTTGCTTGTGGTTGCTAGTGCAAATGCCTATTTCAAGATTTGTTCCTTAATTTTGTAGGTCAGTTGTTCCTTCAGAGTTGATATTCCATGGAGGACTAATTCAAGCCATGTTATCTTAAAATGAGACTTAGTCATAAAGTTAGAATACCATTTTTTTTTCATTTTCTGTTTAGAACAGAGAGGATATTTTCACAGTGATTGGCTTATTCCAGTATGGTATATCGGACACTTTTTCTCAGTATCTAAGTACAGTCTGGGGAGGAAATGAGTAATTAGGTTATTTGGTGATAACAAATCAAATAAAATAATTTAGTGATTCTGATACATTCTGATTTCTTGTATTGAAAAACCCAGATGAGCAATCTGTTCTTACTGTAGAAAAGTTTAGCTCTTGTGGTATAGATAATTAGCTCCACCAGATAGTATTGCTTCCCTTTGAAAAGAGCTAAATATACATAAACTTTTACATACCAGGTTTCTGACTTGGGCGGCTGGGTATTTGGTAATACCTTTTATCAAAATGAGTGGAAGAAAAAATACATTTGAGGGGGAAGATGAATTCAGTTTTGAACCTATTGAGTTTGAAATATGTGCAATATAACCAAGAGAGATATCTGGTATTTATTTGCATATGTGGGTGCAGACCTTTTAGAAACAGTCTTGGACTATAGATACAGTTTTGGGAGTAATCAGTGAATAGATGGTAATTAAACCATGAGAATGAAAGAGATCAACCTACCAAGTACATAAAAATGAGAAAAAGACCTAGGACAGATCTTGTTGGACCTCAGCTTTTGTCTTTGGGTTCTGCATTCACAGAGTCAACCAACCACAGATTGAAAATATGTGAAAAAAATAACACAGCAATGAAAAGGTACAAAATTTTAAAAATACAGGATAACAATACATAGCATTTGTAGTGTATTAGTGTATTATTATACTACATAGTAGTAATAATATAGTGTATTAGTATTATTAGCCTAGAGATGATTGAAAGTATACAAGAGGATGTGCATAGGTTATATGCAAATATTGCACCATTTTATATCAGGGACTTGAGCATCCACAGTTTTTGGTATCCAAGGGGAGTCCTGGAAGCAATCCTTTATGGATATGGAGGGACAACTGTACTGAGACACTGGCCACAGATTCAAGAATAATTCTATACTAGAAGATGGCTGGGCATGGTGGCACATGCTTGTAATCCCAGCTACTCGGGAATCTGAGACCTGAGAATCACTGGAACCCGGGAGGCGGAGGTTGCAGTGAGCCAAGATGGCGCCACTGCACTCCAGCCTGGGCGACAGAGCGAGACTCCATCTCAGAAAACAAGAATAATACCAGAAGAGTATTATATCATGGAAGCCAAGGTAAAAGAATACTTTGATGAAGAGAATGGTCAGCACTGCCAAATGGTACCAAGAGGTCAAATATGAGGAGAACTAAAGTATCTGTTGGAATAAGGAGCTTGGTAGTGACCTTAGAAGAGCAGTTTCCAGCCGGGTGTGGTGGCTCACACCTGTAATCCCAGCACTTTGGGAGGCCGAGGTGGGCGGATCACCTGAGGCTGGGAGTTCAAGACCAGGCTGACCAACATGGAGAAACCCCGTCTCTACTAAAAATACAAAATTAGCCGGGCGTGGTGGTGCATGCCTGTAATCCTAGCTACTGGAGAGGCTCAGGCAGGAGAATCGCTTGAACCCGGGAGGTGGAGTTTGCAGTGAGCCGAGATCATGCCATTGCACTCCAGCCTAGGCAACAAGAGCGAAACTCTGTCTAAAGAAAAAAAAAAAAAGAAGAACAGTTACCATAGAGTATTGGGTGTTTGAGCCAGATTATGGTAGACTGGGGGCAGTGGATGTCAGGTATGGAAATTGAGGTTAGTGTATAATGGACAGTCCATAAAAGAAAGTTGTCTCTGAAAAAGAAAAAAAAATAGGGGTTGGGAAAAATTGATTAATTCATTTATTCACTCTACAAATTTTCGAGGCCCTCTTTAGTACTGGCATTGGGCATATAATTATGGTAAGCAATTGACTGCACTGGGTTATGTCTCCAAGGCTGATTGCATGCCTCTCTGTGAGCCCAGAGGCCAGACAGCAAGAAAGACAAGAAACTGTGGAAACCTAAGCTCTCTCAGAAGGAAGATGAAACTCTTCTCCCCAAAAGCAAGAGCTTGGAAAAGATGCCTAGAGAAAGGAGCAGAGTATAATAAGAACATAACAGTATGTCTGAGACCCCTTTAAGGAATTTACTCTAAGTAGTAGGTAACTTATCCAGGGGGAGATTTTATCATTCCTTTATGCTGCCAAGAAATCCTTGGGTTTCATGCAAGATTTTTTATATAGTAAAACAGTAATATTTTAACACCACAGCTTCTGCTGTCAGTAAAGTAGGATCTGGTAAATAAAGGTGAATAATTATCATATGAGCCAAAGAGAATAGAAGTCACAAACTGTAGTGTGCATAGTAGGTAACTTATAATCATGTTGACTTTGCTGATTTGGTGTTAAAATAGTAGTAGTAGAATATAATGTTTGTATTTGGCTGGGCGTGGTAGCTCACGCCTGTAATCCCAGCACTTTGGGAGGTCGAGGCAGGTGGATCACTTGAGGTCAGGAGTTCAAGACCAACCTGGCCAACATGGCGAAACCCCGTCTCTACTAAAAATACCAAAAAAACACACAAAAAAGAAAAATTAGCCAGGCATTATGGCGCACGCCTGTAATCCCAGCTACGCGGGAGGCCGAGAGCATCGTGGCACACACCTATAATCCCAGCTACTTGGGAGGTTGAGACAGGAGAATCACTTGAACCCAGGAAGCAGAGGTTGCAGTGAACCGAGATTGTGCCACTGCACTCCAGCCTGGGCAACAGAGCGAGACTCCATCTCAAAAAAAAAAAAAAAAAAAAAAGAATGTATTTGCTCACATTTGAATTAAGAACACTGGAAGGATACAAAAACAAGTTATTTGGGGGGTATTGGACTGGAGTATGACTTTTCACTCTACTTTTTAATTGAAAGTATTACCTACCTAAAACAACAAAATTAGTAGCAAAAAAGTAAATACATAAAGGAAGAATTAGGGCCCAAGAATTCTGGTTTTCAGTCTGGTCTTTATCTATTAACAATGAGCCATTTTTTTATCTAATGTTTTATTCCTTTGAACTGTTTGGGTTCCTATAAGCTATCTTTGTAATCACTTTATGGAGCAAGTATTATTTCAAGGAATTTAAGGATCCTAGACACTTAACTTTGAGATAATTACTGATTATTATGCAGTTGTAAAAAAAAGAGATCCCTGGTATCCTTCTCCCAGCATTCCCTGATGGTAACATCTTGTGTAACTACAGTACAATATTACAAACAAGATATTGACATTGGTACAATCTAGCCACCTTATTCAGATTACATCAGTTTTACCTGCACTCATTTCTGTGTGTATGTAATTTAGTTCTATGCAATTTCATCATGTGTATTAATTGTCTGACAACTACCACAGTCAAGTTACTGAAAGGATTCTTTACTTTTAAAGTGTATGCTTTTGAATCTTAAAGTCATTATAATTTTTTTTTTTTTTTGGTCCTCTTAGTGTATTGGAACAACACAAACTAACAAAAGAACAGTGGGAAGAAAGAATACAGAACTGGCATGAAGAACATAGAGGAATGTTAAGGTATTTGGGTAGCTATTTTCTATGTTTTCTTTTTTCCTTCAAAGTATTTTCATGTCGTAACATTTATTATTACATTATTTCCAAAAGATTGTTTGACTTATGTAAAGTACTAATTTTTAATTCCAGGTATTTTGCAACTTTAGTTTGATATGCTCCTACTTAAATATATTACATTTAGTTTTATTTCAACAGGGAGGATTCTATGATGGAATACCTGAAGATTGCACAAGATCTAGAAATGTATGGAGTCAACTATTTTGAAATAAAAAATAAAAAAGGAACTGAATTGTGGCTAGGTGTTGATGCTTTGGGTCTGAATATTTATGAGCATGACGACAAGTAAGTAAATTAGTTGCATAGTGAACTAGTCATTGTTCAGTGGTCTAAATGACGTTAATCTTATGTCCTGTTTTTCAAAGTAGTTTCTTGTCTTGATTACCCTTACTATTTTCAAACTAAAAGATGAATTAATGACACATAGACTTGTAGATATTTTACCTCCATTTTCTTATCACCTTGCAGTTTCAGAGTTCTACTTTTCAGTGTATTTATCAAATGAGATGATTGACTTTTATTTGAATTGTGCTGCTTTTAGCTCTTGTGAGTTATGTCTAGTAACTTAATTAAAATTTGCTCCCTCGATAGGTGAGAAATAATTCTTTAAAATGCTATTATGCTTGACAAATAGATTGAAATTGAACATACATAAGAAATCAGGAGCAATGAGAGAATGGATTTAATAAATATGTCTATCACATCTTAGAGGATTTTTTTGAACATTTATATATAGGAATTGTTTTAAATATGTTTGGACATTAATACAATAGAATATCCCTGTATTACACATATTGAACACTGTAATTATATCTTGAAATTGACCAAATAGTTTTTTATTATACATATATAATTCATCAATATTTTATTATATGTATAATATATGTATATTTACATATACATGTATATGTACTATACAAATACATGGGTAAATACTATATAGAGACGGTATATTATACACATACACATGCAATATAAAATACATCAGACTCTTACTTTTCAGGATTAATAACTCAATTGTCTTAGACTTTAATTTATTTACCATACCACATAAGCATGCAAGTCTATGCCAGTAATTAATGCCTTTTCCTAAGGCATTATTCTTTATTCTAGGTTGGCTCCAGAATTTTAATTTTTATTACTACAGATATCTAATAAAATACTAATTTCAAAGCATATGTGATTCCAAACAAGAGCATTTTACTATTTTTACCCTAATATCTTCTCATGTTTTTATTACAAAGCAAGTTAGAAGGTTATATCATTTAGAAGAGAAATTTTTGAAAAGCAAAAATGACTTCAAGACTAATTTTTGTAAACTGAATCTTTTTCTTTTGTTTTAGAGAATGGGATCTTGCTATGTTGCCCAGGCTGGTCTTGAACTCCTGGCCTCTAGCAATTCTTGCGCCTCTGCTTTCTCCAGTGCTGAGATTACAGGCGTGAGCCACTGTGCCTGGCTTCTTAATTTTTTTGGTGGTGGTGGTTCTGGCACATATTGGAGCAATTTTTTTAAATGTTAAAAAAGTTATTGTATTAGCTTCCAGGCTTACCTCACAAGAGTGTTATGAGAATTATATGAGGCAATTGCTTTAGAATTTTTCAAAGTAGCATATAAACGTAGCATAGTGTTCTCTAAAATACTATGTTGCATTCCTGCAGTCTCCGTTTTAAGCATGTTACTTTGACTTATATCAGGGGCCATTAGAGGGTCCTCTAATATGCTTATTGAGTAAAGAATGTTTTATGTAGAAAAGACTCTGCTGTGCTGCAGTACCTACTCTGCTTGAGAACTAAAAGGAATATAAATAGGTAAAAATTCATGCTGTGTTGTCAGAAGCCTGGCTAAAAGATGTCTTCTGGCCAGTATAGGTGTCAAAATCATTTCTCAGTCTTAGTTATTAGGACAATAGGACAATAGTGATGCATTTGATAGGTAGTCTGAAACAGTAAAATACATGAAAAGGCAGAAACAAAATCACTTATTCCAATATGATTCCCTATATCTTTGTGTGTAGGGTGGTAAAACGGAGTCAACTGCTGTGTATAGTCTCAAGAGTTTGAATTCCATCTCTATCATTTATCCAAATATTTATGTATGTGAGTGTTTAAAATTTTTGAGATATAATTCATATACCATAAGATTCTTTCAAAATATACTGAAAATTAAGTATTTTTAGTATATTCGTGAATATCCAGACATTTTCAAATTAAACACAGGAAGGAAGTACTGTTTTTTTATTTGCAGTAACTTGCCCGTAATTCACATGAGAAGTTATAAAGGCCTTTTTTTTTCTTCCCACTTCTTACACATATTTAAACTGTAGTTGTAGCTTGAATCCAAACAATAAAAACTGAACAGCTAGTTCAAACCCCAGGAGGCTCAGTTCTACACTTGGGTCACCAGGTAGTTTTTTTAGATAATTTTAGGAAAATACACTGCTTTTAAGGTTCATGACACATTTATGAAATCTTTGGACAGTTGTTTGTTTTATATGATTTATCAGTTTTCCCCTTAAAAGATAAGGTCAACTGTAGTTATGAATAAGTTAATACATTTTGAAAATCTGGAACTCTTAAGATTGGTCATTCAGTCAGTTTAGGTCCTAAACAGGAATTTTATTCATTGTTTCCTGCCTTTAATTAAGGAGATGCTTTCATTTTTTAAGGTTAACACCTAAAATTGGTTTTCCCTGGAGTGAAATCAGAAATATTTCATTTAATGACAAAAAATTTGTTATAAAGCCAATCGACAAAAAGGCACCTGTAAGTAATTTCTTTAATATTTTGTGTATTAACTGTTTAATATCTGCTAGTTTCCCATGATATCACTTGAAGAATAACAGTGTTCATTTATTAAATTGCTTCTGAGGACCATTCTCTTTCCATAGGTCAGCTTTCCCAGTGATGAAATAATATGTTAATAAAAATCCAAAGATTTAATTTTTTAAAGTAAGATGTAAATATTAGAATTTTATTTTATTTGAGATTCAGTTATAAATAGATAATATTTATTAGGAGGCTAATGAAAACACCATTCCTAAGAAGCAATTTTAAAGTGTTTCTTCATTGGTGGCTAGAATGTAGTAGAGGTAGCCCTATTCTAAATTAACTTCGTTTATACAGTTTTGCTTTATGAACTTTGTATTTTTGTAACTTGAAGCCTTGAACTTAAGAAATCTTTTTATTTAAATAGATTTTTAAAGTTCCTCTAATGTCAAGTATACTCTAGTATCCTAACCCTGTTAGTTACTGAAAAGGTAAAAGTAAGAAGAACAGGCTGGGTGCAATGGTTCAGGACCATAATCCCAGCACTTTGGGAGGCTCGAGAGGAGCAGATCACCTGAGATGAGGAGTTCAAGACCAGCCTGGCCAACGTGGTGAAACTTCATCTCTACTGAAAATACAAATATTAGTCAGATGTGGTGGTGCATGCCTGTAATCCCAGCTACTAGGGAGGCTGAGACATGAGAATTTCTTGAACCCGGGAGGCAGAGGTTGGAGTGCACTGAGATGGCACCACTGCACTCCAGCCTGGATGACAGCAAGACTCCGTCTCAAAAAAAAAAAAGAACAATTCTAGGTTAAAAAAAACTCTACAGCCATGAACGAAGAACCAATTTTGACATTAATGGCAAATGGTGTATAAGGAACAGGTGCTCATAGTTACTTTCGAGAACAAAAAGGAATAAATGACATTTAATGTATTGCAAGGATAAGAATATTAGCCTCTTTACAAAACTGGTTGGATATGAAAAGGTGAGGAACCAGTTATGTGAAAGTATGTCATGCTCACTGGGAGTTATGAAATTGTATGATTTCTTATTTCTAAACTATATGTAATATGACATTAAAATTCATACCTCATGTTAAAATTTAGTACAGATTGTTATGAGAGACAGTATCCTTGAGGAAGATTTTAAATTCAGAATACTTTATGTTTAGGATTTTGTGTTTTATGCACCTCGTCTGAGAATCAATAAGCGGATTTTGGCCTTATGTATGGGAAACCATGAACTATACATGCGAAGAAGGAAGCCTGATACTATTGAAGTACAACAGATGAAGGCTCAGGCTAGGGAGGAGAAACATCAGAAGCAGTTGGAAAGGTATGGGGTTTATGACCTTTCACTTTTAATTGATAGGAGTAGGCTATCTAAAATTTAAGACTGCTCAGTTTTTTAAATGTACCTTAAATTTGTATTTATTAATATTTTCATTATATTAAAATTCAAAGACAGTATTATCACTCTGTCCTTTAAAACGAGTATGTATAATTTTCAAGTTAGAAATCTTTGACACATATCTCGAAGAAAATAGCTTTTTGTGACTCATTTCTTGCTTTTCACTGATAGACATTGTTTTAGATATAGTAGTTTGAAACTTTCAAAATTGTTTTGCTTGTGACTTATATTTCTTAATTTTTTCAGGGTAAGAATGTGCTGAATATTTAACTTTGAAACAATGTCAGTGACATTGTAGAACACAACTGAAACGTCACTGTGCCAAGTAGGGTAACATCAGTACTCCCTGCCAAAGACCCTAATCTTTTTAACTCTGTTTCTCTTAGACTTAAAAAAGAAACTGTTAAATATATTAAATTGATAATTTTTAAAATTGAATGGTAGTGAATAAAATTTATATCAACCCTGGAATCAGATTACTGGGTCCAGTGACATTAATTTCCAAATCTGGTTTTAGATTAATTTCAACTTTGTGCTTTACTTGAAAAAATTTAGAGACCAAACTAAAGTTAACCTTTATTGAATAAATCTTTATGGAACAACGTGATAGTCTAAGAAATAGAGTAAGTCCTTAAAAAAAATTTGAAGAGCCCTAAACATATGTATTTTAAATATTGGATATAAGGTACTTTGTATCTAGAAGGAAGCCATCTGCTAGATACCATTTTGCTACTATAGTTTTAGGTTTTATATTGAATGATTTTTTTTCTTATTCAACAACTGTTCTGTGTAAGAGATTTTATTGATTTTTACCTATTTTGTCATATTAACTCAAATTATCTTCCTTAGAGAAGTTAACCACATAACAAAACATTTTTTATATGGGTTTGAAGCTTGTCAGTAATTACTAATCCCATCATTAAAGATACTGAGTTGGTGAGCTGAGGATGGTGGCATGTGCCTGTAGTCTCAGCTACTTGGGAGGCTGAGGCAGGAGGATTGCTTGAGTACAGGAGTTTGAAGACAATCAGGGCAACAGGCAACATGCAGTGTAGTAAAACCCTTTCTCTTAAAAATAAAAATAAAAAAAAGAGTAATGAGTTGGATTGTTACTTTGATGGGCTATGTCCTTTTTTATTGTGCTCATGTGCTGTAGCATTACATTGTGGTTCTAATCTTAAATGCTTTTTAAAAATACTCTTTATTGGGCTTTACTTTCTATACAGTACATTCTTATACACATAGCCTTGCATTTCCCTCTGTCAAAGGGAAGACTTCTTTTAGTTTCCACTTAATTTTTTTAAATCGTCTTAAAGATTTCACTGTCTCTTAAAGGTTTTCTAGCATGAGATAAATGAGGAATTATTTTATATACAGTTCCTGTATCTCATACTCATCACTCTATAGTATGCCTAACTGTTCTGCTCATTCATAATGTTGATATATTATTTACATTCTCAACTTACTATATTTATCTATATATCCTTTATTTCATGGCTTATAGAGAAATACTGTATTGCTTCTAGTACAGGTAGTATGTTTACTTAGTATCATTTGGTAATGGTGCTATATTTTAGTTACTCTAAGGCTTAGATGGAAGTGGAAGACTTAAGTTTCTTTTTTGGCACAATAATCCGTAGTTCTCCTGGATAAATGTTAGAGCTCTTCATTAGTAAGCATTTATTGACTGCTTTATACTCAGTTGGAATTCAGTAACTTTTATTCAGTTTGAATGCCTAGGAGATATATTATTCTAGTCACCTAGGAATTGGCAGTCTTTCAGAAATGGCATGCTGAGTCATTTATTCCCTGCTTTACAGGTCAGAGAGAGAGAAATGGCAGCTGTATGTGTGGAAACAATTTTGATTAAGCCCATTGGCAAAGTAGCCAGCAGATATACCTGGGAGAATGCCCAGAGGTATGCTGCCTGTGCTGCTAGACTCTCTTGGGCAAGAACAGTAGTTGGGAAAGAGTAGCAAAGAGACCTCTTTCCCTACAATACTTTGGTATATTTGGCTATATTTACTCCCTATAATTTTTATAACCTAGGGGTTTTTTGGCAATGAAAATGACCTTATACACTATGAGTGGTTATTCCATGTAGTTTTTGAAGCTCTTAAATTATTGGCATCCAAATTGAATTATGACTGATAATTTTTGCACGTTTTTGTATGGCTAAAATTGTTTCCACATGTGAAAACTGAAAGCCCCAAGTTTACAGTTTAGAGTTACATACCTATGTACCAATTGTAGGTTAGCTGTGGGAGATTCTGCACCAAGGCTGGCTAGTGTCATACAAAGAACACAGGCTTTGGAACTAGATAAATCTGGGCTTGACTCCTCTTCTAACACTCAATCGAACAGATAATTTTGAGCCTGTGTTTCCTTGCTCTTACTATGAAAATAATATTCTTACCTTCAAGCGTTTTTGTAAGAAATCATGACAGTGGTATACAGGCATTTAGCAAAGTACCCGGTACTTAATAAAAAATAGCCATTATAATAATTCCTAATATTATTATAAACTAAGTTGGATATGTTTTTAATATTCATGGAAGAAAAGTGTAATTAGACCCATTTGATCTTTAAAAAGTAAGATATTCTAAAGTAATTTTTTGCATATTAATACAAGGAATAATAGTTTATTAATGTGATTTATGTCCTTGAAATAGAACAACTGCATTGAAATGAGTGTTTTCAAACCCAAACTCCAAATAAAAATATCTGCATCTATTGTTACAGTAATCACAAAAGACTTCATGAGGAAAGTGGGACTGAAGCTTGAAGGTTAGAGAGAGCAAGAGATACGTTCAGAAGAAGAAGCCAACATAGATGAATATGTAGAGATAAAAATATGTGTGGTGTGCCTATGGGCCAGTGAGGTCCTCTAAAATGAACAGCATTTAGGGGAGCAGCAAGATCTGGTTTCATAAAGGAGACAAGACAGGCCTACAAAAACTAGATATCACTGAGTAATGTAAAGGGCTGAAGGCATTTGTATTATTTGAATGAAGTGTTGGCTGGAGATGGCTATTGTCAGGGTAGGATTCTTATAAAATGTGAGATACGAGCCTCACAGAGTACAGTAAACTACAACATGTTTTAAATATTATAATCAGTTTAAATATCTGCTGTATACTTATTCCATTTTTCAGTAGGAAGACCATTCCCCACCCCCTCCCAACTTGCATATGGCCAGATTATCTTGATTCTTTTTTTCTGCTTCCATATCTCCTTCACCTCCATCCCTGAAGAACAAATGAAACATCAATAGGGAAAAGCTAAATAAAACCAGCACATCCATCTGCAGAAAGGGCCATATATGCCAGAGCTGGGTCTGAAAGGCTCTTAGTTGGTGGAATATGATGGTAGACTTCTGGTTGAGATCTGGTTTGCAGTGTAAGTCCTCGAGAATTGTCTTGGGACCTTGGGAAAGGAGGGAGGGAGGTAGTTGGCTTGGGAACTGTGGCAGAACTGGATGTGATTGCATAGAGGCTGGGGAGTGATTGGGTAGTCTAATCAACATCCTAGGGTGGCAGACAACCTGGCATGGACAAGAATAGCTTTTGGCCTTACTAGCAATTACTTGAAAAGTACTGTGCTTTTGCTTCTTTTGCTTTCACACAAAGCGTGATGTTTCAGCTATCTAAAGAACACAGAAAGGTCAGCAGCCACTGTGGGGGCCACCAGGCCTTTCTTTTGCCCGGAGAGATTGGGAAACACAAACTTTCCCTTAAACTCACGTCTTCTAGAAGTGTGGAAGCTTGTATCTCCTTAAATCTCTCTGCCTGTATATGCTTTATAAATTGAAATAGGATAAAGAGAAAGAGGTGAATGTCCTGCAGAGTGAGCCCAAATACTGGGGTTAGGAATAGTTACTGGCTCTTCCTCCTTGCTGTTGCGAAAGTACCTCGTAGGCATAGGGAACTCCAGAACAGAGATGGAGCTTCCCTTACATGAATGACCACCAGGCCCTAGTTTTTTTGTTTTCTATTTGACAGGGTCTTGCTCAGTTGCCTGCCAGGCTGGGGCACAGTGGCACGATCATAGCTAACTGCAACATTGACCTCCTGGACACAAGTGATCCTCGCACCTTAGCCTCCTGAGTAACCAGGACTATGGGTACACACACCATGCCCGGCTAATTTTTTATTCTTATTTTTAGAAGAGATGAGGTCTCGCTATGTTGCCCTGGTCTTGGACTCCTAACCTCAGGTAGTCTTCCCGCCTTTGCCTCACAATGTGGTGAGCCACCA
Source organism: Homo sapiens (assembly GCF_000001405.40). Taxonomy (NCBI): domain Eukaryota; kingdom Metazoa; phylum Chordata; class Mammalia; order Primates; family Hominidae; genus Homo; species Homo sapiens. The sequence goes on along the minus strand of NC_000011.10, from coordinate 110,249,614 downwards.
TGCCCAGCCTCTCTAGATTATTAAATGGTGGAAGGATTCATTAAACCAGCAGCAAGGTGTGGTGACCCGTTATGTTTTAGCTTAGTGCATGCACTAGGAGGTCACCATCAGTGTTTGACCTCTTGCTGACTTGTGACACCTCTACCTGTTTGCCCCAAAGGTAAGCTCTCTTTCTGTTTTAGGGGCAAATGGGTATCTAGGAGCTGCAGGAATTTTAAAATGTAGGTTTATAAATAAGGGCGAAATTTTTGATAGCAAAACTTTTCTGATAAGTTTATCAGAGACTGCAAGTTGAGAAACTACAGGGTTTTGTGCTTGAAATTCAGAATTGACAGTAGGTGGCAGTGCTCTTTTTGTGGAACATTAAAGCATACTCAGATAAATTTCAGAGATGAAATCATAACTGATTTTTAAGTTATTAAAGTAGTGATTTGAATATTGATTCAACTTAAGTAAACAATATTGTCTGATAATAAGAGTTTCCCCATGTGACTTTTATTCCTCTTTATATTTTTGCCCCTAACATAGATTCTGACCCATGGTAGGCTCTTGGTAGATGTTTGGTGAATGAATTTGGCAGTATTTAAAAGAAACACTCTCATCAGGCCCATGGCAGGTGCAGCTAAATGATCAAGGCATTTTTTCCCACTGAGCTCTGATGATATTTTTTAAGATCATTAGCCACCTACTGTCATTCTAATGGAATTGTGAAGGGAGGTGAAATTGATTTGTTGTCTTGTATCTAGGCATAAATGGGTACTACCCAAGAAATTAAACTTGGATTAATTCATTTTTAATGATTGAAAATTGTTGCCCTCCCTTTTATTTAAGATACATGCCTTTGTTTGCTCCCTTCAGTCCTTTATTATTTCCCCAGTGGAGGTCTCCGGTTAATCTAAAGAAGATATTTTCTTGGGGCATGGCAACTGTGTGGTTAACTCTTTTGGTGCTGACATTTAATTTGTTGTCAGAGTTCATCCCGTATGCAAATGGTAAATCTGATTTTTCCCCCATTAAAGTGTGCCTTATAAGCATGTTCTATATGCAGGAATATATATTTGACAGTTATACTTTACTAGCAGTTTTGTAAACTCATCCTTTGAGGATGTTCCTAAATGTCTAAGTTTTTAATATTTTTTAAAAATAGTCTCAGTGGTCTTTATTGTGAACCCACAATAAGTAATACATTGGAACCCAGCACATGTATGTACGTACATGAGTGTATGTATGTCATAGTCCTGTACTTTTAACTACATATGCTATTTTGAACACAAGTGTAATACAATGAAAACCCTGTTAAAATATTTATGTTGTCATTTCTTCTTAGTTGATTCAGTTCTTAGGTTTCACATGAATACTATTTCCAATTATTATTATTTTATTTCAGTAGTTTTTGGAATATAGGTGGTTTTTGTTTACATGAATGGGTTCTATCATTGTGTATTCTGAGATTTTAGTGCACCTGTCACTCGAGCAATGTACACTATACCCAATATGTGGTCTTTTGTCCCTCACCCCATTCCCAACCATTGCTTCTCAAGTCACCAAAGTCGATTATATTACTCTGTCTTTGCATCCTCATAGCTTAGCTCCCACTTATAAGTGAGAACATATGGCATTTGTATGTTCTGAGTTACTTCACTTAGAATCATGGCCTCCAGCTTCATCCAAGTTGCTGCAAAAGACATTATTTTGTTACTTTTTATGGCAGAGTAGTATTCCATCACATGAATAATATTTTTGTGTATTAATTTGTAACAGCAATTGCAATTCCTTTTAAGGGCACAATTAGAGAATGAAAAGAAGAAAAGAGAAATAGCAGAAAAGGAAAAGGAAAGAATAGAACGTGAAAAGGAAGAGCTAATGGAACGTCTAAAACAAATTGAAGAGCAGACAATTAAAGCTCAGAAAGGTAAAAGTTTCTTTTTTGAAAATGGATTAAAAATTATTATTGCTCTGTTGTCAGATAGTGGTATTTTTTTTAGTACTCTTAAACCTTATTTGTTATATAGGACAATTGTATATTTAATTGGCAAATTAATACTTAGTGGAATCACATCATAAACATGTTTCACTAAGGCACATTCATTTATACAGTGCTGATGTTTCTCTTAAACATGCAGATATTTTTCTTTTTTTAGTTTTTTGTTTTAAACATGCAAATATTTTTCATATGTATTCTTAAATAATTGTAAATGTATATATGGGCTTTATAAACAAAAAACACATATGCAATACATTATGGCATTTAAAGAAAAGTATGCAATGCTTTATGGCTGTATAAGTAAGGCATTTAAGTAATTAAAGTAATTTAAGCTATTCTGACTATATGAACTTTTTTGGAACTCAATTCCTAAAAATATTTTACTTTATTCTACTAGAAAATACACAACACATAGACGTGTTATAACGTTTTTTGTTTGTTTTTGGTAATGTGTTTGGAAGAACTTACTTCTTAGGCAATATATAACCAAAGTGCTACTGTATATAGAAAGGATATACTAGATTTATAATATGTGGTTTATATTAAGTAACTTTAGGATATACCACTTTCACTCAGCGAATAGTGGAGAAAGCAAGAAAAAAAAAGTATTGCATCAATAAAATGTTTTTCTCCTCTCTAAGCAGCAGGCTCTCAGGGGTAACATGAAGTCTACACTCTTTATAAAAGCTCTATTTAATAATCTGCTTTCTTACAATTGGTAAAACAAGCTATTCAGTTCTGTTGGAAATAGCCAACACAGGTTGAATATCCCTTGTTGAAAATGCTTGGGAACAGAAATATTCCGATTTTGGGATGTTTGCATTGTCCTATTGAGCATTTCAAATCTGAAAATCCAAAATCGGAGCTTTTTTTTTTTTTTTGAGACACAGTCTTACTTTGTCATCTGTGCTGGAGTACAGTGGCATGATCTCAGCTCAAGCTATTCTCCTGCCTGAGCCTCCCAAGTAGCTGGGATTACAGGCGTACTCCACCAGGCCCAGCTAATTTTTGTATTTTTAGTAGAGAGAGGGTTTCGCCATGTTGGCCAGACTGGTCTTGACCTCCTGACTTCAAGTGATCCACCCGCGTCGGCCTCCTGAAGTGCTGGGATTACAGGCGTGAGCCACCATGCCCGGCCCTGGGCATTTTCTTTGAATGCCATGTTGGTGCTTAAAAAGTTTTGGATTTTGTAGCATTTCAGATTTCACGTTTTTTGGATTAGGGATACTCAGTCTTATTTAAGATATATTTTGATTTCTTACACCAGCCTGCTGTGGTGGAGACGTACTCTTGAGCAATGAGTAGAATAATTGTAAGGGAGAGTAGCTAGAGGGGAAAGCCACAAAGATTGCTATAAATGCGCAAGCTGATTGATCATTTCAATTCCAAGAGGATTAGAAATAATACTTCTAGGAGAATAAATAGCAATAACCTAGGCTGGGTGCGGTGGCTCATGCCTGTAATCCCAGCACTTTAGGAGGTTGAGGCAGGAGGATTGCTAAAATTCAGGAGTTTAAGGCTAGTCTGGGCAACATAGTGAGATCTTATCTCTCCGAAAAATAAAAGTGAGCTAGGTGTGGTGGCATATGCCTGTTGTATCAGCTACTCAGGAGGCTGAGAGGTGGGAGGATCACTCCAGCCTGAGCAACAGAGTGAGACCCTGTCTCAAAAAAAATGAAATATCTATATATATAGCACCAGACCTGCATTCAGTTACTGTCCCAGCAAATATCAAAGTGAATTCCATCTTCAAGAAGATAAACCACAGAAAAGAGTTGGTATAATGATTTCATTCATTTTGGATACACCTTGTGTGTACTAGGCACCTTTCTAGTAGTGAGATTATAGTACTGGACAAAAAGAGTTCCTATTCTCCTGGAGTTTACATTTTACTGGGGGAAGACAAAGCAATATATTAAATAATACAATTATTTTACATAGTTTTAAGTGCTACAAGGAAAGGAAACATGATAATGTTATGAAAGCAGTAGTTGTGGGTAGGAGGGGAGTGTCTAATTTAGATATATATTGTTTACAATTTTAAAAAGCTTTACTTCTGTCATTAACCTAGAATATGACTATAAGCAAGTCATTTTAACATCTTAATTTCCTTAGGATCCTAATTTCTAAAATGGAAATAATCCCTAATTTAGCATTCTGAGATTAAAAAGAAAATTTCTAGGTGGGTTCTTTTGGTGAGACAGGTTCTCACTCTGTTGCACAGGCTGGAGTGCAGTGGGTGTGATCAAGGTTTACTGTAGCCTCAAACTCCTGGGCTCAAGTGATTCTCCTGCATTTGGCCTCCCAAAGTGCTGGGATTATAGGCATGAGCCATTGCACCCAGCCTTATAGTTTTATTTTTTAAAAAACAAAAAATTTGGCCAGGCGTGGTGGCTCATGCCTGTAATCCCAGTACTTTGGGAGGCTGAGGCGGGCAGATCACTTGAAGTCAGGAGTTTAAGACCAGCCTGGCCAACACGGTGGAGTGTAAATCTCCACCAAAATTACAAAATTAGCAGGTGCCTGTAATCCCAGCTACTAGGGAGGCCGAGGCAGGAGAATCACTTGAACCCAAGAGGCAGAGTTGGCAGTGAGCCAAGACTGCACTACTGCGCTTCTGCCTGGATGACAGAGCGAGACTCTGTCTCAAAAAAAAAAAAAAAAAACTTTGAAGTACAGATACAGTAATATACGTATTTCTCAAGTATGAGGCTCAATTTTTACGAAGTGAATTTACTCCCATAAGTGCCCTGAACATGATAGACAAAATTATCTGCCCTCACACAGTCTCCTTTTCTCTTTTTCTTATAACTTCAAATGTGATTTCTGTCATTCTGACTTATACCATCATATAGAGATTAGTTTTGTTTATCATTTTCTAATAGCTTTGTTGAGATATAGCTTATAATTTACACACCATGTAATTACCCATTTGAAGTATACAGTTTAAGGGTTTTTAGTATATTCACAAAGTTGTACAGCTATCATCATAATAAATTTTAGAACATTTTCATTATCCCAAAAAGAAATCCCATACCCATTAGCGGTCACTCCCATTTCTTCTCAGTACCCCTTCTCTCTGCTGTAGACAACCACGAATCTTTCTCTAAAGTTTTGTCTGTTCTAGACCATCATATGAATGGAATCATGCAAAATGTGGTCTTTTGTGACTGGCTTCTTTTGTTTAACATAATATTCTAAAGTTTCGTTCATATTGTGGCATTTATCAGCACTCCACTCTCTTTTTTTTTTTTTTTTTTTTTTTTTGAGCCAGAATCTCACTCTGTTGCCCCAGGTTGGAGTGCAAATGGCGTGATCTTGGCTCACTGCAACCTTCGCCTCCCAGGTTCAGGCAATTCTTCTGTCTCAGCCTCCTGAGTAGCTGGGATTACAGGCGTCCACCACCACACCCAGCTAATTTTTATATTTTTAGTAGAGACGGGGTTTCGCCATGTTGGTCAGGCTGGTCTCAAACTCATTTTATGGATATGGTATATTTTATTTATTTGTTTGAAATCTGATGTTTTTTATTGTTTCCACTATTTGACTAAGGTGACTAATGCTGTTATGAACATTCATTGTGTAGGTTTTTGTTGTTCATATGTCCTCATTTCTTTTGGGTGTAACCTAAGGAGTGGAATTGCTGGGTCATGTGGTAACTGTATTTAACTTTTTGAGGAACTGCCACATTGGTTTCTAAAGTGACTGTACCATATTACCCTGCCACCAGCAAATTTGATTTCTCCACATTTCACCAATACTTGTTAATGTTTGTCTTTTGGATTATAGTCATCTTAATGGGTGTGAAGTGGTATTTTATAGTTTTTATTGCATATCTCTAATACCTGGTGACGTTGAGTGTCTTTCTATGTGCTTTTTGGACATTTATATTGCATGTATTTTTTTTTTTCCTGAGACAAGGTCTTGCTCAGTCACGCAGGCTGGAGTGCAGTGGCATGATCGCGGTTCACTGCAGCCTCAGTCTCTGAGCTTCAAGCGATTCTCATACCTCAGCCTTCTGAGTAGCTGGGATTACAGATGTGCACCACCACGCTCGGCTAATTTTTATATTTTTAGTAGAGACAGGGTTATATACTTGTTGGCCAGGCTGGTCTCCAACTCCTGGCCTCAAGTGATCTGCCTGCCTTGGCCTCCCAAATTGCTGGATTACAGGCCTGAGCCACTGTGCCCAGACATGGATCAGTTTTTATTCCTGTTACTAGTGTTTGAAAGTACATTTGCTCTATGTCCTTATCACTTCTTCCACTAGTTTTTATTGTTAGGGTTTGGTTTTGTTAGCCATTCTGGTGAGTATATAGTGAATATACAGGTTGAGTATCCCTTATCTTAAATACTTGGGGACCACAGTGTTTTAGATTTCAGGATTTTGGTTTTTGGTTTTTTTCTTTTTTTAAAATTTTGGAATATTTGCATTATACTTACTGGTTGAGCATCCCTCATTCAAAATTCCAAAATCTGAAATGCTGTCAGTAAGCATTCCCCTTGAGTGTCATGCAAATGCTCAAAAAATTTAGGATTTTGGAGTAATTTGGAGTTCAGATTTTTGGATTAGGATACTCTGTCTGTAGTTTATTTTCTTGATTACCAGTGATGATAAATATTTCATGCTTTACAGACCACATGGTCTCTGTCCCAGCTATTCAGCTCTGCTATTGCAGTGTGAAAGCAGCTGTGTACTATAATACCTAAACAAATGAGGGTGGCTATGTTCCAGTAAAACTTAATTTACCAAAAAAAAAAAAAAGCATTGGATTGGGTTTGCTCCATGAGCCATAGTTTGCTAACTCCTGTATTAACTCAGTTAATTGGAGAGGAAACAGCAGAAACCATTTATGGGCTATATGACTGTTAAAAAGCTTCCTTTTTTAGGAGGGACTGGAGTAGACCTGATGTTTTCAGAATTCATTTTAAACATTTTTTAAAACTTACACTTTTATACAATTCTTAATATATCACAAAATAGCTATTGCCTTATCTGTCATTTTTCAAATTGACCTTTATTACAAAAAGCTGATAAAATGAATATTGGGGAATGTTTCAAAATTTAACTTTGTAACCCAGACTTATTTCTCTTTTTTGTCTCATAATACAGAAACAATTTTTATTATGAGAGAAAATAAAGCATTGAGGTTTTTGGCTTTTTTTTTTTTTAATTTTTTTTTTTTTAAATTTTTTGAGACAAAGTCTTGCTCTTGTCCCCTAGGCTGGAGTGCGATTGTGCAATCTCGGGTCACTGCAACCTCTGCCTCCCGGGTTCAAGCGATTCTCCTGCCTAATTACAGGTGGCTGCCACCATGTCTGGCTAATTTTGGTATTTTTATTAGAAACGAGGTTTCACCATGTTGGCCAGCCTGATCTCAAACTCCTGACCTCATGTGATCCGCCCGCCTAGGCTTCCCAAAGTGCTGGGATTACAGGCATGAGCCACCGTGCCCGGCCAGTTTTTTGCCGTTTTAAGTAATGTAGTTCACTGATGCAAAATATATTGGGAATGTTGTGCAGCCATCACCACTATCCAGCTACATAATTATTTTCATCTTGTAAAACTAAAACTCTGCACCCATTAAACAATCCCCATTTCCCCCCTCCCCACAACCCCTGGCAACCATCATTCTACTTTTTGTCTTTGTGATTTTGAGTATTCTACCTGTATAAGTGGTATCATACAGTATTTGTCTTTTTGTGACTGGCTTATTTCACTTAACATAATGCCCTCAAGGTTCATCCACGTTGTAGCATATGTCAGAATTGCCTTCCTTTAAGGCTGAATGATATTCTATTTGTATACCACATTTTGCTTATCTGTTGATGGGCACTCAGGTTGCTTTTGTGTTTTAGTTATTGTGAATAATACTGTTATGAACATGGATATTCAGGTATTGGTTTGAGACCCTACTTTCAATTCTTTAGTTATTTGTTTGCTTGTTTAGATGGAAGATAAAACCATGAGCTTTGTGGGTGTTGTTTTATATATCAGTCAATCAGATGAAAAGAATTAATTATTAAAGTTTGAGGCTGGGTGCAATAGCTCACACCTGTAATCCCAGCACTTTGGGAGGCCAAGGCGGGTGGATCACCTGAGGTCGGGAGTTCGAGACCAGCCTGGCAAACCTTGTGAAACCCCATCTCTACTAAAAATAAAAAAATTAGCTGGGTGTGGTGACACACGTCTGTAATCCCAGCTACTCCGGAGGCTGAGGCAGGAGAATTGCTTAAACCCAGGAGGCAGAGGTTGCAGTGAGCTGAGATCGTGCCACTGCACTCCAGCCTGGGCAACAGAGTGAGACTCCATCTCAAATAAAAAAAAGAAAAAGAAAGAAAGAAAAGTTTGATAGGCCAGCTTGATTATCTGAATTTTAGAAGGCAGATTCTAAAATGAGTAATCGTAGAATATCGCTATGGTAACATCCAGTGCCGTATACATTTTGTCTTTATAGCCAAATAGCCACATAGAATTTTTATATTATTTATTTTTTATTGAGGTAAAATATACACATATAATACAGAATGTACACATCTTTGCCCCCCCGCCCCTTTTTTTTTTTTTTTTTTTGGAGACAGAGTCTCACTCTGTCGCCCAGGCTGGAGTGCAGTGGTGTGATCTCGGCTCACTGCAACCTCCGCCTCCTGGGTTTAAGTGATTCTCCTGCCTCAGCCTCCTGAGTAGCTGAGGTTACAGGCGCCCGCCACCACACCCAGCTAATTTTTTGTATTTTTAGTAGATATGCAGTTTTGCCATGTTGGCCAGGCTGGTCTCGAACTCCTGACCTGAGGTGATCTGCCCACCTCGGCCTCCCAAAAGTGCTGGGAGTACAGGCATGAACCACCGTGCCTGGCCATTTTTACCGTTTTTTTTTTTTTTTTTGAGACGGAGTCTTGCTCTGTCGCCCAGGCTGGAGTGCAGTGGCGCCATCTCGGCTCACTGCAAGCTCCGCCTCCCGGGTTCACGCCATTCTCCTGCCTCAGCCTCCCGAGTAGCTGGGACTACAGGCGCCCGCTACCACGCCCGGCTAATTTTTTTTGTATTTTTAGTAGAGACGGGGTTTCACCGTGTTAGCCAGGATGGTCTCGATCTCCTGACCTCGTGATCCGCCCGCCTCGGCCTCCCAAAGTGCTGGGATTACAGGCGTGAGCCACCGCGCCCGGCCTATTTTTACCGTTTTTAAGTATACAGTTCAGTAGTAATAAATACATTTCTATTCTTTTTCTCCTCCCTTCAACTCCCCCCACCCACTTCCTGGCCTTTGATAACCACCAGTTTATTTATCTTTATGAGATTTAGCTCTGACATATGAGTGAAAACATGCAATAGTTGTCTTTCTGTGCTTGGTTTATTTCACTTAACGTGATGGCTTCCAGTTCCATCCATATTGCTGCAAATGACAGGATTTCATTTATTTTTATGGCTGAATAATATTCCATAGTGTATGTATACCACATTTTCTTTAAGCACTTAGGTTGACTTCATGTTTTGGCCATTGTGAATAGTGCTGCAATAAACGTAGGAGTACAACTATCTCCAATATATTGATTTCCTTTGTTTTGGATATTGCTGGATATTGCTGGATACTATTGCTGGATATTGCTGGATACTATGTTTTGGATATTGCTGGATACTATGGTAATTCCGTAGTTTTAGTTTTTTGAGGACTCTATATTGTTCTACATAGCGGCCTTACTAATTTGCATTCCCACCAACAGTGTATGAGTGTTCCTTTTCTCTACATCCCCGCCAGCATCTGTTACTGCCTTTTTTTTTTTTTTTTTTAAAAACAGAGTCTTCCTCTATCACCCAGGCAACCTCCACCTCCCGGGTTCAAGTGATTCTTAGCCTCTGCCACCCAAGTAACTGGGATTACATGTGCCACCATGCCCAGCTAATTTTTGTAAATCCCAAAGTCCTGGGATTTACAGGCGTGAGCCACCTTGCCCAGCCTTGCCTGTCTTTTTGATACAAGCCATTTTGACTGGGGTGAGATGATATCTCATTGTGGTTTTGATTTATATTTCTGTGATTATAGTGATGAACATTTTTTTCATATAGCTTTTGGCCATTTGTACGTCTTTTGAGAAATGTCAGTTCAGATGTTTTGCCCATTTGTAAACGAGATTATTTGGTTTTCTGCTATCGAGTTTGAGCTCTTTATATATTCTGGTTTTTCGTCCTTTTTTAGATAGACAGTTTGTAGACACTTTCTTCTATTCTTTGTTTATCTCTTCACTTTGTTGGTTGTTTCTTTTGCTGTATAGAGCTTTTTAGCTTGATGTAACACCCATTATCTCTCTTTGCCTGTGCCTTTGAGGTCTTACACAAAAAATCTTTGCCTAGACCAATGTCCTTCTTTCACTTCTTTGGTTAGATTGATTCCTAGGTGTTTTACTTTTTTTTTTTGGCTATGGTAAATGGAATTGCTTTCTTGGTTTCTTTTTCAGATTGTTTACTGTTGTTATATATAAATAGCTACTGATTTTTTTTTTTAATTTTAGTTTTTAAGAAGAGATGATGTCTCACTCTGTTGACCAGACTGGTCTCAAACTCCTGGCCTCAAGCGGTCTTCCCACCTTTCCCTTCGAAAGTGCTGGGATTACAGGCGTGAGCCTAACCAAAGCCTAACCAAAGAGTCATTCTTCTCCAACCCTCTCAAAACCTTCCAAGTGTTTTTTTTGTTTTTTTTTTTTTTTTTTGAGACAGAGTCTTGCTCCGTCGCCCAGGCTGGAGTGCAGTGGTGCAATCTTGGCTCACTGCAGCCTCCGCCTCCTGGGTTCAAGAGATTCTTCTGCCTCAGCCTCCCCAAGTAGCTGAGATTACAGGCGCCCATCACCATGCCTGGCTAATTTTTGTATTTTTAGTAGAGTCGGGATTTCACCAGGTTGGCCAGTCTGGTCTCAAACTCCTGACCTCAAATGATCCACCCACCTCAGTCACCCAAAGTGCTGGGATTACAGGCATGAGCCACAACACCTGGCCTAAAACCTTCCAAGTCTTAACTGCAATTACTCAACTAGTTCTGATCAAGACCAAGAAAATTAAGAACAGTAAGTAAAAGCTTGTAAGTTACAGTTAGCTTTCAAATTTCATGACATATAGATTTTCTTAGTATACAGTAAGGGAAAATAATTCTTTGTAGGACCTTGTACTGTCTTACTAGGTGGCATTCTATTGTCTTCTGTCACAGGGCTTAAATAATTGTCAAAATAATATTTAAAGTTAGTACTGTTAAACTCTCTTAAAAATTTATTTTCCTTTCCTGTTCAACTCATTGGAATAAGAAAAGAGTTGATTTAGTGATCTATGCACCTAAGGATTAAAATTCATGTTATTTATCTCCCAATATTGCTTATCTTCATGCTTTAGGAATGAATATATACCAATAACTCACATTTTTCAATAATTCATATAATCACATCAAAATTCCTATTTTGGGGTCAGTAAATACTGTTTTCAATCTTAATTTCTTGGATTTACTTATTAGTTTAGATAAGTAAAACCTTAATGGAAGTTTTGAAATGTATTATAGATTTCTGAAACATGGCAATTTGTTTACTGAGGTCAAAACTTCAGATGGAGAGATTATTTTTTAAAAATAAAATAGTTACGTGCTTGTAGCCTTTTTACATAACTTGAATTGCAGAAGATTTTCATTTCTCTTTAAAAATTATTAGGCTTTTGCCAAGTTGGAAACGAGGTATAGCGCCTGTAGTCCTAGCTACTTGGGAGGCTGAGGCGGGAGGATTGCTCGAGCCCATGAGTTCGAGGCTGCAGTGAGCTTCTGCACTTCAGCCTGGGCAACAGAGCGAGACCCTGTCTCAAGAAAACAAAGAGGTATATATGTATTTACATGTGTGCTAACTTTTAGAAATTGAACAGATTTGATTTCTTGCTACTATTTTAGCTTCTTTTGATAATGAGAATGATTGGAATTAATCACTGTTGGGGGGAATACACATATTTCATAGAACTAGAAGAACAGACTCGAAAAGCTCTAGAACTGGATCAAGAACGAAAACGAGCAAAAGAAGAAGCAGAACGACTTGAAAAGGAGCGTCGAGCTGCTGAAGAGGCAAAGTCTGCCATAGCAAAACAAGCTGCCGACCAGATGAAGAATCAGGAGCAGCTAGTAAGGAACTGTCTTCTTAGAGAAAAAAGTTTAAATAAAAGCATAGAGTGAACCCTCTAAAAAAGAAAAAAAGAAAAGCAACCATTTTGTGCTTTCTGGAGAGCAAGCCAAAGATAACATGTAACTTAATAACAAAATGTAGACAAAAACCTAGAAAATTTATTTCTGCCTAAACAAAAACCTAAAAATACAAAAGAATAAGGCATTTTTCTATAGATTATTTGTAAATGGAGTCTACTGTCAGCAAAAGGTTCTGATTCACTTTGACATTGGACAGGTTCGGTAATAAGTCAGTTGGCGTCTTTTGCTTTAGATAAATTAATATGTTATAGTTATATAATATAGATATATGTTATAGTTATATAATATATTATAGATATATAATATGTTATAGTTCCTATGAGGCCATAATTGGTTGGGTTTTTTTATTTAGTGGACTTGCAAATAATTAGATGTAAGCGTGTCACTTAAAAGATCCTGGATTTAAATATTAGTTCACACATGTACTTGCTATGTATGTGTCTTTGGGTCTTTCTGAGCCTCAGTTCCCTCCCTTTGAAAAGAGGAATGATGGCCGGGCACAGTGGCTCACGCCTGTAATCCCAGCATTTTGGGAGGCCGAGGCAGGTGGATCACCTGAGGTCAGGAGTTCAAGACCACCCTGACCAACATGGCGAAACCCTGTCTCTACTAAAAATACAAAATTAGCCAGGCACAGTGGTGCACGCCTGTAATCCCAGCTACTCGGGAGGCTGAAGCAGGAGTATTGCTTGAACCTGGCAGGCGGAGGTTGCGGTGAGCTGAGATTGTGCCACTGGGCTCCAGCCTGGGTGACAGAACGAGACTCTGTCTGAAAAAAAAAAAAGGAGGAATGATACTACCTGTTAATGATACTACCTGTTAGGATTATTGGGGTATTAAATGAGATGATTTGACAAAGTGCCATTTAAAGTATATAGCATTAGATAAATATTTTATCTTTTGTGGACTTTAACAAATAGTTTATTGATGGAAATTTTTTAAAAAAGCTTTTAAGTTACACATTTTAAGTTCCTGCTACTGAAAGCAGGATTAACTAGTCTGTAGAATAATAGTAATTTTTTAATTTTGTCTCCTTAGCTCATTACCTAAAGGACTTATTGTAAATAAGCTATTTAAGATCTTAAGAAATACTGTATTTTTTTAAATGGAAGGCTAAGAAAAACATAAACAGCCTAAGCATGTGCATTAAAACTTTGTTGACTTATAAGATTATTCAAAATATGTTATTTTAATTTTGGAATTATATTGTTTACTTTAGGCAGCAGAACTTGCTGAATTCACTGCCAAGATTGCACTTCTAGAGGAAGCCAAGAAGAAAAAGGAAGAGGAAGCTACTGAGTGGCAACACAAAGTAATCATTTATTCATTTACTAGCTTTTATTGAATAGCTTTTATACCCAGGATTATGCTGACTTTGTAGTGATAAGTGTAAGATACTGTCATAATTTAGAGTGGGAAAGATACTCGTGTTATGTGTATTGTAAATATCTATCTACAGATATAAACCAAGTACTTTGGGAACACAGAAGAGGTGATTAATTTCTGGGGGACCAGAGAGTTGTCGGGAGACCCATATACATTTAAGCTGGGTCTTGAATAATGAATTAAATTTTGGGGGTACAAAAGATTGGGATGTAAAATTGGGAATAGTTAGAGACTGAAGAAGTAGTCATTCTAGACAGAGGGAACTGAATGAGTATAGGAAGTATGAATGTATATAATAGATTTGAGGATAACCAATAAGCAGCCGAGGCTTAGTGTTGTTCAGAAATGTTAGGAGATGTGGCCCTCAAGTTTGATAATAGGGAATTGTGAAAGGCTTTAAATAAATGCTCTGCTACAGCAAGGCAGTGGGAGTATCGATTGACTTGGGGCTTAGAAGATTTCAAAACAGGATTGTAACATGATCAGATATGATTTTATAAAAACCATGTAGTGATCAGTGTGAAGAAAGGATTGGGATAGTGGATACTTAAGAGATAAAGACCCAAACTGAGGATGTGAAAATGAGAATAAAGAGGAATGGGAAGATATAAGAGACATTTTGTGGTCACAAAAAGGCATGGGAACCAGTGATTGGATATGAAGTTGAATTATTTTTATTTTTTTAGAGACATGGTCTTACTCTGTGTCCCAGGCTGGAGTGCAGTGGCACAATCATAATTCATTGCAGCTTTGAACTCCTGGGCTCAAGGGATCCTCCCACCTCAGCCTCTGCAGTAGCCGAGACTACAGGCATGCACCATCATTTTTATTTTTGTTGAGAATGGAGGTCTTGCTGTGTAACCCAGGTTGGTCTTGAACTGCTGGCCTCAAGCAGCCCTCCCATCTCAGCCCCCAAAGTGCTGGGATTGTAGGTGTAAGCCACTGTGTGCAGCTGACACCGAGATTTCTAATATGAGTCCTAAGTAGATGAAACCACTGTTGTCTAAAGTAGCACACAATTGTAAAATCAGGCTTTGGTTGGAGAGTGGGGGAATATAAGATAATGAGAGTTTAATTCAAACAACATTAACTCTTAACTGAAAAGATAATTTTTTTACCCCCAAAGATGATATTTAGTTTTAGAAGATGATTTTTCTACAATAAAATGTACTTATACAGAAAACAGTTTTCTTGCACTCTTAAGTAAATCTTTGTAGCAGTTTAAATTTCATTGGGTAATTTTATATGTATTGAAAATTAGTTATATATAAATAAAACTACAAAAGGAATGCTACTGTTAATTTCCCAGTTACTCTACTTGTTTATTAGAATTTTTTAGATCCCTTTTAGGGATGATTTATGAAATTTAGAGACACATAAACTTTAAAAAATTAGCATATTACAGATATCAAGTCTGTGAATTATAGAAAATTAGAAAATGCACACAAAAGACAATTGTATTCCCATAAACTAGGGGAAATACTGCAAAACCTTAGTACATATTCTTCCAGGATACTTCCTGTTTATATATTCAACATGAAATCTTACTGTATGTACTATTTCATTTTAGTCAATTTTCATCTCAGAATATTAGACTATATTAAGAATTTCCCAAAAAGTCTCATAGCTAATTTGCCAGACAAGTGTTCAGAGGACTTTGCATTGTCTGTATTTGCTGTAAGTCTCTTTTAATGGAGGGCAGTTTCTCTTTTTATTATTTTGATTTATTGAAGGGACCTACAGAATGTCTCACCTCCTATATTTGTTTAGTTACTTCCTTGTGTCATTGACCTTATCCTTTAACTCCAGTATTTCCTTTGAACCAGAAGTTAGATCTAGAACCTGGGGAATTCAAATTAAATGTTTTGACTACAGTGCATCAAAGGTGAGACTTCCATATAATTGAACATCTAAACTGGAGTACTTTTGAGAAAAAGGGGGTATTGTTCATAATTACACCAGGACAACAGTGTAACAGGACTTTTCCAGGTAAACCAAGATAATATGATCACCCAAATAATTGGTGATGTTAGATATTTCAGGTTGTATCATATCAGAAGACACTTAATATCTAGTTAACTCACCATTAGTATTTTTTAGTGATCATTGGATTTGAGTAACGACAGTCTCATTCCTCCGTTATTCGGTTACATTTTCCCCTTGTGGCTCAAATAAAATCTATTGGGTGTGAGATTCTTAGGCATTATATGAATATCTATTTCTCATCAACTATTTGCACAACAGTTTTAGCAAACAATTGATAATCCTTGCCAGAATTAATAGTTCTTTTTTTGCATGTATGCTTGTTTTTCTTTTAATCTGTCACTTTGAAGCTCACAGAGTAATTCTAATAGGGTTTGCATAATAATGTTTTTGATTTTCTCTTTTACCTGTTGACATTCTTTTATGAAAATAGAGGTTTCATAAATAGGGCCTATTTTCATTACCTTGAAATACAGTTTCTATTAAAAAGGGA
This sequence comes from Homo sapiens, assembly GCF_000001405.40. Lineage (NCBI taxonomy): Eukaryota > Metazoa > Chordata > Mammalia > Primates > Hominidae > Homo > Homo sapiens. Next base: position 110,233,548 of record NC_000011.10, on the reverse strand, counting down.
GTATAACTTGATTGTTTTGATTATTAATTTTTGAAGTAAGTTGCTCATAAACGTATTTTTAATGTTCAGGCTTTTGCAGCCCAGGAAGACTTGGAAAAGACCAAAGAAGAGTTAAAAACTGTGATGTCTGCCCCCCCTCCACCTCCACCACCACCAGTCATTCCTCCAACAGAAAACGAACATGATGAACACGATGAGAATAATGCTGAAGCTAGTGCTGAATTATCAAATGAAGGGGTAATGAACCATAGAAGCGAGGAAGAACGTGTAACCGAAACACAGAAAAATGAGCGTGTTAAGAAGCAACTTCAGGTATTTAAAATTTGCAGTTGTATGTGCATTTGAAATATAGTTTGCATTTTCCCCATCTTAGACAAACTTAGTTAAAAAGAATATAGAAGTTTTAATACTGGCTGCCCTTGTGATTGGTTTGTGGGTGTTTGGCCTATAGTCATGTTATTTCATTTCTTCCGTTGTGTGAACCCATTAGCAAATACCTGTTAGCTTTGTATAATCAGACCTTAACTAGTGAGTTATTTAATTACAGCTTGACCCATTTTAAAAGGTAGAAAGTATTCTAATGTCATGTTGAAAAACGTGAATTTAGTTTTTGATCAGTAATATGTACATTGAGGGCCAGGCGCAGTGGCTCACACCTGTAATCCCAGCACTCTGGGAGGCCGAGGCAGGTGGACTGCCTGAGGCCAGGAGTTCAAGACCAGCCTGGCCAACATGGTGAAACTCTGCCTCTACCAAAAATACAAAAATTAGCCGGGTATGGTGGTATGAGCCTGTAATCCCAGTTACTTGGGAGGCTGAGGTATTGCTTGAACCTGGGAGGTGGAGGTTGCAGTGAGCCGAGATCATGCCACTGCACTTCAGCCTGGACAATAGTAAGTGACTCTGTCTCAAAAAAATAAAATAAAATAAAATGTACATTGGAAAGAATGATAGTTAATATACTATGTTTAAGACATTACATAATCTTAATTATTTGTTGAGATTTTATATTGGCAAAAGGTCAGTATATTACATGGACATAACTAGGTCAAAGTAGAGGATTTTAATATTATGAGCTTTCTTTTTTCCCAATAAGTTATCTAATATTTTAATTGTTAAAATCTTTAAATATTAAAAGAAAATGAGGTGATAGTTACAATAAATGTATTAAGACTTTTGGAGAAGGCTTCCCTTGAGGTATAGATTTTAAATCTCATAGTAATATTAGTCTGTAATGGCTACATTGAACTTTTTAGCCATTTCAAGTATTAGATTAGAAAGTTAAGGAAATTTAGAATAATGTACAAAATACCATGGTTGATAAATGTGGAAAGGCCATGTGTATTCCTCCCTTACCACTGCCACCACTATTACTAAAACAAACTTATACCTAAAGAAAAAGGTTTCACAGTGGAAATGATTTGGTATATGTATTTTTGCATCTTAAAGCCATTTTCATAAATTTTTTTAAATCTAAGAAAAAAATAATAGTTGTACTTTTTATTTTTTAAATAGGCATTAAGTTCAGAATTAGCCCAAGCCAGAGATGAAACCAAGAAAACACAAAATGATGTTCTTCATGCTGAGAATGTTAAAGCAGGCCGTGATAAGTACAAGACTCTGCGACAGATTCGACAAGGCAATACAAAGCAGCGTATCGATGAGTTTGAAGCAATGTGAGAGCTGTTATTTTGCATATATGTTCTTCATAAGCTGAACCACCAACAGAGAAAAGCAGGCCTTTGCAGATATGATGGAATGCATCCCACCTTGCCAAAGCACTTACACCAGTTTGACTGTGCTAGCTAAAAGACAAATTTAAGGGGAGCTCTTCAACATTAAGGCAGTATGATATCATGCTTGGTTTTCTTTTTTCTTTTGGTCCAGGGAATGGAGAATGGTGTTCCATTGCCTCTTTTCACATTTTTTTTCTTTTTCTTTTTTTTTTCTGTTGAAGATTAACACTAATTATCACGTCTGACAAATGTGTATGTGTGGTTTCAGTTCTGTGTACATTTTAAAGGATAATGGTGAACATTTTAATGGGTTTCCCTTGCCCTTTCCATATTTAACCTATTTCCACATTCTCTCTCACTCACATTTTCTCAGTGTGCCCTTCTCTTATCTGCCATGTCCATAGCCATAATTCCACCATCATACAGATCAGGCAGTGTTTAAAATGATGGTAGGTAGCACAGTGGACAGTCTTTGATCATCATGTAGAATATGGCTATGAATCAGGAAAGAGATTAGAACATTTAATAATGTATGTACAGCTGGTGCTTAGTTTTTTTTTAATCTAAATTTAATTACCTTATTGGATATTTGATATTTGGTTATTTAATCACAGTCATCTTTAACAGCTTACACTGATTGGTGTTTTATCTCCTGTGATCCTTTGATGGCTTTTTTTGCCTACCATTTCACAGAGGTTTAGACAGCAGTAGTAGCTCCCTAGGAGAGTTTACTGATGAAACAGCCTCTGCAAGATTTTAAAAGTTTTGTTCTTTTATAGACTGATTTAGAAAAACAAATGATTAGTTAAAAAAAGAAAATATACATTTGTTGGTAACTAATGTTATTTTTTAAAACCTGGACCTTTTCTGGAAGGGCAGCATATAAAAACATCAGTCCCGAGGAGGGGACAACAATACTACCTCACTACTACATCTGTGATGACTGGTTGTTCAAACACAATGGAGTGTGTAAGGTATATGTTTTATAATTCATAACCATAGCCTCGATCATCAAGAAATACTTTCGAAATTTCATTTTCCTTCAGAATATCTTAAGAGTGCTAAATTTTTAACTGCCTTTTTGTCGAGTCAAACTGTGGGATTCTGATTTGTATTAAAATTGTAAGCTCCTCACTGGTATACTATCATCCTGGAGGGGTGTTGTATGGCTGAGCAAGAGAGAGAGAGAATGAGAGAGAGACTGTGTGTGTGTGTGTGTGTGTGTGTGTGTGTACTCTGTGTGTGTATGAGAGAGAGAAATGCTAACCTTGTAGCATGTGAAGAATGTCTGTACCTTGATACGATAGTTACATAATCAGTATATTTGGTTTCTAGATCACTGTGCTTATTTTGTTTCAATCTCTGACTAAAAATACTTAAATTTGGTTTGTTAATTCTTATTTTAGAAATTATAATTTTAGTTTATATTAATTTCGGTTATAGCTTACTGAAGAAATCTTTCCAGTTAGAAGGAGGTTCTAATATTCACATGTTCTAATACTTTGTTTATTGTAAAACAGCTAAATTTGGAGATACGTAAAGCCTTGTTTTCTCTGTGTGGTTCAGCTACTTTCCATTTGGTATTACACAGTCAAATTTACATTTATCTATTAAAATTGCCATTTTATTAAACATTTTCATGCACAGTAGATTCAAGTTGTGTCTGAAAATATCTCTTGTGCTTTTTTGATTTTGCTGACTTTAAAAGGATTAATCTGGGCAGACATTATGTAAAAGAAAGGTTGCGTTTAATATATTTTTTGAACTTTGTAGGACAAAACATAGCTGGTTAACCTTGAAGTGACTGTTGTACCATGGTTGTGCACATGCTTCAGAATCCTATGGAAGAGAATATTCCTACTTGCAGTACATCAAAGGAATGGATGGTGGACCCTACTATTCATGTTTTGAGACATAAATGTTCACTTTAAAGCAATTGCATAATAGATAAAAACCTGAACTTTCATTGGATTTTTGTTAATTTTCCTCATTTTGAATTATGTGCACTACCATAGCTACATCAGTTTGATACAGTATTGAAAAATTATCAGTTATATTTTGCTGTTTATGATCTATTTGTAGATTAGGATTAAAATGGATTTAATCCATTTTTAAGGCTGTGTGAATTTTTCTAAACAAGAACCATTTGCAATATGGATTTCTTAGAGATTAAACCAATTATAACTTATTAGCAGTCGCGAGCACATGTTCATATAGTCAATGTAAAAATACACTAATGAGTATTTGGTAAATCCCAGTAGGCTTTTACCATTAGCATAATTTTGTGTTGTACAATTAAGTTACAATTACATCTCTAATTTTGGATAATATTCATTGGTTAACAATAAAGTGACAAAAGCTCATGCCTTCAAGGTCCACTGTTGTTATTTAACATGGATTTTTTGTATGTTTCTTGAAAATTACAATCTTTATCACAGCCATGAATCACCACAACTTAAAAGTAAGAAGTAGATAGGAAATAATTTTAAATCCTCATAGATCTACTCTTTCCCCGATACCTCTTTGGTATGGAAGTAATAGTGATTAATTCTGTGGAAAAGTTAAATTATTAAATTAAATTGACTTTGTTGACAACAAAACGTAATTTAGGGTTTCCAGTCATTGCCTTTATTGTATAGTGGTTAGTTTCTTTTTCCTGAGGAAGATACAGTTTCTTGTCATTGATTGATCTCACTATTAACATTTCAACATTCTTTAAAGAACTGTATGCTAAGTATATTTATGTAAGTACATGTTCTTATTTTGAAGCTGTATTATAGAACAGTTACTATAAATCTAGAAATTGCCTTTTTCAAGTCTTCTTACTAATTTTTAACTTAAATAAGTGATAAATCTATAAAAATAGTAAAAGCTAGATTTTTTTGTTGATAGTAATATTTAACTGTCACTTTATTATTTCTGTTCTCAAGGACACATAGTGATTTTTTTACTCTGATCCTGTCAGAAAATGGAATTTTAAATAATATTTTGCTTTATGTCTAATTAGAGTTTTAAGAACTGGAATGGCCCCTTATAAAGTTATGTTAGATTTTATTGGAAGTCACTCTTATCATTAGAAGTGTTTCAATATTATTGTGTTTTTTTTTAAAATCCCACTGTATTCTGTCCCAGTATTGATCACCGTGTTGATTATTAATGTTTTTAGAAATGAAAATAATTTTTTAAATTCACAGGCATCCCATTTTACATATGCACAATAAAAACAATTAGTCTTAAAAGTTAAAGCTGGAAACTAAAGTCTAAGGGATTACTAACTTTAGCATTAACATACTGAACTAATGAGTAAACCAAAGCTTAGATACCATTAGTAAGAATAAGAGAAAACAGTTCAGTGTGGAGCTGTACTGTTAGGTTCCTCTCTTAAGTCTGTTCTAAATGAACAGAACTTTAGCATTTTCTTAGTTTGTACCACTTCCATTTTTTTAACCTATCAAATATTCTAATGTGGTCTGTCAGATGGAATGACAGTATTCTAGCTCATACAAAAGCTCTTTGGATTCTGCAAATGTGTTTGATAACTTTATGAAATATTCAGGCAGCCTGACCCCCCACAGTCTACGGTAGTAACTAGGAAAAGCTGGCTCACAATCATGTTCCATATGTTAAAGATTAACACATTCTTATCCTTAGCTTTTCCAGTTAAATAATTTTAACTCCCAATTTTTCCTTAGTAGACCTACTTCTTACTATGTCCATGTATCAAGATATAAGAACTACCATTTTCTCTGTGGAAAGATCATGGCTGTATGGTTCAGCTACTTTCCATTTGGGTAGTAGACACTCAGATTTACATTTATCTGTTAAAATTGCCATTTATTTCATCAATACTTTGATTTCCCTTAACCTCTGTGATACAAGAGTTTTCTGATTTGGGGTTATATGGACTACTTTAGGAGTTGAAGTATTTCCTACACAATTTTTACATGAAAGATCTTGACTAAGGTGATACCCCATGACACATCCTTTGCATTCAGGTTTATGTTTTGGCTGTGGAGATCCCTAACTACTTGATGGCTCCGGGTTCTTATTTAATGGTCGTCATTTAGCCAATACATTTTTATTAAGAGCTGGCTATATTCAAGGACTTAGAAGCAAGATTAGGATGATTGTGACCCTTTGTTTTGGCCTATATAGGGGACTTCAAATATTAACTTATCTTAGCCTTAGATCATTTGCATTTATCTATTACAATATCATTTCTTTTAAAATGGCAATGCCATATTGTTGATTCCTGTTATTTGTATGCCCAGATTCCTCCATGTTTGTAGCTAGCTAGTTGCTTCTATCAGTGCAACTTATTTTTACCACCCTATTCTAATTGTTCTTCACTTTTATTTAATCATTATTTTAAATATTTGGATTCATTTTTATATTTATGCATGCCATTTAGTTTGCTCCTAAAAATAGTGATACTGGTTTTAGTTTTTTACTTACTAAATCAGTATAGCCAAATGTCCATCTTCCTAGTGGTAATATGCGATCAGAATTTCTGAGATTATTTATGTGACTATTTTTGGAAAAGTTTCTTTTGATAAAACATGGATTTATTATATGAAATTCTTCTTGCACTGTATTACAATATATGCTATGATATCCCTTTTATTTTTTTCAACTTAAATATGATGTTTTATATTGTTTTAGACTTACGAATCGTGTTTTTCAGAATCATAAGGGAATATCTATCTCCTCCCTCACTTTCCTTTTATATATATTGAAAAGTCTATGAAATTCAAGTCTAGCATTTGAATTCTCTATGCTATCATTGCATTTACCTAATTATTTACTTTTAAATTTTAGCTATTTTCATAAAAACAGTTTTGAGATGAAGGAAACTTACACAATAAAAGGAAGATCAATAAGCAGGAAAATTAGTAACTGACAGGGAATATGAATGAATACTCAGTATACGTTTCGGTATGCTTGTTTTCTGATAAATTACTTAATTTTCATTTCATAGGCCAAATTTTAAACACCAGTTAATAAAGTTATCCTAAAAGAGTCTCTAATTTGAAAAGTTTTTCTAACCTAGGAAGACTCATTTTAGACCCAACTGACCAGTCAAATATGAGTAATTTATAATATCTGTATTAAATATTGAGAAGATTAATAAAGTTAAAAGTTTACAGTTGAATCTTTTTTTATCATGGTAAAATATACATAAAATTGATCATTTTAACCATTTTTTAAGTGTACAGTTCAGTGCCATTAAGTACATTCACATTGTTGTGTAACCATCACCACCATCCATCTCCAGGATGTTCTCATCTTCCCGGACTGAAGCCTGTACCCATTAAATGGTAATGCCCCATTCCCCCTCCTCCCCAGTCCTTGGTGACCACTGTTCTACTTTCTGTCTCTATAAATTTGATGTTTCTCAGTACCTCATAAAAGTGAACTCATACAATATTTGTCCTTTCGTGTCTGGTTTATTTCACTTAGCATGTTTGCAAGGTTCATTTATTTTGTGGTATGTATCAGAATTTTATTCCTTTTTAAGGCTAAGCAATATTCCATTGTATGCATATACCATATTTTATCCATTTATCTGTTATTGATGGACGCTTAAATTACCGCTATCATTTGACTACTCTGAATATTGCTGCTTTGAACATTGGTGTACAAATATCTTAGAGTCCCTGCTTTCAGTTCTTTGGGGTACATACCCAGAAATGGAATTGTTTGGTCATATGTTAATTCTGTGTTTAATTTTTTTTTTTTTTTTTTTGAGATGGAGTTTTGCTCTTGTTGCCCAGGCTGGAGTGCAGTGATGCGATTTTGGCTCACTGCAACCTGTGCCTCCTGGGTTCAAGCGATTGTCCTGCCTCAGCCTTCCGAGTAGCTAGGATTACAGGCATGCATCACCATGCCCTGCTAATTTTGTATTTTTTTCTTCTTCTTTTTTTTTTTAGTAGAGACAGGATTTCTCCATGTTGGTTAGGCTGGTCTTGAACTCCTAACCTCAGGTGATCTGCCCGCCTTGGCCTCCCAAAGTGCTGGGATTACAGGCGTCAGCCATCGCACCTGGCCCTGTGTTTAATATTTTGAGGAATTGTCGTAATATTTTCCACAGCAGCAGCACCATTTTATATTCACATAGCGGTGCACAAGGTTCTAATTTTGCCACATCCTCACTAACAATTGTTATTTTCTGGGTTTTTTGTTTGTTTGCTTATTTGCTTGCTTGCTTGATTTCGATGATAGCCATCCTAATGGTGAAGCAGTACCTCATTGTGGTTTTGACTTGCATTTTCCTTTGATACATTTCTCAAATCATAAAAGAAGTTAGACTTTTTTCATGTGTTTATTGGCCATTTATATATCATTTTTGGAGAAATGTCTATTCAAGTTCTGCCCATTTTTAAAATTGTTTATTTTTCTGTTGTAGGAATTCTTTATATTTGGGATTCAAAATATTAATCCATTATCCCAGATTTGGAATATTCCTTTTCGGATATGAGTTCCAAATCTTTTTTCCCATTGTGAATTGCCTTTTTGCCCTTGATATAGTGTAGTTTTCTTTGATGCACAAAAGTTTTTAATTTTGATGAAGTCCAATTTTGTTGTTGTTGCCTGTGCTTTTGGTGTTTGTGTTTTTTTGAAGAGGAAAAATAGTTTTTAATGAAGAAGGTGTTACAAAAAGGCACGGCAGAAGAGAGAATACGTATATGGTTAGTCTCTAGACTGTAGAAATGAAAGTAAATAGATAGAAAATGTGAGCCAGTGTGCATTGACTGTAGGATGATAAAGCTGGAGTGGTTTGGGCCCAGGAATTTATGGAGCCTTGAATCCTATGTTTAGATGTTTTAATTTGATTTGAGGACAACTGGTAGCTTTGGGAAGGCACAGCTACAGAAGGGAACAATAACTAAACCTTGCTTGAAAAAGAAAACTCATGTTGTGATGTAAAGTATACTAGAAAGTGCAGAGGAGATATCATAATAGAAGAGCTATGTCTACTGTAGTTAGCCTAAGAAAGGCCGTGGCCATGGAATGAATTTAAAGGAAATTCTGATAAAGGAAATGTCTAAGTGTAATTTGCTCTCATGTTTGCTATATTGTTCATGTTTGTGGTAATGTATTTTCTTCTGAACTTATTTTCCAGCCGACCTCTTTTGAGACACTTAAAAGCTCAGTTTCTTTTCTTTTATCCATGACTTTTTGGGAATGGGTTCTTTAGTGGCACAATAGAAGTAGAAATTAAAGACATGCAAGAACAAATGGATTTGGTTCTGGGTTCTAATTCCAAGTCTTATGCTCTCGTACTCTAGCTTTTATAACTGATTTTATAGTTCTGAATCAGATTGTCCTTTTTCAGAGCATTTCTCTGGATTCAGATTATGGACACTTCCATTCTAGATCCATTATCTTCACAAAAATGTATGCCTAACCGAGGCTTAATATCTGTGTATGTTTGAATTATTAATACTGGTTTATAGTTGAAAACTATTAACCTCAGAATAATGCTTATAACAATAGTTTATCAGACTTCTTTTTGCTCTCAGATGACCGTCATAATGTACTGGCTTTTAGAAGAAATTCGAAGGGTTTTGTTTTTTTGTTTTTTTTTTTTAATATATATATATAAACAGTTTGGGGTTAGAAAAATAACTCTTTCAGCTCATTATGACAGGATTATGTTCACCAAAACATAACTCAGAGATTATCTCAGAATATACAGGCACAATTATTTCCTGGCTGTGACAACTCTAAACAACTCACTTTGGAAATTTCTTTAGATTTCTTTCTTTTCTTTTTTTTTGTTTTTTGAGATGGAGTTTCACTCTTGTTGCCCAGGCTGGAGTGCAATGGCGCTATCTCGGCTCACCACAACCTCGGCCTCCTGGGTTCAAGCAATTCTCATGCCTGGCTGATTTTTCTATTAGTAGAGATGGGGTTTCTCCATTCTCCATGTTGGTCAGGCTGGTCTCAAATTCCTGACCTCAGGTGATCTGCCCACCTCGGCCTCCGAAAGTGCTGGGATTACAGGCGTGAGCCACTGCTCCCAGCCTAGATTTTTTAAAAGTCAAAAACTGTAGTTGATTATGCTCATCAATTTAGATTTTGCTAGAGGTACCCAAATGACATCTTAGATTTTTTTTTCTTTCTTACTTTTGATTGTTTCTCTCAGACAATTCCTAATACAATCTAGTTCTCAATTTTTAGGCCATAAAGGTTTTCAAATACAGGTAGATAAAATCTTTTGATAGAATCTAAGTTACAGGTAGATGGTTTCTTCTCAGGAACTTTATTTTATTTATTTTTTTGAGACAGAGTCTTTCTCTGTTGCCCAGACTGGAGTGCAGTGGTGCGATTTTGGTGCACTGCAACTTTCACCTCTCGGTTCAAGCGATTCTCCTGCCTTAGCTTCCCAAGTAGCTGGGACTAAGGGTGTGTGCCACCATGCCTGGCTAATTTTTTTGTTTTTTATTATTATTTTTTGAGATGGAGTCTCGCTCTGTCGCCCAGGCTGGAGTGCAGTGGCGCAATCTCCGCTCACTGCAAGCTCCACCTCCCGGGTTCACGCCATTCTTCTGCCTCAGCCTCCCTGAGCAGCTGGGACCACAGGCGCCCACCACCACGCCTGGCTAATTTTTTGTATTTTTAGTAGAGACGGGGTTTCACCATGCTGGCCAGGCTGGTTTTGACCTCCTGACCTCAAGTGATTGGTCCCCCTCGGCCTCTCAAAGTTCTGGGATTACAGGTGTGAGCCACCGTGCCCAGCCTAAAATTTGTGTATTTTTAAAGCATTTGCTGTTGAAGGACATATAATCGTTCATTGTATGTAAAAGTAAATAATAGTTTACTTTTTAATCCCATTAATATTTGCAAATGTACTTGATAGTAGCTCACTTGGGTTTCTTAAAACCTTTAGGTTGGTTAAACTGCTTGTCATTTTTCAAGAAATATTAACATCTTTTAAAAGTAGTCGTTTTTGTTGATAGGTACAATATAAATCCCTGTCCATTCATTCATTCATTCATTCATTTATTTGAGTTGGGAGTCTGGCTCTGTCGCCCAGGCTGGATGGAGTGCAGTGGAGCGATCTCGGCTCACTGCAACCTCCACCTCCCGGGTTCACGCCATTCTCATGCCTCAGCCTCCCAAGTAGCTGGGACTACAGGCGTCCGCCACCATGCCTGGCTAAGTTTTTGTATTTTTAGTAGAGACGAGGTTTTACCGTGTTAGCCGGGATGGTCTCGATTTCCTGACCTTATGATCCACCTGCCTTGGCCTCCCAAAGTGCTGGGATTACAGGTGTCAGCCACCATGCCCGGTCCATTTAGTAATTTATATGCATTCTTAAAATAAGCTGAGATAATACTTCCATTTTGTAAAATGTTCGTACCAGACAATATAAGACCTGGAATTAGAATCCAGAACCTAATCCTCTGGATATAGTTTAATGTACTTTTAAGGATATTTAAAATGAATTTGGGGGGCATAAGCTGTATAAAAGGCTTTGTATGAAATGTATCCTTTGGAAAAGTAGGTTTGCATCTTTACAGGAGGTTAAGGTATGTAAATTTTTGGAATGTTTTCAAGCATTGGGAAGACTGTGCGAGTAAGTATGTCTTCTAGATAACTAGTGAGATGTATACAGATAGGAAAATGTTGTCTGCCACCTCTTATTTTTCAACCATTATGCTTTAGCTCTTAAAAATTAGATATTTAAAATATTTTTGGTTTAATAGTACTATTAAAGGAATGCTGAATTAGGAGAAAAGAAGGCATGATGTTTATTCCCTTTTCCATGAAATAAGACATATATAGACATAATATACATTTGCATTCAGAATCATTTAATCAGTGATTTTCAGAGCAATTGCTGTTTGTGCACTGTTGGAATTATGGGAGATAGATGAATAGATGAGACTTTGCAACTCTGCCAAGAAAATTGTGGTTAATCGGGGAGTTGAGTCCTGGACTCAAATTGAGGTATAGAAAGTATGGTAGTTAAGTGCCAGAAGAAAAACTGAGATAAAATGTGCAGGAGATACAGAAATGAGAGGCCACTTAGTTCAACTTTAGGTCACTTTGATTCAGTGTTTATTCATGTGATATTTCTTGATGAAGCTAAGGAAATGTTCTTTGATTTTAGAGCTTAGGTTTTAGATATTGTTCTTGTGCCTATAAACTTTGATCTTCGTGTGTGTGTGTGTGTGTGTGTGTGTGTGTGTGTGTGTGTGTGTTTTGGAGACAGGGTCTTGCTCTGTTGCCCAGGCTGGAGAACAGTGGTGCACTCTTGGCTCACTGCAGCTTCCACCTCCTGGGTTCAAGCGATCCTTCTGCCTCAGCCACCTGAATAGCTGGGAGCACAGGCATGTGCCACCACACCTGGCTAATTTTTGTATTTTTAGTAGAGATGGGGTTTCACCATGTTGGCCAGCCTGGTCTCAAACTTCTGGCCTCAAGTGATCTGCCCACCTCAGCCTCCCAAAGTGCTGGGATTACAGGCATGAGCTACCACACCCAGCCTGATCTTAGTTCTTAAATGATTTTCTTGCACCACAAGTATTTTGGGGGGGGTACAGCCTAGGATTTGTCTCAAAAGTACTAATGATAGTTCATGTTAATAACATAGAAGAAACATCAGTCTTAGTAATTTGTGATTTCCCTCTCCCCATTCCTTTTCCCCAAGAGTCACATTACGTTCTTCATTTGTGTACCAGAGAGATTCAGAAGGGCTTAGCCTGTAATGGTCACCATCTTGCCATTGCTGTTTTAGCCAGTCGCTGCCACTGAGGTCTGATCCTGACACCTGTCTCTGCATGGTTTTTCTAGGCATGCTTAGAAACTGTCAGGAGTCAAAATATAGACTCTGTAGCCTATGGTTATCCCCAAATTAGGGGTATAGGGATCCTGTACCAAATTTCCCTGCTTTTTCAACAAACTTTTTTTTTTTTTTTTTTTTTACAGAGGCTGTTTAGATCCAGGTTTTATCAGTTCACAGCACATTAGATACATAGTCTGACAGGCATTAAGAGAATCTCTGGGGCCAGGCGTGGTGGCTCACGCCTGTAATCCCAGCACTTTGGGAGGCCAAGGTGGGTGGATCACCTGAGGTCAGGAGTTCGAGACCAGCCTGGCCAACATGGTGGAACCCTGCTCTACTAAAAATACAAAAATTAGCCAAATGTGGTGGCAGCTGCTTATAATCCCAGCTACTCAGGAGGCTGAGGCAGGAGAATCGCTTGAACCCAGGAGGTGGAGGTTGCAGTGAGCCGAGTGCAGTTTGGGTGACAAGAGCAAAACTCTGTCTCAAAAAAAATAAGAGAAATCTTTGGGATAGCTGTGAGGCACCATGATGTTGAGGTAATTGCATGGGTTTTAGATTCCCACCTCGGGTTTGAATCTTGGCCTGGCCACTTCTGAGACCTTGGGAATCCACTTGGCCATTTGAGCCTGAGTTGTCTCATCAAACAGAAGTAACACTATTAATCTTGTGAGTGTTGATTGTAATAATAAACATGAAATACTTTGTTTACAGCCTTGGCATATTGGAAATGTTAATAAATAGTAACTTCTGTCATTTTAGTTTTCATCCTTTTGTATTATGAATATTCATATTTGTAGCCAAGTCCTTTGGGTTCCATTTTTTAATATGTTTTGTTTACCTTTTAAGGATTCTAGTTATGATTCTCTTAGAAGGTATCACTCCCCATGTTTGTTGAGTGTGTGCCAGGCCTATACAAAGCATATGGAGATAAGAAAGACATGCTCCTAAGCAGTAAATAGTTTATGGTTTTCTCCCGGTACACAAAATACATAATTTATATGTGTTTGTGTGTTATGAATAAGTGAGGTTCCTTCCTCAACCCCTTCATATTATAGTGTGCCAAGTCTCAGTCCTTCTGTCTACATTTGGATCTCTTAGTGACCTTATCCAGTGTCATTGCTTTAAATACCACCTGTAGACTGAAAAACTTAAATCTCTAACCAAATTCTCCCCTGAACTTCAGATGTATATATTTAACTCTCTACATAACATTTCCAGTTTGATATCTAATAAGCATCTCAAACTTATGTTAAACTCAAGATCTTCCCTCCTTAAACTTGCTCCTGCCTCAGTCTTCCCCTTCTCAGTTGATGAATGGTAAGTCCCTTCTTCCAGCTAATTAGGCAAAACCTTGACCACATCTATGACTCTCTCATAATCTCCATCCAGTCCAATCATAATTCTGTTGGCCCAGCATTCAAGATACATAATGTATCCAGAATGTGACCACCTCATCCTCCACAGCCATCAGTGTTCCACCCACAGGATTGCCTGGATGATTGCAAAAGACTTCCATTCTGTTTTCTTGATTTCCTGTTTGCCATTTTACAGTCTTTTAAGATCTTACAACAGGTAAGTCAGACCATGTCACTTGTGCTCAAAATCCTTCGGAGGTTTCCCATCTCTGAGTAAAAGCCATGTTCTTTTCAGCGGTCATTTGCAGCCTAATCTATTCTGGTCCCTGCCGAAGCTCTTGGGCCTCCTCTGCTGATTTCCTCTTCTCTTGTTAAATTGAAGTCACACTGGCTTCCTTGTTATTCTTTAAAGCAGCCAGCTGGTCCAACTCCTCTTACTCAGCTTGGAAGACACTTTCCCAGATATTGTTATGATTCACTCCCTTGCCACCTCCAGGAATTTGCTTAAATGCCACCTCAATGAGGCCGCCTTTTACAACCCTATTTAAAATTGTACCTTCCTCAAGTATCTGGTACCCATTTCTTGCCTTTATTTTTCTCTGTAGCACTTACCATCTAGCATACTATATATTTACCTATTTGTATTGTATCTATCTCACCCCACTAGAATGTAAGCTCCATGAGGGCAGGAATTTTACTGTTGTGTACACTGGTATATGCCCAGGGCCTAGAGCAGTGCCTGGAATGCCATAGATGCTCCTATTTAATAAACGAATGGATAGATGAGCTCTGAGAGCTCAGAAGGAAGGCACCTGATCTTACTGCAGAGCTCCAGGGAAGGCTTCCTGTGGGAGATGATCCCTAAGCCAAGTCTTTCAGGATGAGTTACTCTTAATCGAGGAGGCAAAGATAGGAAAGTTTCTGGAAAGAAGTAACTGCATATGCAAATATATCGAGTCACAGAAGGATGTGGAGTGTGTGCTGGGACTGCCCATTTGTATTGAAAACGTAAAGTTTGGGATTCAGAAGGTAGTACCGTGAAATACTAGAAAATCATGAGGGAGGGCAGGTTTGGGTGTGCCTGTGACATTTCTTTTTGGACAATTTGAGTTTGGAATGCTGATGGAATGTCAGATGAAATTTCCCAAGGGGAAAGTGTAAGGAAAGAATTGGTGGGTTTAGTATAGGACCTTGGAGAGTGCCAACATGAAGTACTGCCAAAGCAAGAGAGGACCCCACAGATGTGTAGGACAGAAAGGTGACTGCATGTGACCACCAGTGCCACATGGGGAAAAAAATCTATTACGATGTTTAAAATGTAAACTGGTTTCAGCAACAAGAACATCATTGAAAAGAGCAATTTCTTTGAGTTAGAGTAGTTGTCACTTAACTGTGTGTCTTCTGCAAAGTGTTTTCCCCAAATCTACACATAATTCTTATGCTCCAAGAATAACAAGAACAAGAAAATGCTGTCTCTAACAGTGTCCTCTGTCAGCTCCATATGTCTAAATCTGACACGTTGGCATGAGCCCCACTCCATACCCCTGCTCAAGTCACTGAGATTATGCCTAGTAAAGTGAAAATCTGTTCCCGTATTTGCCATCTATAGTAAATAGGCTCCACGAAGCACTTGAGTGATGTCATCCATTCAAATAATGTTATTCATTCATTAAACATTTATTAGATGCCTCAAGTTAGGCTCTGAGGATTCATAAATAATTTAATACATCATCATAAATAATTTAAAACATCTAGAGGAAGAAACAGAAGAGTTAAATAATTATGACAATGAGACGAGTAACAAGAGGCACTCAGAGCTAGGTAGTGACCAACCTCTTGCTAACAGTGACAAGGTTATAGAGGTTATTGTAATTGTCAGCAGTCGCCTCAGGAACAAGTACCATCTCCCTACCCCTTGCCTTTAGGGCCGAGGGCGTATCTCAGTGGATGTTCAGTGCAGTAGTGGTCTTGATGCTGATTCACAGAGGAGTTTCAGAATCTATCATGCTTTAGGAGTAATTTCCAGCACTAGAGCCAACGGTATCCGCTGTATGAGTAGAGGGTGAGGAGGTCTGGTAGCATGTCTTGGGCTGTCGGTTAGGAAAGTCTGTTTATATCTTGCGCTGCTCTCCTCAGGAGAGGTTAAGATGTACTTTGTGTACGTTCTGGAGCTGCTAAGGACTTCTGGTGGGAGGAGTCCTTCCATTTATTCATCCAAATATGTTAGCGCTTGACAGGCGCTGTGTACTAGTCATTCAGAATATCATAGTAGCCAAGTCCCTGCCCTAATGAACTGACTTCCAGTAGGAAAACACAAACACTGGAAAACAGAATAATTAATACAAATTGTATTACTAGGTTGAATCATGTGCAGTTACTGATATTTAACCATCCCCGACCTGTAAAAACAGCAATTTTATATCCACTTACAACTATGAAATAAGGGACTGAGTTAGAAGAAAATGTAATCAAGGACAGGAGGTAAGAAAAAGTCTCTGAGGAAGTGGCATGTAAGTTGCTACCTGAAGGAGGAAAAGGCTAGCTCCTCTTGTTCCTCTGTTTAAATCAAGATGGTAGATGCAAATGCCAGACAGATGAAAAGAGTGCACTGGGCCTGATGGGGACTGTGTCTCGTCAGGAGTCTCCTGCTCTGTCCAAAGAGTGAGGAAGAGGGAGGGCATCAGCCCTTTACATATGGGGTAGGTAGGCCCTGTGTTGCTATACCTTGTGATCTTCCAAGATAAGCTAGAAAATGGCTTTTAGAGGAAAAACATTCAAATATACTATATTTGAGTTGAAATGTAATTTTTATGTGAAGTCTTTCAGATTATACATGTCAGCTATTTCAGTGCAGTGGTTTACACCTGTAATCCCAGCAATTTGGGAGGCTGAGGTGGGAGGATTGCTTGAGTCCAGGAGCTCAAGACCAGCCTGGGCAACATAGCAAGATCTCAACTCTACAAAAATTAAAAATAAAATTAGGGCCCAGTGTGGTGGCTCACACTTGTGATCCCAGCACTTTGGGAGGCTGAGGTGAGAGGATCACTTGACGCCAGGAATGTGAGACCAGTCTGGGCGACATAGTGAGACCTCCTCTCTATTTAAAAAAAAAAAAAAAGAAAAAAAATTGGTGTGGTAGCGCACCTGTAGTCTCAGCTACTTGGGAGGCTGAGGTGGGAGGATCACTTGAGCCCAGGAGGTTGAGGCTGCAGTAAGCTGTGTTTGCGCCACTGCACTCCAGCCTGAGCAACAGAGCAAGACCCTGTTTCAAAAAAAAAAAAATTAGAAAAAGTTTGGCAAGCCAAACTAGATACACCTGCTTGCCAGAAGTAGCCCACTGGACACCAATTTACAGCCTTGCTTTAAAATTCCAGGTAGAAGGAACAACATATGCAAATACTTTGAGGCAAGAAAGAGCTTCACTTGTTCATGGAAAAGACAGAAAGGCGGTATGTCCAGAGCCAGGTGACCCCGGAGGAGAGTGATGTGTGAGAGGAAGTTGAGGAACAGCCAGATCACAGGAGCTTCCTAAGCCATGGTGAGAAGCCTACAAGATCTAGGCCAATGTCCACTGAGCAGTTTGGCCCTGTAGGACAAAAACATTGCTACCAGAATCGAGCTAAGCAAAGGTAAATTCAAGAGAAGTTTGAGGAACAGAGGTGCAGGGATGGAAGTGTCAGTGTAGTTTGTATTCTTCTCAACAAACTGTACCCTGGGGCTAAATGGCTGCATCTGCCTGAGCAAGGGGCACTATTCCCTTATCCACACAAAGACATCATAAAGGCTGCAGGTGTCCTTGAAGGTATTCCATTTTATAGCTAGGTAACCTGCCGAAGGACAACCACAGTGGCAAACTCCGCATTTGGATTTTGGTTTTCTTAGAAGCGAAAGCCCTTATCTTTTTTATTACAAAATGTGACCTTTCCAGTTTAAAGCCAACTGAGACATGTTTACTTGCTCTTGGAAGGATTATTTTGTCTGCATAACTCAAAGTGAATGTATTGATTGACTTATAGGCCAAAGAAGACTGCTTTAAATCTTAAGTTCGACTTGAATACAGAGTGGTAGTGACCTGATCAAACCCACCAGATTGAAGACCAACCTCCTTGAACCACTGCATGTGGGCTTGTAACTCTAGTCTGTCCAGTTTAGTGCTCCTGTTTTCAAGATGAGGTCAATATAGCTTAAAGATTTAAAGTTGAAATATATGATTTACTCTTGTAGGGGAGGGAAAGCATTATTATTATTTTATTTATTTATTTATTTATTTATTTATTTATTTATTTATTTATTTTTTGAGATGGAGTCTCGCTCTGTTGCCCAGGCTGGAGTTCAGTGGCACGATCTCAGCTCACTGCAACCTCTGCCTCCCGGGTTCATGCCATTCTCCTGCCTCAGCCTCCTGAGTAGCTGGGACTACAGGCGCCCACCCATCACGCCCGGCCAATGTTTTGTATTTTTTAAGTAGAGGCAGGGTTTCACCATGTTAGCCAGGATTGTCTCGATCTCCTGACCTCGTGATCCGCCCACCTCGGCCTTCCAAAGTGCTGGGATCACAGGCATAAGCCACTGCACCCAGCCGAAAGCATTATATATATATATATATATATTTTTTTTTTTTTTGTTAGGTCTCCTAAATGTTTTTTTTATTTTTTTCATTTTTTTTTTATTATACTTTAAGTTTTAGGGTACAAGTGCACATTGTGCAGGTTAGTTACATATGTATACATGTGCCATGCTGGTGCGCTGCACCCACTAACTTGTCATCTAGCATTAGGTATATCTCCCGATGCTATCCCTGCCCCCTCCCCCCACCCCACAACAGTCCCCAGAGTGTGATATTCCCCTTCCTGTGTCCATGTGATCTCATTGTTCAATTCCCACCTATGAGTGAGAATATGTGGTGTTTGGTTTTTTGTTCTTGCGATAGTTTACTGAGAATGATGATTTCCAATTTCATCCATGTCCCTACAAAGGACATGAACTCATCATTTTTTATGGCTGCATAGTATTCCATGGTGTATATGTGCCACATTTTCTTAATCCAGTCTATCATTGTTGGACATTTGGGTTGGTTCCAAGTCTTTGCTATTGTGAATAATGCTGCAATAAACATACGTGTGCATGTGTCTTTATAGCAGCATGATTTATAGTCCTTTGGGTATATACCCAGTAATGGGATGGCTGGGTCAAATGGTATTTCCAATTCTAGATCCCTGAGGAATCGCCACACTGACTTCCACAATGGTTGAACTAGTTTACAGTCCCACCAACAGTGTAAAAGTGTTCCTATTTCTCCACATCCTCTCCAGCACCTGTTGTTTCCTGACTTTTTAATGATTGCCATTCTAACTGGTGTGAGATGGTATCTCATTGTGGTTTTGATTTGCATTTCTCTGATGGCCAGTGATGATGAGCATTTTTTCATGTGTTTTTTGGCTGCATAAATGTCTTCTTTTGAGAAGTGTCTGTTCACGTCCTTCTCCCACTTTTTGATGGGGTTGTTTGTTTTTTTCTTGTAAATTTGTTTGAGTTCATTGTAGATTCTGGATATTAGCCCTTTGTCAGATGAGTAGGTTGCGAAAATTTTCTCCCATTTTGTAGGTTGCCTGTTCACTCTGATGGTAGTTTCTTTTGCTGTGCAGAAGCTCTTTAGTTTAATTAGATCCCATTTGTCAATTTTGTCTTTTGTTGCCATTGCTTTTGGTGTTTTAGACATGAAGTCCTTGCCCATGCCTATGTCCTGAATGGTAATGCCTAGGTTTTCTTCTAGAGTTTTTATGGTTTTAGGTCTAACGTTTAAGTCTTTAATCCATCTTGAATTGATTTTTGTATAAGGTGTAAGGAAGGGATCCAGTTTCAGCTTTCTACATATGGCTAGCCAGTTTTCCCAGCACCATTTATTAAATAGGGAATCCTTTCCCCATTGCTTGTTTTTCTCAGGTTTGTCAAAGATCAGATAGTTGTAGATATGCGGCGTTATTTCTGAGGGCTCTGTTCTGTTCCATTGATCTATATCTCTGTTTTGGTACCAGTACCATGCTGTTTTGGTTACTGTAGCCTTGTAGTATAGTTTGAAGTCAGGTAGTGTGATGCCTCCAGCTTTGTTCTTTTGGCTTAGGATTGACTTGGCGATGCGGGCTCTTTTTTGGTTCCATATGAACTTTAAAGTAGTTTTTTCCAATTCTGTGAAGAAAGTCATTGGTAGCTTGATGGGGATGGCATTGAATCTGTAAATTACCTTGGGCAGTATGGCCATTTTCACAATATTGATTCTTCCTACCCATGAGCATGGAATGTTCTTCCATTTGTTTGTATCCTCTTTTATTTCCTTGAGCAGTGGTTTGTAGTTCTCCTTGAAGAGGTCCTTCACATCCCTTGTAAGTTGGATTCCTAGGTATTTTATTTTCTTTGAAGCAATTGTGAATGGGAGTTCACTCATGATTTGGCTCTCTGTTTGTCTGTTGTTGGTGTATAAGAATGCTTGTGATTTTTGTACTACATTGATTTTGTATCCTGAGACTTTGCTGAAGTTGCTTATCAGCTTAAGGAGATTTGGGGCTGAGACAATGGGGTTTTCTAGATATACAATCATGTTGTCTGCAAACAGGGACAATTTGACTTCCTCTTTTCCTAATTGAATACCCTTTATTTCCTTCTCCTGCCTAATTGCCCTGGCCAGAACTTCCAACACTATGTTGAATAGGAGTGGTGAGAGAGGGCATCCCTGTCTTGTGCCAGTTTTCAAAGGGAATGCTTCCAGTTTTTGCCCATTCAGTATGATATTGGCTGTGGGTTTGTCATAGATAGCTCTTATTATTTTGAAATACATCCCATCAATACCTAATTTATTGAGAGTTTTTAGCATGAAGCGTTGTTGAATTTTGTCAAAGGCTTTTTCTGCATCTATTGAGATAATCATGTGGTTTTTGTCTTTGGCTCTGTTTATATGCTGGATTACATTTATTGATTTGCGTATATTGAACCAGCTTTGCATCCCAGGGATGAAGCCCACTTGATCATGGTGGATAAGCTTTTTGATGTGCTGCTGGATTCGTTTTGCCAGTATTTTATTGAGGATTTTTGCATCAATGTTCATCAAGGATATTGGTCTAAAATTCTCTTTTTTGGTTGTGTCTCTGCCCGGCTTTGGTATCAGAATGATGCTGGCCTCATAAAATGAGTTAGGGAGGATTCCCTCTTTTTCTATTGATTGGAATAGTTTCAGAAGGAATGGTACCAGTTCCTCCTTGTACCTCTGGTAGAATTCGGCTGTGAATCCATCTGGTCCTGGACTCTTTTTGGTTGGTAAGCTATTGATTATTGCCACAATTTCAGCTCCTGTTATTGGTCTATTCAGAGATTCAACTTCTTCCTGGTTTAGTCTTGGGAGAATGTATGTGTCCAGGAATTTATCCATTTCTTCCAGATTTTCTATTTTATTTGCATAGAGGTGTTTGTAGTATTCTCTGATGGTAGTTTGTATTTCTGTGGGATCGGTGGTGATATCCCCTTTATCATTTTTTATTGCGTCTATTTGATTCTTCTCTCTTTTTTTCTTTATTAGTCTTGCTAGCGGTCTATCAATTTTGTTGATCCTTTCAAAAAACCAGCTCCTGGATTCATTAATTTTTTGAAGGGTTTTTTGTGTCTCTATTTCCTTCAGTTCTGCTCTGATTTTAGTTATTTCTTGCCTTCTGCTAGCTTTTGAATGTGTTTGCTCTTGCTTTTCTAGTTGTTTTAATTGTGATGTTAGGGTGTCAATTTTGGATCTTTCCTGCTTTCTCTTGTGGGCATTTAGTGCTATAAATTTCCCTCTACACACTGCTTTGAATGCGTCTCACAGATTCTGGTATGTTGTGTCTTTGTTCTCGTTGGTTTCAAAGAACATCTTTATTTCTGCCTTCATTTCGTTATGTACCCAGTAGTCATTCAGGAGCAGGTTGTTCAGTTTCCATGTAGTTGAGTGGTTTTGAGTGAGATTCTTAATCCTGAGTTCTAGTTTGATTGCACTGTGGTCTGAGAGATAGTTTGTTATAATTTCTGTTCTTTTACATTTGCTGAGGAGAGCTTTACTTCCCAGTATGTGGTCAATTTTGGAATAGGTGTGGTGTGGTGCTGAAAAAAAAGTATATTCTGTTGATTTGGGGTGGAGAGTTCTGTAGATGTCTATTAGGTCTGCTTGGTGCAGAGCTGAGTTCAATTCCTGGGTATCCTTGTTGACTTTCTGTCTCGTTGATCTGTCTAATGTTGACAGTGGGGTGTTAAAGTCTCCCATTATTAATGTGTGGGAGTCTAAGTCTCTTTGTAGGTCACTCACGACTTGCTTTATGAATCTTGGTGCTCCTGTATTGGGTGCATATATATTTAGGATAGTTAGCTCTTCTTGCTGAATTGATCCCTTTACTATTATGTAATGGCCTTGTCTCTTTTGATCTTTGTTGGTTTAAAGTCTGTTTTATCAGAGACTAGGATTGCAACCCCTGCCTTTTTTTGTTTTCCATTGGCTTGGTAGATCTTCATCCTTTTATTTTGAGCCTATGTGTGTCTCTGCACATGAGTTGGGTTTCCTGGATACAGCACACTGATGGGTCTTGACTCTTTATCCAATTTGCCAGTCTGTGTCTTTTAATTGGATCATTTAGTCCATTTACATTTAAAGTGAATATTGTTATGTGTGAATTTGATCCTGTCATTATGATGTTAGCTGGTTATTTTGCTCGTTAGTTGATGCAGTTTCTTCCTAGTGTCTCGATGGTCTTTACATTTTGGCATGATTTTGCAATGGCTGGTACTGGTTGTTCCTTTCCATGTTTAGTGCTTCCTTCAGGAGCTCTTGTAAGGCAGGCCTGGTGGTGACAAAATCTCTCAGCATTTGCTTGTCCGTAAAGTATTTTATTTCTCCTTCACTTATGAAGCTTAATTTGGCTGGATATGAAATTCTGGGTTGAAAATTCTTTTCTTTAAGAATGTTGAATATTGGCCCCCACTCTCTTCTGGCTTGTAGGGTTTCTGCCGAGAGATCCGCTGTTAGTCTGATGGGCTTCCCTTTGAGGGTAACCCGACCTTTCTCTCTGGCTGCCCTTAACATTTTTTCCTTCATTTCAGCTTTGGTGAATCTGACAATTATGTGTCTTGGAGTTGCTCTTCTCGAGGAGTATCTTTGTGGTGTTCTCTGTATTTCCTGAATCTGAATGTTGGCCTGCCTTGCTAGATTGGGGAAGTTCTCCTGGATAATATCCTGCAGAGTGTTTTCCAACTTGGTTCCATTCTCCCCATCACTTTCAGGTACACCAATCAGATGTAGATTTGGTCTTTTCACATAGTCCCATATTTCTTGGAGGCTTTGCTCATTTCTTTTTATTCTTTTTTTCTCTAAACTTCCCTTCTCGCTTCATTTCATTCATTTCATCTTCCATGGCTGATACCCTTTCTTCCAGTTGATTGCATCGGCTCCTGAGGCTTCTGCATTCTTCACGTAGTTCTCGAGCCTTGGTTTTCAGCTCCATCAGCTCCTTTAAGCACTTCTCTGTATTGGTTATTCTAGTTATACATTCTTCTAAATTTTTTTCAAAGTTTTCAACTTCTTTGCCTTTGGTTTGAATGTCCTCCCGTAGCTCAGAGTAATTTGATCGTCTGAAGCCTTCTTCTCTCAGCTCGTCAAAGTCATTCTCCATCCAGCTTTGTTCCGTTGCTGGTGAGGAACTGCGTTCCTTTGGAGGAGGAGAGGCACTCTGCTTTTTAGAGTTTCCAGTTTTTCTGTTCTGTTTTTTCCCCATCTTTGCGGTTTTATCTACTTTTGGTCTTTGATGATGGTGATGTACAGATGGGTTTTTGGTGTGGATGTCCTTTCTGTTTGTTAGTTTTCCTTCTAACAGAGAGGACCCTCAGCTGCAGGTCTGTTGGAGTACCCTGCTGTGTGAGGTGTCAGTGTGCCCCTGCTGGGGGGTGCCTCCCAGTTAGGCTGCTCGGGGGTCAGGGGTCAGGGACCCACTTGAGGAGGCAGTCTGCCCGTTCTCAGATCTCCAGCTGCGTGCTGGGAGAACCACTGCTCTCTTCAAAGCTGTCAGACAGGGACATTTAAGTCTGCAGAGGTTACTGCTGTCTTTTTGTTTGTCTGTGCCCTGCCCCCAGGGTGCTGCCTACAGAGGCAGGCAGTCCTCCTTGAGCTGTGGTGGGCTCCACCCAGTTCGAGCTTCCCGGCTGCTTTGTTTACCTAATCAAGCCTGGGCAATGGCGGGCGCCCCTCCCCCAGCCTCGCTGCCGCCTTGCAGTTTGATCTCAGACTGCTATGCTAGCAATCAGCGAGACTCCGTGGGCGTAGGACCCTCCGAGCCAGGTGCCGGATATAATCTCGTGGTGCGCCGTTTTTTAAGCCCGTCGGAAAAGCGCAGTATTCGGGTGGGAGTGACCCGATTTTCCAGGTGCCGTCCGTCACCCCTTTCTTTGACTCAGAAAGGGAACTCCCTGACCTCTTGGGCTTCCCAAGTGAGGCAATGCCTCGCCCTGCTTCAGCTCGCGCACGGTGCGCGCATCCACTGACCTGTGCCCACTCTCTGGCACTCCCTAGTGAGATGAACCCGGTACCTCAGATGGAAATGCAGAAATCACCCGTCTTCTGCGTCGCTCACGCTGGGAGCTGTAGACCGGAGCTGTTCCTATTCGGCCATCTTCCGCATTATATTTTTTAAAAGTATTACTTTGAGACAGAGTTTTGCTCTTGTTGCCCAGGCTAGAGTGTAATGACGTGATCTCTGCTCAATGCAACCTCTGCCTCCTGGGTTCAAATGATTCTTCTGCCTCAGCCTCCGGAGTAGCTGTGATTACAGGTGGCCGCCACTACCCCCAGGTAATTTTTGTATTTTTATAGAGAAGGGGTTTCATCATGTTGGCCAGGGTGGTCTTGAACTCCTGGCCTCAAGTGATCCGCCTGACAGCCTCCCAAAGTGTTGGGATTATAGGCGTTAACCTCCACACCTGGCTATTTTTTTAAATTAATAAATGATTGTTAAAGCCCTAGAAATCAAAGAAGAGTCTGTGCTCAAGAAATATTCAAAATCTAGAGGAAAGTTGAAATTGGAGAAGTGAAGATGGATGTGGATAGAAGGCTTTTTAAGCCACCCAATAGGTGTTGAATAAAATAATTCAGGAACTCAGTGAGCAAGTCTTCAGTGATAAGAACTGAACTCAGTCTGGAGAAAATTCGAGGTTGAGGATCAAAGGGAAGAAGGCTCTTGGTGAGTTTTAGCATGTAGAAGAGAGCCAGCGAGGAGGGTGGCCACTGTGAGAGCTGAAAAATGAAGTTATCAGGCAGCATTTGAGACAGGCTTATAGTTTGAGTTAACCTCCCGAATAAATGCCAGAGGAGAACGCTACATTCGTTTTCAGAACTGAATGAGTATTTCATTGAAATGTACCAGTCAATTCTTTGTGCAATTCTTTGTCATTTATTAGAAATTTGAAGAGAGAAAGCGTTAGTAACATTTTTCAGATGCTCTGTGTGGGTTATTTGAATGGCTTTGTAGATAAAAATAGATCTGGGCCGGGCATGGTGGCTCATGCCTGTAACCCCAGCACTTTGGTAGGCCAAGGCGGGAGACCACCTGAGCCCAGGAGTTTGAGACCAGCCTGGGCAATATGGTGCCCCGTCTCTATTAAAAAAAAAAAAAAAATCTGATTCAACTTCCTTATGATTCTTTATTAGATTTTTGCCTGTGTGTAATTAAAATGAAAATTGCGTTTTCAACAGAAAATTACTGTAATTATATTTTGCTTTTAGACTAGTAGATTCTATCAAATTAGAGCAAATAGGGCAAATGATCTTTATGAAAAGGCCCAGATACTAAACATTTTGGACTTTGCAGGCCAGTTGTCTCTGTCCCAGCTATACAACTCTGCTGTTGTAGTGCATAAGCAGCTATATGTAAATAATGAGCATGTTTGTGTTCCCATAAAATTTTATTTATGGACACTTAACTCTGAATTTCATACAATTCATGTGTCACAAAATATTCTTCCTCTGATTTGTTTAAAAAAAAAAGGTAAAAAACATTCTTAAATCACATTCTGTACAAAAACAGATGGGAAGCTGGGTTTGGCCAACGAGCCTCCTGAGTTAAAGGTTTTTAAAAACTAATGTTCTCCTAAGGGCCAGTGCTGTGTCTTTCTGTCTGGATGACTATTAATATTTTGATGTGACCCTAGGGAGGTCTTATTTTGTTATAATGAAGGGATTTCTTAGATACTTGAACAACTTTTGGCAGTGGTTCTCACACTAGCGTGCATCAGAATCACTTGGAGGGCTTGTTAAAACACAGATTGCAGGGTGCCCTCCTCAGGTTTCACATTCAGTAGATCTATGCAGCTGCTCAAGAATGTGCATTTATGGCCAGGTGCGGTGGCTCAGGCCTGTAATCCCAGCATGTTGGAAGGCTGAGGCGGGCGGATCACTTGAGGCCAGGAGTTCGAGACCAGCCTGGCTAACGTGGTGAAACACTGTCTCTACCAAAAATACAAAACTTAGTTGGGCATGGTAGTGCACACCTGTAATCCTGGCTACTAGGGGGGCTGAGGCTTGAGAATTGGCTGAACCTCAGGAGGTGGAGGTTACAGTGAGCTGAGATCATGCCACTGCACTCCAGCCTGGGCAACAGAGCGAGACCATGCCACAAAAAAAATAAAATAAAATAAAATAATTGCGTGTTTTAAAGGTGAGTCTGATGCTGCTGTTTTGGGACCACACTTTGAGAATTGCTCGTTTGGGTCTCACTCCAACCCAATACTGTGGAAATAACACAGTTGCTTCTTTTACTCAGTGTCCTTAGAGTAACTATTGACTTCTACATAGTTTCTTTGAGACCTTTGAAATTCGAATGGCTCAAAGACCAAAGATATTTGGAACAAAATTCATAACTTCCCCATCTATTGTAGTATTTTTCCTTCATTACTTTCTGTTTTTAAACACTTAAAAACTAGAGATTCATTTATAACAGTATTAGAGAATGAAATGCATCTAGTAGAAATATAAATGATGGAATATATGTATATATATTAGATACTCATGTATCAGTTTGAAAAATAGTATGTTGCCAGTAACTGGCACTGCATGTTCCTCTCCATCACGTCATCCGTTTCTTAGCTTTTACTATCTGTGTTTGTATCTACAACAATATAATGTCTAGTTTTGCCCACACATGAACTTTATACAACTAGTTTTTTTTTTGTAATTCGTGATGAAGTTCTCAAAACATAATTTTATTACACACACATGCACATCCATTTTGATGAATATAGCTGTGGTTCATTTTCACTGCTGTATTTATTTTATGAGTGCACTACAATTTATCAGTTCCCCCAATGGTGGACATTTGGATTGTTACCAGTATTTTTTTTTTTTTTTTTTTGAGATGGACTCTCACTCTGTCGTCCAGGCTGGGGTGCAATGGCATGATCTTGGCTCACTGCAACCTCTGCCTCCTGGGTTCAAGCAATTCTCCTGCTGCAGCCTCCCAAGCAGCTGGGATTACGGGGACCCACCACCACACCCAGCTAATTTTTTTTATTTTTAGTAGAGACAGGGTTTCACCATTTTGGCCAGGCTGGTTTTGAACTCCTGACATCAAGTAATCCACCAGTCTTGGTCTCCCAAAGTGCTGGGATTACAGGCATGAGCCACTGCGTCTGGCTATAGGATTGTTACGAGTATTTTTTAAAATCTTTAAACAATATAGCCACAGATATTTTTGTCTTCTATTCATGTTTTCTAGTGAATAAGCACAACAGTATTTCTACAGCAGAGACCTAGGGAGGGGAGTTGTCTGTCATTATGGAATATGCACATCTTCAACTTTACTATGTAACCATCAATTGTTTCCTAAAGTAAGGCTATATCCACATCTTCGCCACACTTCATATCACTAAACTTTTCAATTTCTGCCGATTTGATAGGTTTAAGATGACATTGTGCTTTTATTAATAATTTGCATTTTGTTAATTACTAATATAACATAATTTTTCTTTAAAGGCCTTTCATGTTTCATTTTCTTTGAAATAACTTTTTTTTTGCCTGTTTTTTATTAGATTGTTTATCTTGATCCAGTTAATTCAGATAATTTCTTTCCATTGTGGTTACTAATCTTTTGACATTTAAATGTTTTAGAGAGATTTCCTTCCATGGCTTACCTTGTCTCTTTGGCTTTTTATGGTGGTTTTTTTTTTTTTTTTTTTTTGGATAGGTAAACGTTTTACAATTTCTTGTAGCTTAATTTATAAATTATTCTCCTCATAATTTGTGGGGATTTTTTCTTGTGTGTGTCTTGTTTTAAGAAATTATTCTCTCACTTTATGTCATGAAGATATTTTCCTATATTTTCATCTAAAAGTTTGGTTATTTTTACATTTAAATCTTTAGTCCAGCTATAAATAACTTTTGTGCATGGTATGAAGTATGGATCCAATTTTATTTTATTTTTTTGTCTAGATGACTAGTTGTCTTGATACTTTATTTAACAGTTCATCCTTTTCCTATTGATCCCATTGCCATTTCTTTCATATTTCTTCCTCTGTTCTGTTATACTCTCATCTGTTGCATTGGTCAGTGTTTCTATCCCTGTGTCAATACTATTCTGTCTTAATTACTACAGCCTTTGCTTTTTAACAAGTCTTGATATCTGGTTGAGCTTTCTTAAAAAGTTGCTACACCTTGTTTGTAAAATAGGCTCCTGACTAGTTTTGGTTCTTTGTTCTTCTGCATAAATTCGTGTAACCTGTATGGGAAAAAATACTTTGGGGACTTTTGCTTGGAAATGTATTAACAGATTAATTTGGTAAGAAATTACAGCTGTACGGCCGGGCACGGTAGCTCACGCCTGTAATCCCAGCACTTTGGGAGGCCAAGGCAGGCAGATCACGAGGTCAGGAGATCGAGACCAGCCTGACCAACATGGTAAAGCCCCGTCTCTACTACAAATACAAAAATTAACCGGGCATGGTGGCGTGTGCCTGTAATCGCAGCTACTCGGGAGGCTGAGGCAGGAGAATCGCTTGAACCCGGGAGGCGGAAGTTGCAGTGAGCCGAGTTTGCGCCATTGCACTCCAGCCTGGGCAAGAAGAGTGAAACTCTGTCTCAAAAAAAAAAAAAAAAAAAGGAAAAAAAAAAAAGAAAGAAAAGTAATTACAGCTGTACAATATTAAGCATTCCTAATCATGAATATGCAGTGTCTTTCCACCAAGTCTTCCTTGATGCCATTCAGTAAAGTTGTTTAAATTTTTGCATTAAGATCATGTATTTATTTTGTTAGATTTATTATTAATCATCTTTTTGCTGTCATTTTCAGAGTTACATTTGAAAACTATTTCTGGCTGGTGTAGAGAATGCAGTTGATTTTTTTTTTTTTTTGCTGACCTTAAATTAAGGAACCTTGTTTCATTCTCACCGTTTCTAATAATTTGTGAAGTCTTTTGGGCTTTCTACACAGACTTTCTTCATTTTCTGCAAATAATTATAGTTTTCAGTCTTCTCCATCCATAAAACTTTTATTCTGTTTCTTACTGAGTTGACTGGCTGCAATTTCCAGTCCCATGTGGAACATAAGTGGTGTCTCATTTCTTTTCTTGTTTGAGATGGGGTCTCACTCTGTCACTCAGGCTGGAGTGCAGTGGCGTTATCTTGGCTCACTGCACCCTCCATTTCCCAGGCTCAAGTGATCCTCCCACCTCAGCCCCCTGAATAGCTGGGACTATAGGCACATGGCACCAGCCTAATTTTTAGTATATGACTTTTATCAGATTTATGAAACTTCCTTTTACATACATATACATATTTTTCTAAGAGTTTTTTCTTTTTAAATAAAAAGAGGGTTTTAAATTTATTAAACGCAATTTCTGAGTATATTGAGGTAACCAACCGTGTGTGTGTACTTTAATTTTTTAATTTTTAAAACTTTTTTGTAGATGATGCTACTAAAAATTTTATTTAAAAAATTTATTTTTAATTTTTGTGGGCACATAAGTATATATTTATGGGGGACATGAGATATTTTGATACAAGCATGCAATGTGTAATAATCACATATGGAAAATGGGGTATCCATCCCCTCAAGCTTTTCTCCTTTGTGTTACAAATAATCTAATTATACCCTTTTAGTTATTTTTAAATGTACAATTAAATTATTATTGATTATAGTCACCTTGTGCTGTCAAATACTAGGTCTTATTCATTCTTTCTACTTTTTTTTTTTTTTTTTTTACCCATTAACAATTCTCACCTCCCAACCTCCTGCTTCCCCACTACCCTTCTTACCCTCTGGTAACCATCCTTTTACTCTCTATCTCCATGAGTTTAATTATTTTTATTTTTAGATCCCACAAATCAGTGAGAACATACAATTTTTGTCCTTCTGTGCTTGGCTTATTTAACTTAACATTAGCCATCTCCAGTTCCATCCATGTAGTTGCAAATGACAGGATCTCATTATTCTTTATGGCTGAATAGTACTCCATTGTATGCAAGTACCACATTTTCTTTATCCATTCATCTGTTGATGGACACTTAGGTTGCTTCCAAATCTTGGCTATTGTGAGTAGTGTTGCAGTTAATATGGGAGTGCAGGTATCTTTTTGATATAATGATTTTCTTTTTGGGGGGTATATACACAGTAGTGGGGTTGCTGGATCATATGGTAGCTCCATACTGTTCTCTATAGTGGTTGTACTAATTTACAGTCTCACCAACAGTGTACAAAGGTTCCCTTTTCTTCACATCCTCACCAGCATTTGTTATTACCTGTCTTAATAGGATAAAAGCCATCTTAACTGGGGTAAGATGATTATCTCATTGCAGTTTTGGTTTGCATTTCTCTGATGCTCAATGATGTTGAGCACCTTTTCATATATCTGCTGCCATTTGTATGTCTTTACTTTTAAAAAAAAAAC